>NW_018654717.1:0-600000 GCF_000001405.40 Homo sapiens | reverse complement strand
AACAAACAAACAAAAAACTCAAAAAAAAAGCCCTGACCTAAATATTCACAAGGGACCTTAGGCAATATCTGCTAACAAAAGTGAGTGAGGAGTGGAATCTGTCATCTTTACAACTAAGACAGCTCCAGAGTTGAAGCAAGTGGAAATATCTCTAGAGACAGAGACTTGGGCGGGTTTTACCACTTACAAGCTATGAGAACCTGGGCAGTTTTACATCTCTGAGCTTCTGTGACCTTGTAAAATAGGGTGCATTGCGCTAAACTTGCAGGAGGAATCCCAGCATCCTCCTGTGCACAAGGCTGGTTTCTTCCCATCCTTTTCCTTGTTCTGCCTCTCTCCTCCTCTCCAAGAGATGAATACATTTGGAGCCAGTAGGGGTCTATGTTTGCAAAAACTCGCAGGTGATTCTCATGCAGCCAGCCTGGCTCTGGCACTGAGTTCTTGGACACTTCTGGAGGCACATTTACTAGTGAGGAAGTTCACTGTGTGCTGAAGGCATGATTCATCTTCCATTCCTTTCTTCCATGAAGCAAGACGCATGGGTCGACTGAGCTGGGAGAGTCCACGGTGTCAGCCTCCCCCACGCTTCCCTCCCTCCTTATTCCTTGTGTGCTGTACTTTGTCTTGATTTCCTGTACTCTGCACCAAGCCAGGAGATGGTAAGATCTCAAAAAAATCATTTTTTTGGGAAATGGGATCAAGACGGTTTTTGTTTGCTTGCTTGTTTGTTTGAGACAGGGTCTGTCGCCCAGGCTGAAGTGCAGTGGCATGACCTTGGCTCACTGCAGCCTTGACCTTCTGGGCTCGGGTGATCCTCCCACCTCAACCTCCTGAGTAGCTGGGACTGCAGGTGTACACCACCATGCCTGACTAATTTGTCTATTTTTTGTAGAGATGAGGTTTCACCATGTTGTCTAGGCTGGTCTCAAACTGCTGGGCTCAAGCAGTCCTCCATCCACCTCAGCCTCCCAAAGTGCTGAGATTACAGGCATGAGCTGCTGTGCCTGGCCGAGGTTTTTTTTTTTTTTTATTGTTATTACGAAAACTTTTCAATAAACATAAAAGTAGAGACACCAGTTTAATGAGCTATCATATACCCATCACATAGATTTAAAAACTATTAACATTTGCAATATTTACTCCATTTGTTTTTCTGAAGTATTTACAAAATAGTTTACAGTAGTTATTTAATTGCATCCTGATATTCACCGCTACATAATTTACTTTCCCTCTAAAAACATGAGGGCATTTTTTATATGATCATTGTCATACCTAATCAAATTAGCAGTAATTCCTTAATATCCTCTAAGATCAAGTTTACATTCAGATGTCTTGTCCTCAAAATGTCAATTGTGATTATTTTTTTCTTTGACCAAAGAAAATAAGATCTCAAGATTTAATGACAGAGATTCCATGTTAGCCCTGATGTCTAAGTTCTGTGGTCCATTGTGGCTTTACTTGAAAGTCTGACGCTAGACGTGGTGGTTCACATCTGTAATCCCAGCACTTTGGGAGGCCAAGGTAGGCGGATCATAAGGTCAAGAGATCAAGACCATCCTGACCAACATGGTGAAACCCTGTCTCTAATAAAAATACAAAAATTAGCCAGGTGTGGTGGCGGGTGCCTATAGTCCCAGCTACTCGGGAGGCTGAGGCAGGAGAATCACTTGAACCCGGGAGGCGGAAGTTGCAGTGAGCTGAGATTGCACCACTGGAGGCCAGCCTGGGTGGAAAGAACGAGACTCTGGAAAAAAAAAATAAAGTCTGTCACTGTGGTCTCATAATAAAAGGACACTCCATTTCCTATCTGGCCCCTGCTCCTTAATGTTAGCCTCCTCCTGTGGGGAGGAGGGGGTGACTTTCAGCGCAGGTTCAAACATTCCCAGGGCTGGCTCTGATCTCACTAAAGCCCATCGTCATGAATGAATGCTTCCCTTGCAGGTTATTCTAAGTATTGTAAAGAGTGCACGTGGAGTGTCCTCATGATGCCTGGAATGGTAGTGAATATTTATAGGTTTCTTTTAGTGCCTTTTTTTTTTAGTGTTTTCTATACTTCCATGTTTCTACAACCCTTAGGAACATCAGAATCATGTGTGTGTGGGTGCTTATTAAATAAACCAGTTCCTGAAGCTCACTCCCAGTGACTGCCAGCCTGATGATTAGGGTCTCAGCTAGGACCTAGGTTTGCAAAATCTCCCAGCTGATCCCATGCAGACAGCCTGGCTCTGGCTCTGGCGCTGGGAGCTGGGTTGGGAACTAGTCTTTGGTGCTATTCTGCTGATACTTCAAGTTGGGCTCTTTGACTCTGTCTTGTATTGTCATCACTTGTATTCAGGTCTGTTCTTCCCCTGGATTGTAAACTCCTTGATGTCTGGGTCATCTCAGCTCATGAGCTGAGCTTTCAGTGGGTGCTCAGTGGAACAGGTGCTGAATGGAGTCCGGCTCTAGGGAGGCCAGCGTGTGTTGGTAAGTGAGAGACAAAAATCATTTTAAAAAGAAACTTTTTGCCCTTCAGTTGTGTTTGCCATGAGTTAATGTGATTTACTCTAGTGGAAGCCAGTGCAGCTTAAGTGGAGGTCTTGCCCTGAAATGGAGCCAGGTTATGGATCAGCAGAGCTGCCAAAAGCGTTTTGGGGGAAATGTTTCTGTGTCACCCTCAGTTGATTGAACTCAAGTTTTCACTCCCGTTTAACACCACGTGGGGGCCATTCTGACTTCTTCAGAGTGGGTATGATCAGATCTTCTGTAAAAGTGTACATGAGGGGGCTGGGCACGGTGGCTCACACCTGTAATCTTAGCACTAGGGAGGCTGAGGTAGTTGGATCACTTGAGGCTGAGAGTTTGAGAAAAGCCTGGACTACATGATGAAACCTCATCTCTACTAAAAAATACAAAAATTAGCCAGGCATGATGGTGCATGCCTGTAATGCCAGCTATTCAGGAGGCCGAGGCAGGAGAGTCACTTGAACCTGGGAGGTGGAGGTTGCAGTGAGCTGAGGTTGCACCACTGCACAGCATTCCAGCCTGGGTGACAGAGCGAGACTCTGTCTCAAAAAAAAAAAAAAAAAAAAAAAAAAGTGTACGTGAGAAAACTGGAATTGAGCTTGAGGATGTTGGGGGATGGAGTTACTTCATTTACTGAACAACAAAAACCATAGGATACCAATGCTGGAGGAAGAAGCATCATCCTCAGTTTCTGCTAACTCAACCACGCATGAGATGGGGATTTGGTGGCCGAGAGAAAAGCTTCTTTTTAGGTCTTGAACCTTGATCAAACCATTTCTGAATTCCTCATACACATATAATCAGGTGCTATGAGTGGTACTGATTGGATAATCTTTCTGTCGTTTCCTGTGCTAGGAAGGAAAATACATGTACAGCCAACTTCCTTGAGGGTTCGTTCTTTTGCATCAGGGTGTGTCAAACTGCTGCCCTTAAAACACCTGTAAGAGAAGCATCCAGGGGGCTTGCTCGGTCTGCATGCAGGCCCTTTAGAATCAGAGTCAGAATCCCTGGGGCTGGAGCCACAAAATGATATGACATTTCAACGAGTTTGTCATCATGTGAGGGAGAATAGGTGAGTATTTGAATACCTATAATACAAAGTAGATTGAAAAAGAATGACTTGATTATTTTAAATGTTGTGTTTTTAAAAATTTAATACAGAAAAGGCTGGGCGCGGTGGCTCATGCCTGTAATCTTAGCACTTTGGGAGGCCAAGGCGGGTGGATCATTTGAGGTCAGGAGTTCAAGACCAGCCTGGCCAACAAGGTGAAACCCCATCTCTACTAAAAATATAAAAATTAGCCAGGCAGTAGTGGTGCTTGCCTGTAATCCCAGCTACGTGGGAGGCTGAGGAAGGAGAATTGCTTAAGCCTGGGAGGCAGAGATTTGGTGAGCTGAGATCGTACCACTGCACTCCAATGTGGATGACGATTGTTTAACCACCACCAACATGGGTTCTGTGTCCAACTGTTAACATGAAGATGACATCCATTGTGGTCTTGTACATTTTGTTGCCTTTCTGGGGTGAAGGACATTGGTGACCATTTGTTTCCTCTGGAGCGGTCGATTGGTCATGAACTTCCTGGTCCAGATAGTTGCTGTGTCATTCATCATGGTGGTTGATCCTCAGGTAGTTAGGGAGGAAAATAAACAAGAAGTTATATATTTAAAACCACGTTTCAATTTTACACCTGATTAATTGACTAAATAAAGGGCATTAGCACTTCTACTTCCTACAGTCCCTCCCTTTACCTCTGGAAACTAGTGATTTCTAGGTTGTTTTGTGTTGTTAAGGTGGGCCACCTTTTCTTTCTGTTCTGCACTCATAGTCCTATTTTTAAATGGATTCACCTCTCATCACTAGCCTTTTGTCATGGTCATTCAATTCACAAGTTGCTTATTTTTTAATTTCTTGGCTGACTAAATTTTATTATGAAGACTTTTTTTTTTAAAAGAGCTCAGAAATACTGTATTCTTTAAGTTCTTGAACTTGTGATAGTGTCTATTGCCTATTTTGATTGGGCAATAATTTAGCTGGCTATAAAATTCTTGGATTATACTCTATTTCCCTTAGAAATTATAGGCACCCATCCACTGACATTTCACTGTGCTTTTTTTTTTTTTTTTTTTTGACATGGAGTCTTGCTCTGTCACCCAGGCTTGAGTGCAGTGGTGCGATCTTGGCTCACTGCAAGCTCTGCCTGCCGGGTTCACACCATTCTCCTGCCTCAGCCTCCCGAGTAGCTGGGACTACAGGGGCCTACCTCCACGCCTGGCTAACTTTTTTGTATTTTTAGTAGAGACGGGATTTCACTATGTTAGCCACGATGGTCTCGATCTCCTGACCTCGTGATCCACTGGCCTTGGCCTCCCAGAGTGCTAGGATTACAGGTGTGAGCAACTGTATGAGCCCAGCCTCATTGTGCTTTGTACTGACCCCCTCTCCCTGGCCTCTTCCAGCTTGTCTTTTTCTCTCCCAGTAGTTTCTTCATGAAGAGGCCATGTGCTATATTCCATGAGATATTTCACACTCAAAGAAGACTTCTTTTATACTCTTGTGATAATTTGTCTGGGAATCACTGTCTTCATTTATAAGGGAGTTTGTAATAAATACAGTAAAAGAGAAACACACAACATATTTTGAGATATCAGAGAAGGGGGAAACCAATTCTATTAATATTTGGGGTTAGCAGGGAAGGCTTAGTTAAGAGGTAACATTTGAACTAAGCCTTGAAATAAGGGAAGGATTTGGCCATCCAGTAATGGGGAGAGAGTAGAAGCAAGACATGATGGTTAACGGTATGTATCAATTTGACTGGGTTGTGGGGTGCCCAGATATTTGGTTACACATTATTCTGGGTGTGTCTCTGAGGTATTCTGGATGAGGATAACATTTAATTGGTAGACTGAATAAAGCAGATTGTCCTCCCCAATATGGGTGAGCCTCATCCATTCCACTGAAGGCCTGAACAAAACAAAAAGGTAGAGTCAGAGAGAATTTGCTCTTTTTACCTGATTATATTTGAGCTGGGACATCAATCTTCTCCTGACTTTAGATGTGGACTCGAGTTGGAACAATATCATTGGCTGTCTTGGGTCCCCAGCTTGCTGGCTGCAGACTCCAGGACTCCTTAGCCTCCATAACCATGTGAGCCATCCTTTACAACAAATCAATCTGTCTCTATGTGTATAGATCTACCTCTATCTCTCTGCTCTTTCTCTGGAGAACTTAGAGTAATACACAAGGTTACATTAGAGAAGAGGATGACCCAAGGAAAAGCGTGGAGGCAGAAAACTGCAAAGAGGGTTTGGGAAGACGGGGGTCTTGATGGGGAGTTTGGATTTCACTGTGTGTAGCATGAAGAATCTTTGAAAATATTCAAGAGGTGAAAATTGTATTTGTGGAAGAACACCAGGAGTATGTGAAAAGAAAAACACTCACTCCATTTTAACTCCACTGAAGGGGGCATCAAAGGGATGCACTGGGGACATGGGTTGGAGGGTAGTTGAGGCCATATCTGGAGGATCTTTACTTCTAGGCTGAGTCTGAAGTTATCTTTCTGGGGAGTGGGAGATTACAAATCTTTGAGCTCCACTCAAGAGATGGTTTTGCTAACAATGGCAGGGCGAAGGTGGTGGTGGTGGTGGTGGTGGGAAACTGTTATCATGAATTCTAATTGGGCTTCTGTTATTCTAGCTGAGAAAGCTGGGGAATGGACTTTCAGTAGAATAATACAGATCTGGGAATCAACTGCATGGAGGAGGTAGTTATAGGTGATGAGATGGCTCAGGGACAAAGTTTGGTAGAAGGAGAAAAGATACTAGGCTGGTACAAAAATAATTGCTATTTTTGCCATTACTTTTAATGGCAAAATCCGCAATTACTTTTGCACAAACCTAATAGGATGCAAACTTCGGAGCCATCTGCATCAGAGGGATTGATGAAGATCAACAAAGTTTGGGAACACAGGAAAGGAGCGGGGAGGGTAATGACTTGAGGGCATAGCAGGGATAATCAAGGTTTTTCTTATTAGCATGTGGAGACTTAAGCATGACTATATGTTAAATGCCTGGCACATACATGGTGCAAAATATTTATGAGTGAAATGACAAGTGAAGGTGGTGAGTCATGGGAGTTCCAAGGGAACGGGTGATAAAGGGAGGTCTCAAATGAGGCACAAGTGGGGAAGGTAGCTTGGGAAAGGAGAAGGATGTTTCTCCTTATAAGATGGGAAAGGCAGAGGAAGAGGGTCAAGATACAGTGATCTAGGGGTGAGATGGAAGTGAGTTGAGAGAACTCAGCTCTGGGCTCTTTTCACCCCTAGGGATGGGTTTGGGGGTTTTTGAGATATGGAAGAGGCTTAAAGTCAATTGTTATGGCAAATATGGTTTGGAATTTATTTGCGATGCTTAAAAATATTGCTGAACAGAAGTGAAGTCTTTCCTAGAGTTGGACGGTGAGATTATTTAGTGGAACTACGAGATCCCTGTTGTGATTCTTTCCAGTATCATTCAGCAGCCCTTGGTCAGTTGCGAGGCAAGTCATCAATGGGGTATGGAGATTTTCCAGGTGGGTGTGGTTGAAGGCAGGGAAGAACGCGTTTAGGAGCACATTACAAGAGGAAGGTATCTGTTAAGTCCAGGCTGAGCAGGAATGTATAGCAAGAAGGAAACATGAGGTTGTGAAGAGAAGTTTAGAGGGATGAGGAGTCAGGAGAGGTGAACAGTTGCAGGACGTAGCTAGAGTGGCGATGTTAGATCTTGGGGCCAGAGAGCTTTACAATGAGTATGAAGATCAAAGGGCATTAGAATCAAGCTATAAAGAGCCACTGTTTGATGTTGGTATGTAAGTATGCTGCAGGTGGATGTCTGCACATTGATGGTGAGAACGTGGTCACCCTGGCCCTGCTGGGTCTTTGCTAAAGAGACTCTGCTCTGTTCTTGGGGCCGTTTTCATCACCTGATAAGAGCAGTGGTTCCCAAATTGTGTTCTTTGGACCATCTGTATAAAATATTCATAGGTCAAGGATAAAATGGAAAAACAGAGAAAATGTCACAGAAATGTGCCCATTGGTGAAAGACCACCAGCTGTCCTTTTTGGAGGATTTTTCTTTATTCTAAAAATGTATATATTCTATTCTATTAAAACATTTTTGTATTTGCATTTTTTTCTCTTTTATGAAATGCCATGGGGTAGAAATTTGTAATGTATCCAATTCTCCTGTCTCCATGCATTGCAGTGTGGTGGGGGAAGGGATGTGGCTAGTACTGGCCAAGAGGCTGGGGGCAGAAGTGCAGTGTTAGACTTCTAGCCCGAAGCATTTAATTCTTAGTACAAGGCTCTCTAGCATTCTTCTCCCTCTGTTCCCTGCTTGGTGATACTCGAGGTATTGCAACCCCCATTAGCCTTAGTCTTAGGGAAAGTTTGATGGGAAACAGAGCACCCCACACCTCCCTGCAGATGTAGCATGAGTAAGAAACACAACTTCTGATGTTTGAAGTTACCAAGATTTAGGAGTTGTTTGTTATTGCAGCAAAACCTCACCTATTCTGACCAATCATGGTGGAAATTCCGTGTGTGTGTGTGTGTGTGTGTGTGTGTGTGTGTTTGTGTGTGTAACTGGTAGTTTAAAAAATTTCCTTCTTACCAAAAAGAAAAAGAAAATAGCAACCTTATGTTGGTTCTCAAATTAAAAAAAACAAATTTTACCCGTTTATAAAATAGAAAAATCTGAGAATCTGTAGCTTAGAGAACTACTGTGTGGGATGTCTTTAAAGACCAGGTTATTTTATCAGCTCCTAACACCCCTTAATAGAAGCTTAGCCAAGACTTGGACTATTTCAGTCTTTCCCATTCCACATTCCATGGACTCTTGAAGAGACATTGATAAAACGGTGCAGCCATGAACCACCCTAACTCAATCCTAGTGGCAGAACCTGCCTTTTACTGCAGAATGAGCTTCTTGCTACAGTGATACTTGAACCCCTTAGATATATCCTGTATTAATTATATTAAAACACGACCAATGCTTTTGCTTTGTTGTCCCCCAAATTAAACACATTAATCACGAGAACCCAGAGAATTGGATTTAGTGTACCTGATTCCAAACTGTCAGTAAGAACATAATTAAGTTATATTTTTCTCCAATTCAAATAAAAGAAAGTTGACAATAAAATGCTGATCAATATGTGTAGCTCAGGAGGTAGAGCCTGCTTTGAGATGCAGAAGTGTTTGCTTTTTTTAGATCTATATTCTTGAGTAAAGAAAAAAATCCATCTCTCTTTCCTAGAAGGGAAGAGTTTCAGAACTGCGCTTGGCAACAGCCTGACTATCAGAGGCTGAATTAAACAAATAGGTACCTCCCTGGAGTGAATGGTGGGTTTCTCCAGTTCGGGAAACCGTGCTTTTATGTTGGAGTTTGCTTTCTGTCTTGGTCTCCGGATGTGTGTATCTGTGGGTAGATGTCTGCATGCAAATGGCAGCGTATACCTGTGTGGGTGTGTACAAAATTCCCATGTGAATCTCAGCTTTGTGGGGATTTCCGGATCTTGAGCCCAGCAGATGCCATTTGAAGAAAAATCACTTGAAAATGAGATAGAAAGAATGGAAACTAAATCCTAGCTCTAAAGGCACCAGGCTGATTAAAAAAAAAAAAAAAAAAAAAAAAAACTCTGGATCTTCTTTGTTTTGGACTCTACCTACCTCCTAATAACATTTCTGTTTCCTATGAGATGATTAGAATGAAAGAGATCCTGAGCACAAAAGAGCAGATACTGTGTGATAGTGTGTATGTCAGGGTGTTAGCTGTGACACTGCTGGCATTTTGGCTCAGCAGTTTCTCTGTTTTATGTGTGGGGGTTCCCTGTGCATTTCAGGATGTTGAGCGGCATCCCTGGATCCCTGGACTCACTGGATGCAGTAACACAACTCCCCCCAAGTAGAGACAAACCCCAGTGTCTCTAGATATTGCCTAATGTCCCCAGGGGACAAAATAGCCCCATCTGAGAACTGCTGCTTTCATAAAGTACAATGTCAGGTGAAATAGGTGGAGGCTGTTTGTAGTCAGGGGTTAGTAGAGATGGAAAAGACCCCAGGAATATCCTGGAAGGGGCTGTAATATTTTGTTTCTTGAATTGGGTGTCAGTAATATGGAGATGTTCAGTTTTTTGTTGTTGTTGTTGTTGTTTTTTTGAGGCAGGATCTTGCTCTGTCACCGAGGCTGGAGAACAGTGGCACCGTCATGGCCCACTGCAGCCTCTGCCTCCTGGGCTCAAGCAGTCCTCCCACCTCAGCCCTCCTGAATAGCTGGAACTACAGGCATGTGCCATCACTGTTGCTGAATTTTTGTATTTATTTATTTTTTGTAGAGAGGGGTGTATCACTATGTTGCCCAGGCTGGTCTTGAGCTCCTGGGCTCAAGCAATCTGCTCACCTCGGCCTCCCAAAGTGCTGGGATGATAGGCATGAGCCACTGCGTCTGGCCAGTATGTTCAGTTTGTAAGAAAAGTACTGTGTTGACCTCTTCTATGTGCACATTTCTTTAAGTAATAATTCAATAAACCATTTAGAAAAATTGGTCATAATAGGAGTGATTTGTAGAGTGATTGGCATGAAAGCTGATCACCTTAATTTGAACTACTCTGAAATGAGCACCAGGGGACACCAAGAGGACCCTTTCAAGGTGTCATAGCCAAGGATAGGAGTGTGTTGTGTACATCTCTGCATAAAGGATTTGCTGATTATATGGAAGGATGAAGCCTCCTTCTGAGGACAGAGGCAGCAAAGCAAGTGGAAGCCCAAAGCATTGAGCTTTCTAAATGGACTTTGCTAAAATCTTGTGGATGACTCATGCTCTTAACATACACCCATGTACATATTGTCCATATAAACGTTAATTCTGTAACAAGGCCCACACTTAAGGGTTTTTTTTTTTTTCTTTTGGGACAGTCTTGCTTTATTGCCTAGGCTAGAATACAGTGGCATAATCGTGACTCACTGCAACCTCCGCCTCCTGGGTTCAAGCAATGCTTGTGCCTCAGCCCCCCGAGTAGCAGGGACTACAGGTGCACACCACCATGCCTGGGTAATTTTTGTATTTTTAGTAGAGAGGGGGTTTCACCATGTTGGCCAGGCTGGTTTCAAACTCCTGGCCTCAAGTGATCTGCGCACCTCAGCCTCCTAAATTGTTGGGATTACAGGTGTGAGCCACTGCGCCTGGGCCCACACATAAGGTTTGAGTTGAGATAGAGAAACTCTGGCAGGACTGAGGAATTGGGCCACAGTCTCTGGGAAATATGCACAATTTCTGGAATCTTCTCTACTTGCAGAGTTCCCACTTTCTATCTGTCTCCTATTTATTCAACAAACTTGTATGGAACCACAGTGTGTCTAGAACTTGCCAGGTATGGAGGATAAAAAGATGACTGAGATCGGACATGGTGGCTCATGCCTGTAATCCCAGCACTTTGGGAGGCCAAGGCAGGCGGATCACTTGAGGGCAGGAGTTTGAGCACAGCCTGGCCAACATGATGAAACGTCTCTACTAAAAGTACAAAAATTAGCCAGGCATGGTGGCATGCATATGTAGTCCCATCTACTTGGGAAGCTGAGGCAGGAGAATCGCTTGAACCCAGGAGGCAGATGTTGCAGTGAGCTGAGATCACACCGCTGCATTCCAGCCTGGGAGACAGTGAGATTCCATGTCAAAAAAAAAGATGACTGAGATACAGACTCCATCAGGGTTGACTCTAACACAAATTAGGTAAGAGCCCAAGGTCTGGCTGGGCAAGGACCTTGATCGGCCTCATCCTGCAGTGTCTACTAGAATGAAGAACACTTTTTTCTTTACCCATGAAAATGTTCTGTGCTTCATACCTACAATACAATTTGTGTTAATTCTGCAAAACTTGCCGCATAACTCTGCCTGTATTCTTAGCATTTTTCTTTTGAGAGATTTCTCAACACATCATCTTTGGACTATGTGGAATTGGAAGTTTACTTAGACTCAACAACAAGTACAGGAAAGTTAGTTCTTAGTCAAGAGTTAGGTTTTCAAAGACAGTGGATAAAATAAAAAATCTAGTACAGTCAAGATTATACGTGCAAATCCCCTCATCATTCATGAAGTTTAGCAGTCAGTCTTACCGTGGCTCACCAGGTCCAATCCATACTTTTTCCTCCATGATTGGAGCAGAGGGTGATTTTTTTTTATGAGCAACTGATGAAGTCATTTAGAGACCATTTGCAGTAGGAGCCCTGTGTACTACAGACCAATCAATGTGCCCTCGTGGCTCCATTTCTGCCTCTCTCCCTCTTTGTTCTTGCCAAGTACCGATAGTTCATTTTCCATAGATTAAAAGAGCCCAAGTTGGGCCTATACCTAGAAGTACAATTGCTGGGTCATTTGGTAACTCCATGTAGAATTGTTTGGGAAGCTGTTAAACTGTTTCTCACAGTGGCTACACTATTTTAATTCCTACCAGCAGTGTATGAAACTTCTAGTTTCTCTGCATCCTCACCAACACTTGTTATTTTCTGTATTTTTTTTTTTTTGAGACAAAGTCTTGCTCTGTAGCCCAGGCTGGAGTGCAGTGGCACAATCTCAGCTCACTGCAACCTCTGCCTCCCAGATTCAAGTTACTCTCCTGCCTCAGCCTCCCGAGTAGCTGGTATTATAGTCACCTGCCACCATGCCTGGCTAATTTTTGTATTTTTTTAGTAGAGACAGGGTTTCACCATGTTGGCCAGGATGGTCTCAAACTCCTGGCCTCAGGTGATCCACCTGCCTCGGTCTCCCAAAGTGCTGGTATTACAGTCATTAGCCACTGCACCAGGCCAATTTTCTCTATCTTCGATTCTAGCCATCCTTATGGGTGTGAAGTGGTATCTCATTGCGGTTTTGATTTCTGTTTCCCTGATGAAGAATTTCATTGAGCATCTTTTCATGTGCTTATTGGCCACTTGTATGTCTTCCTTGGAGATGTGCCATATTTTCATATTCAAAAATGAAAGCACAGGTCCACACAAAAATTTGTACATGAATAATTACAGTAGCATCACTCTTAATAACACAAAGAGGGAATTAATCCAAATGCCCATCACCAGATGAAGAGAGACACCGATTGTTGTCTACACACATGGTGGAATATTATTTGATCACAAAAAGGAGGAATGTACATATGCTACAGCGTGGATAAACCTTCAAAACAGATGAAAGATCACATTCTACATGATTTCATTCAGATGGAAATCTATAGAAATAGGAAGTCGATTAGTGGTTGCTTAGGGCTGGTAGGGGCATGGGAGGATGGGGGTGTTAGCTAAATGGTATGAGGTTTCTTTTTGAGGTCATGAAATGTTCTAAAATTGACTGGTAATGTTTGCGTATATCTCTGAATATATTAAAAACCATTGAAATGTAAAAAATGCAAAGAAAAAACAGCCCAAGTTGCAATTTTATTCAACACTTGATTGCTTTAAAAATAGATTCCAGGCTGGGCATGGTGGCTCACACCTGAAATCCCAGTGCTTTGGGAGGCTGCAGTGGGAGGATTGCTTGAGGCCAAGAGTTCCAGGCCAGCCTTGGCAACATGGCAAGACCCTGTCTGTACAAAAAAAGAAAAAATAAATATCAGCTGGGTACAGTGGCTCACACCTGTAATCCCAGCACTTTGGGAGGCTGAGGCAGGCAGATCACCTGACATCAGTTCAAGACGAGCTTGGCCAACATGGTGAAATCCCGTCTCTACCAAAAATATAAAATTTAGCCTTTTGGTACTCTAAGCAGCACCATGGCGGTTGTTAAGAACAAGTGCCTTATGAAAGGTGGCAAAAAGGGAGTTAAGAAGAAAGTAGTTGGTCCATTCTCTAAGAAAGATCAGTATGATGTGAAAGCACCTGCTATGTTCAATATAAGAAATATTGGAAAGACTTGGTCACCAGGACCAAAGGAACCCAAATTGCATCTGATGGTCTCAAGTTTCTAGTGTTTGAAATGAGTCTTGCTGATTTGCAGAATGATGAAGTTGCATTTAGAAAATTCAAGCTGATTACTGAAGATGTTCAGGGCAAAAGCTGCCTGACTAACTTCAATGGCATGGGTATTACCTGTGACAAAATATATTCCAAGGTTGAAAAATGTTCAACAATAATTGAAGCTCATGTTGATGTCAAGACTACCGATGGTTACTTCTTTCTTCTGTTTTGTGTTGGTTTTACTAAAAAACACAACAATCAGATACTGAAGACCTCTTATGCTCAGCACCAACAGTCTGCCAAATCCAGAAGAAGATGATGGAAATCATGACCTGAGAGGTGCAGACAAATGACTTGAAAGAAGTGGTTAATAAATTGATTCCAGACAACATTGGAAAAGATGTAGAAAAGGCTTGCCAATCTATCCTCTCCATGATGTCTTCATTAGAAAAGTAAAAATGCTGGAGAACCCTGGATTTGAAAGGAATAGAGCTTCCTGGTGATGGTGGTGATTCTGGAAAACCCACTAGGGACGAGATGCGTGCTAAAGTTGAATGAGCTGATGGATATGAACCATCAGTCCAAGAATCTGTTTAAAGTTCAGACTTAAAACAGTAGCAAATAAGAAGTCCTATTTGTGAAAAACAAACAAGAAACAACAATGAAAGAGCAAAATTAGCCTGGTGTGGTGGTGCATGCCTGTAATCCTAGCTACTCAGGAGGCTGAGGCACGAGAATTACTTGAACCCGGGAGACAGAGGTTGCAGTGAGCCAAGATTGCACCATTGCACTCCAGCCTGTGCAACAGAGTGAGACTCTACAAAAAGAAGAAAAAAAAAATAAGTATCCGGGCTTGGTGGCATGTGCCTGTAGTCTCAGCTACTCTGAAGGCTGAGATGGGAGGATGGCTTGAGGCCAGGAGTAATTTGAGGCTGCAGTGAACTATGATTGTGACACTGCACTCCAGCCTGGACTTGAGAGCAAGACCCTGTCTCTTATACATACACACACAAACACACACACACACACACACACACACACACACATATATATACACACACATACATACATACCCAGGCTCTACTTCTAGTGATTTTGACTCAGTAGGGTGGGGTATCCCCTAGGGATCCTGCTGTTCAGCCTGGTCTGGGATCCACTTTTCATTGGGAACTGAGACACTGGCTGTGAGCCCTTCTGTCCTGAGATGTAGAGGTCATGGGGATGCAGGTTCAAGCTTAAGGAGACCTGACTGTGTGTTAGGTATTGTGTTGAACATCATCTCTTACTCTTACAGCAACATCCGTAGAAGGTTGATGATGTGTCCCTGCTCTACAGATGAGGAACTGAACTTTCAGAGGAGTTTAGCTTGTTCAAAACTTATTCTTCCTATTGGAAACTTTGTACCCTTTGACCAGTGTCTCCAATCCCCTCCCTTTCCTTCACCCCATCCCCAGATAACCACTGTCCTACTCTCTATTTCTGTGAGTTCTACTTCTTTAGATTCCACATATAAGTAAAATCATGCAGTATTTGTCTTTCTGTGCCTGGCTTATTTCACTTAACACAATGTCTTTCAAATTCATCTATGTTGTTGAAAATGACAGGAATTCTTTCTTTTTTAAGGGTTAATAGTATTCCGTTGTGTGTATATAGTCCATTTGCTTTATCTTTTCATCCACTAATGGACACTTAGGTTGATTCTATATCTTGGGTATTGTGAATAGTGCTGCAGTGAACATAGGAATGTAGGGATCCCTTCGACATATTGATTTTGATTTTTTTTTGGTCTATATCCAGAAGTTGGGTTGCTGGATTATATGCTTTGAAATCTATAGCACAGTAGCGTGACTATAGTAAATAATAATGTATCTTTCAAAATAACTAAGTGGGTACATTTCAAATGTTGCATCATGAAAATTGTCAGTAAATTAGGGGATGGACGTGTTCATTAGTTTGATCTAATCATCCCACATTGTATACACATATCAAAACATCACATACATGTGTACAATTTTGATTTGTCAATTAAAATAACTTTAGTTAAAAAAATAAGTAACTTGTTCAAAGCCCCAGTTGGGATTGATGGAGCTGGGACATGCACCAAGGCTGTTGCTCTCAGGCCCACAGAGTCCTTGGTCCACGAATGTTGAAGCCCTACCTGAGATTTCAACTGAGATCAGTGCAGGGATTCAATGTCTCAGAATCATCCCATCCTCCAGGGCCCACAAGTCCATGACCGCTGCCTCTACCACCGACCCTACTGACCTGAAATGTGGCCCCTGCTTTCATTTCCGGGAGCATACAACACTTACACCAAGCATTGATGGGTTTTGTTGACTTCATTTGAGATGTGGGGTCGTGGAGAGGGTCCCATGATCCTTGTTTGGTGTTGGCCAACTCATTGACTTCTCTCCTTTGACTTCACCCTTCCCTTTTCTACTCACCTCCTCTGTCATGGATTGTTCTGGTAATTCTGAGCCCTGGTTCCTTTATTTTGCTGATAACCTTCTCTCGTGTCTGCAACGAATCCCAAAAGTGTGTAGTTGAGCTGACTGCAAGGTGCTTGACACGCAAGAGACTCCACAAATGGGATTCGGCCTCTGGAAAGTGGTGGTAGTTCCAGATTTATGTGGATGTTACTTTATTTTTCCGTATAAAATCTATTCTTTAAACTCTCAAGCTCTTGGGTCCTGGCTGCAGTCCTTTGCTGGTGGTAGTGGGCTGGGTACTGCCACAGGGGAGAAATGCTGCCCACTTAGAGAAAGGGAAACTGGTTCTCTTTTAGAGGCAGAGGGAGGTTCCCAGTGTCAGTTTGTTTGGAGGCAAAATGGCTGTTGTATTAAAATTGCCCAAACTTGGGTTGGTGCCTTGTGTGTTTAGAGCTCAAAGCCACGATTGTTTTCTTTTTTTTTTTTTTTTTTTTTTTTTTTTTTTGGTGGTTGGTTTTCCATCCTTTTGCCTGGCAGGTTCCTGCTAATAGCTTCAACCTCAAGAGTCCCATTATACAGACACTAATAGCACCTACTATGTGCCAGTCTGTAGTGCCTACTATGTGTCAGGCATTGGAGATAATATAATGATGAACAAGATACACATGGCATTTGGAAAAGAGAGTCTACTTCCCACTCTCAGCCCACCCCAAAGAGAGGCCAGAATTGGGCTTCCAAAGATCTCAGATGCCCTTGCAGCACCTCCCTAAAGAGGGCGGGTGAAGCTTTGGTGTCTGAAGAGAATTTGGCTGGACAATCCCCCAGGTTTGGAAGGATGGGAAGGAGCTGCCATCTGTGTTTAAGGTGAGAAGTTGGGGAGTGGCTGGATATCAGAGGAAGCCAAGATGAAGAGAAGGTTTTTGTGAGTTCCTATGCATAGTGGAGACCTGTTCTAGTGAGGGTCCCTGGGGCTGAGCCTGTGGGTCAGTGGAATGATGCTGTGAGTAGGGTCTTGCTATAGCAGGTGGCCCAAAGAATGTTGATGGATCATGAGCAGGTGGAAGAATGGAGAGTTCAGGGGATGTAGTTCCTACCTGGCTTTCCAACAGTGTGTAAGCCCAGAATTCTTACATAAGCCCATGGAGAAGGGAAAGGAATGCTGGTAACGACAAGATTGAATTCTCCACCTGCCAGGCATCCAGGGACTCAGAGCAGATTTAAGTGAAGTTACAGAAATAGGAATGTGACATTTCCTACATCCGGGTGTGCTGGAGCAAATGTATTCCCTCTCTGGTTTGTGGGGAAGGAGAATGCTAACAGACAAGACTCCAGGTTTTCGCTCTTAAACCTGGTGCCTAGAAATGCATTTTCTACTGGATGCAGACAGAAGCTCCATATAGACATATCCATCGCTGCATCTCTCATGCCTTGTGTTCTCCCTAATTTTCCCTTTTTAACCCACAGACGAAGAAAGTTCCAGCATCACTTCTGGCCTCTCAAGAGTGAGTTAGGTGGCCAGGTGGGGTTATTCATGCCTGTAATCTCATAATGAAGGGGTGGCCTGCCCCTCCACACCTGTGGGTATTTCTTGTCGGGTGGGATGAGAGACAGAAAAGAAATCAGACACAGAGACAAAGTATAGAGAAACAACAGTGGGCCCAGGGGACCGGCGCTTAGCATGCTAAGGACCTGCACTGGCACCGTTCTCTGAGTTCCCTCAGTTTTTATTGATTATTATCTTCATTATTTCAGCAAAAATGAATGTAGTAGGAGGGCAAGGTGATAATAAGGAGAAGGTCAGCAACAAACATGTGAGCAATAGAATCTATGACATAATGAAGTTCAAGGGAAGGTACTATGACTGGACGTGCATGTAAGCCAGATTTATGTTTCTCTGCACCCAGACATCTCAGTGGAGTAAAGAATAACAAGGCAGCATTGCTGCAAACATGTCTCGCCTCCCACCATAGGGTGGTTTTTCTCCCATGTCAGAATTGAACAAATGTACAATAGTGTTTTATACCGAGACATTCAGTTCCCAGGGGGCAAGCATGAGACAGCGGCCTTCCTCTATCTCAACTGCAAGAGGCTTTCCTCTTTGACTAATCCACCTCAGCACAGACACTTTATGGGTGTCGAGCTGGGGGACCGTCAGGTCTTTCTCATCCCATGAGGCCATATTTCAGACTATCACATGGGAAGAAACCATGGACAATACCCAGCTTTCAAGGGCAGAGGTCCCTGCGGCTTTCCACAGTGCATTGTGCCCCTGGTTTATTGAGACGAGAGAATGGTGATGACTTTTACCAAGTATACTGCTTCCAAATATTTGGTTAACAAGGCACGTCCTGCACAGCCCTACATGCCTTAAGCCTTGATTTCATACAAACATGTTTTTGTGAGCTCCAGATTGGGTCAAAGTGGTTGGGGCAAAGTGGCTGGGGCAAAGCTACAGATAAACAACATCTCAGCAAGCAATTGTTTAAAGTACAGGTCTTTTTCAAAATGGAGTCTCTTATGGCTTCCCTTTCTATGTAGACACAGTAACAGTCTGATCTCTCTTTCTTTTCCCTACATATCCCCCTTTTCGTTTTGACAAAACCACCACCATCATCATGGCCCCTTCTCGCTGGTCGCTGTCTCTCTGGAGCTGCTGGATACACCTGTAGACTAAAAATAGAAAGGACAGACATACAAGGATTAATAAAAAATTTGCAATAGTGGAATTTCCGGTGGTTTTAATCCAAGTGACGGGGGCAAGAGGACGGTGTGGCTGCTGCGGCACCAACGCAGTCTCCCACCTCCTTTGTGTCTTAGTTGCTGTTTCTCATAGTTTTCAGTCTTTCTCCTCACCTGCTCACTCGCACCTTTTATCTCTTTGTCTCTCTTCTCTTACGGTCTCTCTCTCTCTCTTTTACACTATTTCTCTCCCCAATCTCTTTCTGTGTCTTTCTCTGATCTCTGTCTCTTTTTCTTTCTCTTCCTCTCCCTGGCTCTCCACATGTGCCATTTCCTTGGTGGATTGTAACTTCATTTGTTCTTCTGATATCACATTTTGTTCACCCTGCGAGTCGATGATGCTCGATTGCGGGTTTTCTGTCTCTGCAGAGGCACTTTCATTTGCATCTCTGATGGGTTCATTGTGGAACTTCAAATGTCTAGTGGGTATCCAAACAGGAAGCTGATTTTCTCCTGGTGAAACACAAGCAAAACCTCCCCCCATGTTATCACCTTACCTATTTCCCATGTTTTGTTTTTGTTGTCTTTCCACCAAATCAGTTTTCCCTCATGTGGGCTATTCTTTTTACCAGTAAAATGTTCTGCAGAAGTAGTGGTCTGATTTCTATGTATGTCTAGAAAATCTAAAGTATAGAGTGTTTCATTAAGTTGCATCTGGGGAGTGCTATACTCCTTACTGTCTTTTTCCTTTTTTTGTTTAACCAATTGAGTTTTGAGTGTTCTAAGCAGGACAGGTAAGATCTGCTTCTGGCAGTCAGCCAGGTCTCCTTACCCTGAGCTTCCCTTTCTGCCTGTGACTGAATGGGCATGTCAGGGTCTAGTAGAGGATCCAGGAGGAGGAAGCCTCATTAAATTCTATTCTGCAGCAATTGATGGCCACCCAACTTGAACAGTGGGGGCTTATCATCTCATGTACTAAGATCAGAGATAGCTGATGCCAAGGTTGGCTAAATTAGTAGCTTGAGATTTTAGGTTTTTCATTTGAGGTTTCTATGCTGCTATTGTCTTCTGCTCTTGGTCACAGAGGCTGCCACAATCCGCATGTCAAGTCCTCATGTGACAATATCCAGAGACAGCAAGGAAGAGGTACAGTGTATTCCTGCATGTTTCTTTAAAAAAAAATGTTTTCGATAGAGAATAATTGTACACATTTATGGGGTCCATGTGAGATTCTGGTACATGCGTGCAATGTGTAATGATCAAATCAGGGTCTTTGGGATATTAACCACCTCAAACATTGATCATTTCTTTGTGTTGGGAATATTTCAAATCTTATTGTTATTTAGAAATACATAATAATTCTATTTATCAGGATATAAAATCTATGTACACAAATCAGTAGCAGTGCTATACACCAACATCTACCAGGCTGAGAATCAAATCAAACCCTTTTATAATAGCTGTAAAAATAAAATACTTAGGAATATACCTAACCAAGGAGGTGAAAGACCCCTACAAGGAAAACTACAAAACACTGTTGAAAGAAATCACAGATGACAAAAACAAATGGAAACACATTCCATGTTCATGGATGGGTAGACTCAATATTGTGAAAATGACCATACTGCCAAAAGCAGTCTACAAATTCAATGCAATTCCTATCAATGTATCATCATCATTCTTTATAGAACTAGAAAAAAAATGCCAAAATTCATTTGGAACTAAAAAAGAGTCTGCAAAGCCAAAGCAAAACTAAGCAAAAAGAACCAATCTAGAGGCATCACATTACCCAACTTCAAACTATATTACAAAGCTATAGTCACCAAAACTGCATGGTGCTGGTATAAAAATAGGCACATGACCAATGGGACAGAGTAGAGAACCTAGAAATAAAGCCAAATACTTAACAGCCAACTGATCTTCGACAAAGTAAACAAAACCAAAGTAAGAAAAGTACACCCTATACAACAAATAGTGCTGGGATAATTGGCAAGCCACATGTAAAAGAATAAAACTGGATCCTTATCTCTCACCTTATACAAAAATCAACACAAGATGGATCAAAGACTTAAATCTAAGGTCTGAAACCATAAAAATTCTAGAAGATAACATTGGAAAATGCTTCTACACATTGGCTTAGGCAAAGAGTTTATGACCAAGAACCCAAAAGCAAATGCAACAGAAACACAGATAAATAGATGGGACTTTAATTAAACTAAAAGCCTCCTGCACAGCATAGGAAATAATCAGCAGAGTAAACAGATCACCCACAGAGTGGGAGAAAATTTTCACAAACTGCATCTGACAAAGGGCTAATTTGCAGAATCTACAGGGAACTCTAATCAGCAAGAAAAAAAGAATCTCATCAAAAAGTGTGCCAAGGACATGAATAGACAATTCTCAAAAGAAGATATACAAATGGCCAACAAACATGAAAAAATGCTCAACATCACTAATTACCAGGGAAATGCAAATCAAAACCACAATGCAATACCACGTGTAAAAGAAACAAAAAGAGGGCGAGGCGTGGTGGCTCACGCCTGTAATCCTAGCACTTTGGGAGGCCAAGGTGGGCGGATCACGAGATCAGGAGTTTGAGACCAGCCTGACCAACATGGTGAAACCCAGTCTCTACTGAAAATACAAAAATTAGCCGAGCATTGTGGCAGTTGGCTGTAATCCCAGCTACTCAGGAGGCTGAGGCAGGAGAATTGCTTGAACCCGGGAGGCAGAGGTTGCAGTGAGCTGATATGGCACCACTGTACTCCAGCCTGGGCTACAGAGCGAGACTCCATCTCAAAAAACCAAAAAACAAAACAAAACAAAAAAAACAAAAGTTGATGTTGGCATGGATGTGGTGAAAGACAACGCTTTTACACTGATGGTGGGAATGTAAGCTAGTACCACCACTATGGAAAGCAGTATGGAGATTCCTTAAACAACTAGAAGTACATCTACCATTTCATCCAGCAATCCCACTGCTAGGTATCTACCCAGAGGAAAAGAAGTCATTATATGAAAAAGATACATTTGCACACATGTTTACAGCAGCAGAATTCACAGTTGCAAAACTATAGAACCAGCACAAATGTCCATCAATCAATTAGTGGATAAAGAAAATGTGTTATATATATGTATACCATAGAATACTACTTAGCCTTAAAAAGGAATAAAATAATGGCATGCATAGCAACCTGGATGGATTTGACCATTATTCTAAATGAAGTAACTCAGGAATGGAAAACCAAACATAGCATGTTCTCACTCGTAAGTGGGAGCTAAGCTATGATGATGCAAAGGCACAAGAATGAAACAGTGGACTTTGGGGGCTCAATGGGAAGGTGGGAGGGAGTGAGAGAGAAAAGACTATACATTGGGTAAGCTGCTTTGGTGATGGGTATGCCAAAATTTCAGAGATCACCACTAAGGAACTTATCCATGTAACCAAATACCATCTGTTCCCTAAAAACTATTGAAATTAAAAAAAGAAATACACAACAAATTGTTGTAGTCACTTTCTGTGATAATGAACACTAGAACTTATTCCTTCTATTATATATTTTTATATTCATTAATCAACCTCTTTTCAAACCCCTCCTCTTCCCAGCCTCTATTAACTATCATTCTACTCTTTATCTCTATGATATCAATTTTATATAGCTCCAGGGCACACAAGTCCATAACTGTGGTCTCTATCCCTGACCCTAGTGACCTGAAACGTGGCCCCCACTTTGATTTCCAGGAACATAAACCGCTCACATAAGTGAAAACATGCAATAGTTTTCTTTCTGTGAATGGCCTAGTTCACCTAACATTATGACGTTTAATTTCATCCATTTAGCTGAAAATGGCAGGATTTCATTCTTTTTTAAGGCTGAATACTATTCTGTTATGCGTATATTCCCATTTTCTTTATCCATTCATCCATTGATTGACACTCAGATTGATTCCATATCTTGGCTATTGTAAATAGTGCTGCAGTAAATATGGAGGTACAGATATCCCGTTGATACACTGATATCCTTTTTTTTGGATGTATACCCAGGAGTGGGATTGCTGGATCACGTGGTAGATTTGTTCTTAGTTTTTTTGAGAAATCTCTGTGCTTTTTTTCATAATGACTGTACTAATTTACATTCCCACCAACAATATACAATAATTTTCTTTTCTTCACATGCTTGCCAGCATTTGTTGTGCTTTGTCTTTTTAATAATAGCCATTCTAACAAGTATGAGATGATATCTTATTGTGGTTTTGATTTGCATTTCCGTGATGATTAGTGATGTTGAATATTTTTTCATAAACTTGGTGATTTGTATATCTTCTTTTGAGAAATATCTGTTTGTTTTTTGATAGTTTCTTTTGCTGTGCAGAAGCTCTTTCATTTAATTAGATCCCATTTGTCAATTTTTGCTTTTGTGGCAATTGCGTTTGGCATCTTTACCATGAACTCTTTGCCCAACACTATGTACTGGAGGGTATTGCCTAGGTTGTCTTCCAGCGTTTTTATAGTTATGGGTTTTAAATTTAAGTCTTTAAGCCATCTTGAGTTAATTTTTGTGTATGGTGTAAGGGAGGGGTGTTGTCTTTTCACTCTGTTGATTGTTTTCTTTGATATGCAGAAGGTATTTAGTTTAATATAATCCCATTTGTCTGTTTTTGTTGCTTGTAGTTTTTAAGTGTTAGCCATACAATCTTTGTTCTCAAGCTTTTCTCCTGTGTTTACTTCCAGTAGTTTTATAGTTGTGGCTGTTACATTTAAGTCTTTAATTGATTTTGAGTTTATTTTTGTAAGTGATGAGAGATAAGGGTCTAGTTTTATTCTTCTGTGTTTGGATATCTAGTTTTCCTGGCACCATTTAATGAAGAGGGTATCCTTTATTCAATGTATGTTCTTGACAGCTTTCTTGAAAATCAGTTAGCTGTAAATATGTGGATTCATTTCTGGATTCCTTAGTCTGTTTCCTTTGTTTTTGTGTCTTTTTTAATACCAGTACACGCTGTTTTGGTTACTGTAGCTTTGCAGTACATATATATATATTTTTGTTTTGTTTTGTTTTTTGAGATGGAGTCTTGCTCTGTCGCCCAGGCTGGAGTGCAGTGGCACGATCTTGGCTCACTGCAAGCTCTGCCTCCGCCTCCAGGGTTCACGCCATTCTCCTGCCTCAGCCTCCCGAGTAGCTGGGACTAAAGGCACCCATCACCACACCTGGTAATTTTTTTTTTTTTTTTTTTTTTTAGTAGAGACAGGGTTTCACCATGTTAGCCAGGATGTTCTCGATCTCCTGACCTTGTGATCCACCCGCTTCAGCCTCCCAAAGTGCTGGGATTACAGGCATGAGCCACCGCGCCCGGCCGCTTTGCAGTATATTTTTAAATCAGGTAGTGTGAGGCTTCTAGCTTTGTTCTTTTTGCTCAGTATTGCTTTGGCTATTTCGGGTCTTCTGTGGTTCCATATGAATTTCAGGGCTTTTTTTTTCCTGTTTCTGTGAATAATATAATTGATAGGGATTATACTAAATCTCTAAACTGCTTCGAGTAGCATGGTCATTTTAACAGTATTAGTTATTCCAACCCACGAGTATGAGATGCCTTTCCATATGTTCCTGTCCTTCTCAATTTATTTTATCAATGTTTTGTGGTTTTCACTGCAGAGGTTTTTTGGTTTATTTTCCCCCTCCTTGGTTAAGTTTATTCCTAGGTATTTTATTTTTGTAGCTATTGTAAATAGAATTTCTTCTTTGATTTCTATTTTAGCTAGTTTCTTACTGGTATATAGAAACATTACTGATTTTTCTAGGTTGATTTTGTGACCTGAAGCTTTACTGAATTATACATCTGCTTTTTAAATTTTTTTTATTTTTTATTTTTTATTTTTTGAGATAGAGTCTCACTCTGTTGCCCAGGCTGGAGTGTAGTGGTGCAATCTTGGCTCAGTGCAACCTCCGCCTCTCGGGTTCAAGCAATTCTCCTGCTTCAGCCTCCCAAGTAGCTGGGATTACAGGCACCTACCACCATGCTTTGCTAATTGTATTTTTTGTAGAGACAGGGTTTCGCCATGTTGGCCAGGCTGGTCTCAAACTCCCAACCTCAGGTGATTCGCCCACCTTGGCCTCCCAATGTGCTGGGATTACAGGCATGAGCTACCATGCCCAGCCTAATTTACCCATTTTAAGAGTTTTTTGGTGGAGTCTTTAGGTTTTTCTGTTTACAAGTATAAGATTATGTCATCTGCAAAGTGAGACAATTTGACTTCCTCTTGTCCATTTTCGATGCCTTTTATTTGTTTATCTTGTCTGATCACTTTGGCTTGGATGTCCCATACTGTGTTGAATAAGAGTGGTGAAAGTGGGCATCCTTGTCTTATTCCAGTTCTTAGAGGAAAGGCTTTTCAATTTTTCCCAGTGAGTAGGATGTTAGCTGTAGATTAATCATATATGCTTTTCTTATGTTGAAATGTTCCTTCTATGCATAACTTGTTGAGAGTTTTCATCATGAAGGAATGGTAAGTTTTACTGAGTGATTTTTCTGCATCTGCTGAGATGATCAGATAGTTTTTGCCTTTCATCTTGTTGATGTGATGTATCACATGCACTAATTTCTGGATGTTGAGCCATCTTTGCATTCCTGGGATAAATCCCACTTGATCATGGTATATTATCTTTTTCATTCATCATTAGATTTGGCTTGGTAGTATTATGCTGAGAATTTTTCCATCTGTGTTCATTAGGAATATTGGCCTGTAGTTTTCTCTTTCTGTTGTGTCCTTGTCTTGATTGGATATCAGGGTAATGCTGGCCTTATACAATGAGTTAGGAAGAATTCCCTCCTCTTCAATTTTTGGGAATAGTTTGAGAAGTATTGGTGTTTGTTTTTCTTTATAAACTGGGTAGAAATCAGTATAAAAGCCTAGTCTAGGGCTTTTCTCTTTGGAGAGACTTTTTGTTACTGATTCAAACCTGCTATTCATTTTGAGTCAGTTCAGGTTCTCTCTTTCTTCCTAGTTCAATCTTGGTAGGCTGTGTATGTCTGGGAATTTATCCCTTTCCTCTAAGTTTTCCAATTTGTTAGGGTATGGTTGTTCGTAATAGCCTCTAATGATCCTTTTTATTTCTTTGGTAACAGTTGTAATGTCTCCTTTTTCATTTCTGATTGTATTTATTTGGGTCTCCTTTCTTTTTTTTTGGTTAGCCTCACTAGTGGTTTATCAATTTTGTTTAACTTTTCAAAAAAACAACTTTTATCTTGTTGATTCTTTGCATTTCTTTTTTGTCTCTGTTGCATTTGGTTCTGCTGTTATTTTTTTTTTCTTTCTACTAATTGTGTGTTTGGTTTGTTCTTGCTTTTGGAGTTCCTTGAGGTGCATCGTTAGGTTGTTTATTTGAGATCTTTCTACTTTTTTGGTGTAGGCATTTATTGCTATGAACTTGCCTCCTAGTAGTGCTTTTGCTGTATCCCATAGGTTTTGCATGATGTGTTTCTATTTTCTGTTTAAAAAAAAAAATTTGATGTCCATCTTAGTTTCTTCATTGATCCAATGACCATTCGATAGCATGTTTAATGTCCATGTATTTGTACAGTTTCCAAATTTCTTCTTCTTATTGATTTCAAGTTTTATTCCATTTTGGTCTGAGAAGATACTTGATATGATTTTAATTTTTAAAATTTTGTTGAGCCTTGTTTTGTGTCCTAACATATGGTCTATCCTGGAGAATGTTCCATGTGTTGATGAGATGATTGTATATTCTGCTGCTGCTGGATGAAATATTCTGAAAATATCTGTTAGGTCCATTTGGTCTAAAGTGCAGCTTAAATCTAATGTTTCTTTGTTGATTTTATGTCTAGATGAACTGTCCAATGCTGAGAGTAGGATATTGAAGTTCTCAACTATCATTGTATTGGATTCTATCTCTCCCTGTAGATTTAATAATATTTGCTATGTGTGTCTGGATGTGCTTTTGTTGGTTGCATGCATATTTAGAATTTTTATACTTTCTTGCTGAATGGATCCCTTTATTACCATATAATGACCTTCTTTGTCCTTTTTACAGTTTTTGACTTAAAGTCTGTTTTATCTGATGTAAGTTTAGCTACTCCTGGTTACTTTTGATTTCTGTTTATGTGGTATATCTTTTTCAATCCCTTCACTTTCAGTCTGTGTGTGTCTTTACAAGTGAAATGAGTTTCTTGTAGACGTTGTTGGGTCATTTTTTGTCCATTAAGCCTGCCTCTATCTTTTAGGTAGTTAACTTAACACATATTTGAAGTTATTATTGATAGGTGAGGACTTATTCCTGTCATTTTGTTCATTGTTTTCTGGTTATTTTGTATATCCTTTTGATATGGTTTGGCTGTGTCCCCACTCAGATCTCATCTTGAATTCCCATGTGTTGTGGGAGGGATCCAGTGGGAAGTAGTTGAATCATGGAGGCAGGTATTTCCCATGCTATTCTTTTGATAGTGAATAAGTCTCTTGAGATCTGATGGTTTTAAAAGGAGTAGTTTCCCTGCTTAATCTCTCTCTTTGCCTGCTGCCATCCCTGTAAGATGTGACTTTCCTCTCCTTGACTTCTGCAATGATTTTGAAGCCTCCCCAGCAATGTAGAATTGTAAGTCCATTAAACCTCTTTCTTTTGTAAATTTCCCAGTCTTGAATGTGTCTTTATCAGCTGTGTGAAAATGGACTAATACAGTAAATTAGTACCAGAAGTGGGGTGTGGCTAAAAGATACCTGAATATGTGGAACTGACTTTGGAACTGGGAAACAGGCAGAGGTTGGAACAGTTTGGAGGGCTCAGAAGGAGACAGGAAAATGTGGGAAAATTTGGAAGAGATTTCCTAGAGACTTGCCCAAAATGCTGATGGTTATATGGACAATAAAGTCTAGGCTTAGGTTGTCACAGACGGAAATGAGGAACTTGTCAGGAACTGGCACAAAGGTGACTCCTGTTATGTTTTAGCAAAGAGACTGGTGGCTTTTTGCCCCTGCTGTAGAGATTTGTGGAATTTTGAACTTCAGAGAGATGATTTAGGGTATCTGGTAGAAGAAATTTCTAAGCAGCAAAGCATTCAAGAGATGACTTGGGTGTGTTAAAGGCCCTCAGTTTTATAAGGGAAGCAGAGCATGAAAGTTTGGAAAATTTGCAGCCTGAACATGCAATAGAAAAGAAAATCCCATTTTCTCAAGAAAAATTCGATCTGGCTGCAGAAGTTTGTTTAGGTAACAAGGAGTCAAATGTGGATCCCCAAGACAATGGGGAAAATGTCTTCAGGGCATGTCACAGATCTTCATGGCAGCCCCTCCCATCAAAGGCCCAGAGGCCTGGGAAGAAAAGATGGTTTTGTGTGCTGGACCCAGGGCCCCCCTGCTGTGAGCAGCCTAGGGTGCCTGAGTCCTAGCCACTCCAGCTGCAGCTAAAAGGTGCCTAGGTACAATGTGGGCTGTGGCTTCAGAGGGTGCAAGTCCCAAGCCTTAGCAGCTTCCACATAGTGTTGAGCCTGTGGGTGCACAGAAGTCAAAAATTGAGGTTTGGGAACCACTGCCTAGATATCAGAAGATGTATGGAAATGTCTAGACGTCCAGGCAGGAGTTTGCTGCAGGGGCAGGGCACTCATGGAGAACCTCTACTGGGGCAGTGCGGAAGGGAAATGTGGGGTCGGAGCCCCCACATACAGTCCCTACTGCAGCGCCACCTAGTGGAGCTGTGAGAAGAGGGCCACCATCCTCCAGACCCCAGAATAGTGGATTCACTGACAGCTTGCACTGTGTGCCTGGAAAAGCGGCAGACACTCAATGCCAACCCATGGAAGGAGCTAGGAGGGGGTTTATACCCTACAAAGCCACAGGAGTGGAGCTGTGGCCTTTTTTCTCCCAAGGCCATGGGAGCCCACTTCTTACATCAGCATGACCTGCATGTGAGACATGGAGTCAAAGGAGATCATTTTGGAGCTTTGAGATTTGACTGCCCCACTGGATTTTGGGCTTGCATGGCACCTGTAGCCCCTTTGTTTTGGCAATTTTCTCCCATTAGGAATGACTGTGTTTACCCAATGCCTATACCCCCATTGTATCTAGGAAGTAACTAACATGTTTTTGATTTTATGTGCTCATAGGTGGAAGGGATTTGGCTTGTCTCACATGAGACTTTGGACAGTGGACTTTTGAGTTAATGCTGAACTTAGTTAACAGTTTGGGGGACTGTTGGGAAGGCATGATTGGTTTTGAAATATGAGGATATGAGACTTGGGAAGGGCCAGGGACAGAATGATATGGTTTGGTTTTGTCCCCACCAAAATCTCATCTTGAATTCCCACATGTTGTGGGAGGGACCTGTTGGGAAGCAATTTAGTCATGGGGGCAGGTCTTTCCCATGCTGTTCTCATGATAGTGAATACGTCTCACAAGTTCTGATTGTTTTAAAAAGGGCAGTTTCCCTGCAGAAGCTCTCTCTTTGCCTGCTACCATCCATGTGAGACATGACTTGCTTCTTCTTGCCTTCCAACGTGATTGTGAGGTTTCCTCAGCTATGTGGAAGTGTAAGTCCATTAAACCTCTTTCTTTTGTAAATTGCCCAGTCTCAGTCAGGTATGTCTTTATCAGCAGTGTGGAAACAGACTAATACACCTTTATTCCTATTTTCTCTCTTTAATGGTGATGTTTGAATCCTTTCTTCTTTGTGTGTCTGCTCTACCAGTGAGTTTTATACTTTCATGTGTTTTCATGATGGTAGATATTGTTCTTTTTCTTCCCAATGTAGGACTCCCTTAAGCATTTCTTGTATGACCACAACAAACAATACCCAAACAAACAGTCTTTTACTTATCTGAGAAATACTTTTTTCTCTTTTATTTATTTGTTTATTTATTTTTAGCAATGGAGTCTCACTCTGTCACCCAGGCTGGAGTACAGTGGCATGATCATAGCTCACTGCAGCCTTGAACTCTTGGGCTCAAATGATCCTCCTGCCTCAGCCTTATGAGTCTCTGAAATTACAGATGTGAGCCACTGTGCCAGGCTCCTTCATTTGTGAAGGATAGCTTTGCTGGGTATAGTATTTTTGGCTTACTTTTTTTTTTTAACTTGTAGTATACATCCCCTTTTCTCCTAGTCTGTAAGGTTTCTGCTGAGAAATCTCGTTAGCCTGATGGGGATTCTCTTATAAGTGACTTGTTGCTTTTCTCTTGCTGTTTTTAGCATTTTCTCTTTGTCTTTTGACAATTTTACCATAATGTGTCTTGGAGAAGACCTTTTTGAGTTGTATTTATTTGGTAATCTTTCAGCTTCCTGTATTTGAAGCTTTCAGGAAGTTTTCAGTTATTATTTTATTAAATAGGTTTGCTATGCCTTTACCCATCTCATCTCCATCCAGAACTCCCAGAATTTCAGTTTTTGGTCACATAGGTGTCCCATATGTCATGTAGCTTTGCTTCATTCTTTTTTCTTTCTTTTTGTCTGACTGGATTATTTTAAAAGACTAGTCTTCAGGTTCAGAAATTCTTTGTTTTGCTTGATCTAGTCTATTGTTAAAGCTCTCAATTATCTTTTGTATTTCTTTCAATGATTTATTCTCTTCCAGGATTTGTGTTTGTTTCTGTGTTACGCTGTCTATCTCTGTTGAATTTCTCATTCAGATCATAAATTGTTTTCCTGATTTTTTTGTATTCATTATCTGTGTTCTCTTGTATCTCCCTGAGTTTCTTCAATAACATTATTCTGAATTTTTTTCAGGCATTTCATAGATTTTCTTTTCATTGGAATCTGTTGCTGGAGAATTATTGTGCTTCTTTGGAGATGTTATGTTTCCTTTTTCATATTTCTTGCATCCTTATGTGACTATCTGTGCCTCTGACATAACAGTCACTGCTTCCAATTTTATGGATTGGCTTTTATATGGGAAAGACCTTTTCTTATAGCTATATCTACAATGTTCATTGGATATCACAGTTTGGCTTTGATTCTGGGTGGGTACAGTGGTATAATCTGCATATGATTTCTTCTGCTGTAATTGGATGAGTGGTGTCTGTGAGTCATTCAGTGGCTTAGACTGTAGTTTTTGTTTGGTTTTTTTTTTTTTTTTTTTTTGTGGTTGTTGAGATGGAGTCTAGCTCTATCACCAGGCTGGAGTTCAGTGATGCAATCTCAGCTCACTGCAACCTCTGCCTCCTGGGTTCAAATGATTCTCCTGCCTCAGCCTCTTGAGTAGCTGGGACTACAGGCACGTGCAACCATGCCCAGCTAATTTTTGTACTTTTAGTAGAGACGGGGTGTCACCATGTTGGCCAGGCTAGTCTCAAACTCCTGACCTCGTGATCTACCCACCTTGGCCTCTCAAAGTGCTGGGATTACAGGCGTGAGCCACCACACCTGGCCAGAATGCAGTTGTTATTGGAAGCTGTGGTGAGGCTTTGCTGAGGATGGGGATGCCAGGAAGTCTTGTCCTTCAGCCTCAGTTGTAGTGGTGGTGGACCAAGTTTGTCAATACTAGGGACCACAGGCAGTATACATGGGCACTAATGATAGCCTGTCTGCATGGGCCAATCCCTGGGCCTCCAGGTGGCTTCTTTGGTTGCTGGCAGTGGCAGCACTGGGCCAGTTGGGCAGGTGCACCACTGGGCTCCTGGGTGGTGTGTGTGGCAGTCTGATCTCTAGTTCTCCAGGTGATCTGTGCAGGTTCTGGTGGTGGGTAGGCAGGTGTTTCCTCAGGCCTCTCAGTAGTAAGGGTGAGCACTAGCTCTGGAGGCAGGTGAGTCAATCTCCAGGCCCCCAGATGGTACATTCAGGCACCAGCATATTCCTATGCATTTCTAGATAAAAGTATTTTTCAGAAAACCTGAGCATATGTCCTATTAATACAACTTGTCCTCATCAACTCTGCATGAGAAGAAGGGAGAATTCCCTCAGTAGAACATTCAGAATGGAATCACAGACTTGTTTTGAGCCAGTCACTGGTAAGGGGGGATAGGCTAAAATGATAAGCTCAGAATCTAAACCTTAGACTAGGGAATGGCAAACTTTTTCCATAAAGAGGCAAACAGTAATATTTTAGGCTTTTGGTCTAGATAACCTCTGTTGCAGTGACCCAGTGGTGCCATTGTAGCCTAAAAGCATATGTAAAAAATGCATAAATGAATGGACCTGGTTTTATTCCAATAAAACTTAATTTATACCAACAGTCAGAGGGCCAGATTTGGCCCTTGGTCTATAGTTTGCCAACCCTGTTTAGACCAGTCACAATTTATTCCCTGGGGCTGGGCCAAATTTTTCTTAAAAAAAAAAAAAGCAACCTACTGTCAGAATAAAATAGGGTTTCTATTTAAAAAGAAGAAGAGGCTGGTGTGGTGGCTCATGTCTATAATCCTAGCACTTTGGGAGGGTGAGGCAAGAGGAGTGCTTGAGGCCAGGAGCTTGAAACCAACTTGGGCAATATAGTGAGATCCTGTCTCTGCAAAGAATAAAAAAATTAGCCAGGCACGGTGGCACATGTCTGTAGTCTTAGCTACATAGGAGGCTGAAGGGGAAGATCACTTGAGCTCAGGATTTTGAGGTTACAGTGATCTCTGACTGTACCACTTGTACTCTAGCCTAGGCAAAGATGGAGAACCCAAAAACAAAACAAAATAAAAAAAAGGTTGGTTGGGGTGGGTTGGAGAAGAAAGTATTTCTGAATTTCTGGGTAGGTTACTGGTAGTATCAGGCCAAACTAGCTCTACAGTCATATTCATTATAAATAAAGGCAACTAGAAGATCTCCATCTAGCTATTAAAAATTGGTTAAAATCTACAGAGATAAAGGACGGTGACCCTTGTATCAGTTAGTTGTTGTCACAAAATGCTGCATAACAAGTCACTCCAAATCTCAGTGGCATAATACAACAATCGTTTATTTTCATGGACCTATGGATCAGCTGAGGATTGGTTAATCTGGCATGAGCATGTCTCAGAAGCTCGACTTCGCTCTTGGTGTCTCTTATCTTCTGCTGGAAGCAGCAGTCTGGCCTGGGCTTGTTCTCATGGTGATAGCAGGAGTGAGCGAGCACAAATGAATGCACACTTTCCAAGTTTTTGGTCATGCAGGTTAATATTCCAGTGGCCAAAGCTAGACACATGACTAAACCCAACATTAGGGGCTGGAGAAATATACTCCGATTCTTCAGTGGGAGGAACTGCAGAGACAAATGGCAGAGTCTTGGATACAGGGAGGACATGGATCCATTAATGTACCTTAATCAACCGCAACCCTCTAACCACCAATGCAATTAAATATTTGTTGAATGCACTTGTGCCTGAATCCTTCTGGCTGCAGCCCAGGCAATGGGGGCCTGACTGGGGAGGGACCATAGCAGGGACTCGATGTCCTGCAGGTCTGCATGTAATTGTGTACGGCCGACTCCACATTGGTCATGGCTGACTTGCTTTGTCCTGCATCCCCAAGGGGCAACAATTGGCTGATTTTATTTCTAAACAATTTTGACAAAGTTGTTTTCAGGAGCCCAGGAAGCAAATCAGTTGTGGATTTGAATTTTGCAGGGGGTCAGAATTGTTGAATATATATATAGTCTTTTACATGTTGATAATCATTTCCATACCACAAAGAAGGCCGGCTATTAGGAGGCTGCTGTTCAATTCCTTTGCCCCATGAACTCATGAGCTGTGGCTATGTGGGGGGCACTCAGTTGTTAGAGCTGTTTCCTTTCATAACAACATCAGCCAACATTCTAAATAAATGCAGGAAATTAAATAGTCTTCCCCAGACAGGTACTTTGCCCTTCTAAAGTGAATTACACATTGTAAAATAAAACACAGTCACATTAAAAAACCAAAAGGTCTTTGTGTCAGGTTGGTCTGGCTTCAGCAAAGATAATATTTCCCTCCAGAGTAGAAGATCCTTGGAATCCATGGTATTGCATATGGCAGCCCCACGTCTTGTTTCCTTTTCTTTTTTTTTCGTTTTTAACTAAAAGAGTTGACAATTCTATTTTCACATTTCCCAATACAAATGAAAACTGCATCTTTTTTGGTCCCACTTCTCCCCTCCAAAACTATTCTCTTTGATGGGGCAAGAGGGCAAGTCTTCCTTATGCTGTTAAGAAAAGCCAGCATCACAGCGGCACGATCTCCTGGTGAAGGGAGCAGGTAAATATAAAACTCATACAGGCCGGGCGCAGTGGCTCACACCTGTAATCCCAGCACTTTAGGAGGCTGAGGCAAGCGGGTGACGAGGACAGGAGATTGAGACCATCCTGGCCAACATGGTGAAACCCTGTCTCTACTAAAATAAAAAAAATTAGCCAGGCATGGTGCACATGCCTGTAGTCCCACACTACTCAGGAGGCTGAGGCAGGGGAATCACTTGAAACCAGGAAGTGGAGGTTTCAGTGAGCTGAGATCGTGCCACTGCCTTCCAGCCTGGGTGACGGAGGAAGACTCTGTCTCAAAAACAAAACAAAACAAAAAAACGCACAACAATAACACCAAAAAAGCAACACTGATGTAATGAGCCCTCCCCTCTATCCTTATCTGTCTGGTCGAGTCATTCTGGGCTGACTGGGCACCATCATGAGATAGGCAGGAGGTCTCATCATTGGGCACCCAGGCATCACGGGCATGTGGCCTCCCATGGGCGGCCTCATTCCAGGAGCAGGTCCCACTGGCATCATCCCAGGAGGAGAAGGGCCCATCATTGGCATCATGGGAGGGCCTCCCATATGGGTGCTGCCATCATACTGAGATGTGTGAGAAGTGTCAAATACACATTAGATTGTGAAGCCTTAATATAAAAAGAAAGCAAAATATTTTGTTAATGTTAAAATATTTTATATATGTAGACCTGGTATTTTGGATAGATTTGTTTAAATCTGTGATATTATTCCAGTTACCTTCACTTCTTTTGTTTTCCTTTTTAAAATGTGGTTACTACAAAATGCAAAAGTAAATATGTGGCTTGCATCATATTTCATCATATTTAGTGTGGACCCTGAGGGTCTAAGGGAGTTATGAGCCTTAAGTTGAGGGTGACCCAGCTCATCGTGAATTGCTCTGAAAGAGAAGCAAAGGGCATAAAGAGAACGTATAAATGGAGAGAGGGAGCTCGGTCTTACAGGGTGAGGAAAGGCTTTCTTTATTACACAGTCTGGCACTTCTTCAAAAGCTTGAACACAGAGTTCTATGACCCAGCACTTCCACTCCAGTTTATGGAAGAAATGAAAATATATGTCCCTGCAGAAACTTGTACACAAATGCTCACAGCAGCATTATTCATAATAGCGCCAAAGTGAAAACAACACAAATGCTTGTCTACTGATGAGTAAAGAAATAGGACATGGTTTGACCATGCAATGGAATATTATTCAGTCATCAAAAGGAATGAAGTACTAACACGTGCTACAACACGGATGAACTATGAGAATATTAAGCTAAGTGGAAGAAACCAGTCACAAAAGGTCACATATTATAAGATTTCATTTATATGAAATGTCCAGAACACGCAAAGCTATGAAGACAGAAACCCTGTCTCTACTAAAAATACAAAATTAGATGGGCATGGTGGCATATCCCTGTAATCCCAGCTACTCGGGAGGCAGGAGAATTGCTTTAACCCGGGAGGCGGAGGTTGCAGTGAGCCGAGATTGTGCCACTGCACTCCAGCCGGTGACAGAGACTCTATCTCAAAAAAAGTAGATTGTCAGGGCTTAGTGGGAGGAGGAAATGGCAGGAACCTGCTCATGGATACAGGGTTTCCTTTTGGGGTGATGAGAATGTTTTAAAATTGATAATGATGGTGGTTGCCGACCTCTGTGAATGCACTGAAACCATTGATTTGTTCACTTTAAATGGGCAAATCATACGGTACCTGAATTATATTTTAATAGTTATATTAAAAAAGTAAAATCTTCCTTGAAGAGATGACACTTAAGGAGAGACCTAGGGGGTGGGATGAGTTCACTATGTAGAGAAATGAGGAACAGCATTTCAGGGTGAGGAACAGCATAGTGAAGTCCCTGAGGTTGATAGGCATAGAGCAGATTTAAGGGACTTTTTTTTGAGACGGACTTTCAGTCTTGACGCCCAGGCTGGAGTGGAGTGGTGTGATCTTGGCTCACTGCAACTTCTGCCTCCTGAGTTCAAGCGATTTTCCTGCCTCAGTCTCCCTAGTAGCTGGGATTACAGGCGCCCTCTACCACACCTGGCTAAGTTTTGGATGTTTAGTAGAGATGGGGTTTCACCATGTTGACCAGGCTGGTCTCGAACTCCTGATGCCAGGTGATCCACCCGCCTCAGCTTCCCAAAGTACTGGGATTACAGACGTGAGCCACTGCGCTCAGCCAGATTTAAGGGACTTTCAAGAAGTTTGTGTGGCTGAAGCCTGCAGGGCAAGCGAAAGAATCAGGAAATGAGGCTGGAGAAAGAGAGGGGCTAGGTCATGGAGGGTCTCACATTAGTGTGTGGAAACTTCATACGAGTGGTCCCACCTTGGGCATCCCACGTAACTACTCTTTGTCCCAGCTTCCCCACTCGTGAAATCAAGGGTGATGTAGGGATGGACTGAGATAGAGTGTGCTAAGTAAAGGTGAGCTTTGATCATTGTTTTTTGTTTGTTTGTTTTGAGATGGAGTCTCACTCTGTCGCCCAGGCTGGAGTGCAGTGGCGCTATCTCGGCTCACTGCAACCTCCGCCTCCCGGGTTCACGCCATTCTCCTGCCTCAGCCTCCCGAGTAGCTGGGACTACAGGAGCCCGCCACCACGCCTGGCTAATTTTTTTAATATTTTTAGTAGAGACGGGGTTTCACCGTGTTAGCGAGAATGGTCTGAATCTCCTAACGTCGTGATCCACCCGCCTCGGCCTCCCAAAGTGCTGGGATTACAGGCGTGAGCCCCCGTGCCCGGCTGAGCTTTTATCATTGTTAACCCATAGAGCAGTGGGAGCCATTGAAAGTGAGTGATCTGTTTGGATGCACCTTCTGAAGTGATTGCTTTGGTCCCTGTGAGGAGTGCAGATTGTCACAGGGCCAGGGGAAGACAGAGGCCAGTGAGGAGGCATTTGCAGTCAAACAGCTGGAAGTGATGGTGGCTTGGTTTATGGTGGTGTCAGGAGAGTGGCTGAGCAGTGAACGGATCTGAAAAGATTTAGGAGGTAAAACCCACGTGACTTGGTCACTGAATGTGGGTTGGGTTGGCTGGAGGGAAGGTAAGAAAGAATGAGAAGAAAAACATACTCAAGTGGGCCCTCCAGCCTAAGGTTACTTGAAGTCCCTTTGTGAAGAGGAATATTTGTGTTTATGATGAAGATGTCTAGACTTTCAAAGGCCACTTGCAGTATTTTTTTTTTTAACAGCCAACAACTCCTCCTTCCCTATGCCCTAAACATATGAATTTTTTTTGGCCCTAATTTATTATAGAGGGATGGATGTTCATTTGCTTTAATGAGAAACGCAGTATGCCAATAAGAAAGCATATTCAATTAATCTGGATTGCTGTGAGGGAGTTTAATCTGTTTCGATGTGCACCAGTGTTACTATAATAGTTTGCTCTAAACCCATTTCTGGCCTGTGGCTGCAGGAGTTTGACTCCCAGCTTGCTTTCATTTGAAAGATCCCAGCAACAAGCACACTTGGCATTTCCAGCCAAACCCACTTTGTGCAGCGAAGAAAAAGTTGAGGAGTGCCTCTGTTGTTTTCCCCCAAATCATTTGGCAGAAATGTGGCTGGGAGTTTCATTGCTGATTTTTTCAGTTTTAGTATTGCTGTGGAAAGCCTGTACCAACACTCAGCCATGTTATTCATCCACAGCTCCAGTCTGGGCTGTGATTTGTTTTTCCTTTGAGTGAGACTGAATGCAAATAGACACTCATGCACCATCACCATCACTCCCCCTGATTGGCGGAGGGAAGTCAATGGAGTGATTCTAGTTTGGTGTTCATATCGGAGGGTTTTATTTATTCTGAGACGGAATCTCTCTCTGTCACCAGGCTAGAGTGCAGTGGCGCACTCTCGGCTCACTGCAACCTCTGACTCCCTGGTTCAAGCGATTCTCCTGCCTCAGCCTCCCGAGTAGCTGGGCTTCGAGGCATGTACCACCACGCCCGGCTAATTTTTTGTATTTTTAGTAGAGACGGGGTTTCACCGTGTTAGCCAGGACGGTCTTGATCTCCTGACCTCGTGATCCGTCCGCCTCGGCCTCCCAAAGTGCTAGGATTATAGGCGTGAGCCACTGTGCTAGTCCTGGAGTTGTTTTTAAAAGCACATTTCTCTCACATTAACTCCGAGGTGTCCCACTGTGACTTGGGCAAAGGTTTGGATTTTCTGGAGGTGGAAAGTCGAACTTCAAATAGAATTTGGAGGCTGCCACTGTGGCTCATGCCTGTAATCCCAGTACTTTGGGAGGCTGAGGTGGGTGGATCATTTGAGGCCAGAAGGTCGAGACCAACCTGGGCCACATGAAAAGGCCTCGTTTCTACTAAAAATACAAAAATTAGCCAGGCGTGGTGGTACATGCCTGTAACCCCAGCTACTTAGGAGGCTGAGGCAGGAGTTATCGCTTGAACCTGGGAGGCAGAGATGTCCTGTGTCCACACCCCATGAGGCGTATCAGCTGGCTGAAGATAAAATCGGTCACGCTGTGTTGGGATTGGGGTTGCTGTTATCATCCCTCATCCCCACCCCTGCTAGGCATCCACAAATAGTCGTCTTCAATGAGACGTCCCTCCTGCCCCTGGCTGCCTTATTTCATCTGCACCCAACCTTATCCATTGCTTGTCAGTGGGTCTCAACCTTGGCTGCACCTTGGAATCTCCTGGGGAGATGAGACAATACCAAGGCTCTCTCTCACTCAGCGTGATGTTTCCAAGTTCCATCCACATGTAGTAGGCACCAATACTTCCATTGTACGGATACAGCACATTTTGTTTATTCATTCATAAACCGAATGACCATCTTTGTTGTTGCTACCTTTTGGTTATTATATATATTACATGATTCCATTTATGTGAAAGGTCCAGAATACGCAAATCTGTAGAGGCAGAAAGCAGGTAAGTGGTTGCCAGGAACTGGGGGAAAGGGGAGGGGATGGAGAGTGCTTGATGGATACAGGGTTATTTTTTGGGGGGCGGGGGGTGTTAAAGAAAATGTTTTGGAACTAGACAGAGATGATGATTGCTTAACATTGTGAAGGTATTTAATGATACTGAAGTGTATGATTTCATACAGGGACTTGTATGTTATGTGTATTTGGCCTCATTAAAAAAATAGTGCTTGGAGCAATGGCTCATGCCTGTAGTCCCAGCACTTTGGGAGGCCAAGGCGGGCGGATCACCTGAGGCTGGGAGTTGGAGACCTGCCTGGCCAACATGGTGAAACCCTATCTCTATTAAAAATACATGAATTATCCCTTCACATCTTTGGGGGGTAACTTTTACAGTGCAGTCTAACAACCAGCTGCCTCAAAATCACTGGGATCCCTCGTAACCAGGTAGCTCCCCCATCTCCAACTCTGACCCGCCAAGTCAGAATCTTGTGGGTGGGGCAGAGAACGGTACATATTGAAACAGACAGTAACCTGGGAACTATTTCTGAACACCCCTGTTTCCCCTGTGTTTGCCCTTTCACATTTGGACCCCTTTGTGTGCTGACCACTGGGCTGTTTCACGTGGACATAACATAAAAAAGACAGGCCAGGTGCAGTGGCTCATGCCTGTAATCCCAGCACTTTGGGAAGCCAAGGTGGGCGAATCACTTGAGGCCAGGAGTTCGAGATCTGCCTGACCAACATGACAAAACCCCATCGCTACCAAAAATATGAAATTAGCTGGGTGTGGTGATGTACACCTTTGATCCCAGCTACTCAGGAGGCTGAGGCTGGAGAATCCCTTGAGCCCAGGAGGCAGAGACTGCAGTGAGCCGAGATCGCACCATTGCACTCCAGTCTGGGTGAGAGTGAGACTATTAAAAAAAAAAAAAAGACAGAGATGGTCCCTCCTTTAGGGAGCTCTCAGTAAAATAAGAAAGCTCACGATGTCCTGGCATTTGTCAGAAATATATTTGGTATATGTAGCTGGGTTCACATGCTTGACATGCCTATTGAAAGCTTCTGAGTAGGAAGAGAACAATCATCACAGCATCACAGCCTGGCATAACTGTCTCCCAGGACAGGTCTCCCTGGGGAGACAACTCTGAAATCAGAGCTCAAATCCAGGTTCTACTTTTCGCTCAGTAATGTACATGATGTAGGACAGTTTTTATATTAGTTATCTATTGCTGTGCAAAAATATTACTGCAAACTTTGTGGCTTGAGACAGCAAACAGTTACCACTGCACGGTTTCTGTGGATTAGAAATCCAGGTGTGACTCAGCTGGGTTCAATGCAAGCCTGTGGCCATAGTGTCAGCCAGGGCTCAGTTCTCATCTGGAGGCTTGACTGGTGATTGATCTGCTTCCAGGCTCATCTGGTTGTTGGCAGCATTCAGTTCCTTGCAGGCTGCTGGACTCAGGGCCCCAGTTTCTTGCTGCCATCAGCTTCTTGCCACATGGGCCTCTCCATCTGGCCGCTCATGACATGGCAGCTCACATCTTCAAAGCCAGCAAGACAGACAGCCTCCTAGCAAGACAACTTAACATCCTATCTATCTAACATAATCACTACATCCTGTCACCTCTGCCATATTCTCTTGGTTATAAGAAAGTCATAGGTCCCTTTGTCAGATGAGTAGATTGCAAAAATTTTCTCCCATTCTGTAGGTTGCCTGTTCACTCTAATGGTAGTTTCTTTTGCTGTGCAGAAGCTCTTTAGTTTAATTAGATCCCATTTGTCAATTTTGGCTTTTGTTGCCATTGCTTTTGGTGATTTAGACATGAAGTCCTTGCCCATGCCTATGTCCTGAATGGTATTGCTGAGGTTTTCTTCTAGGGTTTTTATAGTTTTAGGTCTAACATTTAAGTCTTTAATCCATCTTGAATTAATGTTAGTATAAGGGGTAAGGAAGGGATCCAGTTGCAGTTTTCTTCATATGGGTAGCCAGTTTTCCCAGCACCATTTATTAAATAGGGAATCCTTTCCCCATTTCTCGTTTTTGTCAGGTTTGTTAAAGATCAGATAGCTGTAGATGTGTAGCATTATTTATGAGGGCTCTGTTCTGTTCCATTTGTCTATATCTCTGTTTTTGTACCAGTACCATGTTGTTTTGGTTACTGTTGTCTTGTAGTATAGTTTAAAGTTAGGTAGCGTGATGCCTCCAGCTTTGTTCTTTTGGCTTAGGATTGACTTGGCAATGCAGGATCTTTTTTGACTCCATATGAACTTTAAAGTAGTTTTTTCCAATTCTGTGAAGAAAGTCATTGGTAACTTGAGGGGGATGGCATTGAATCTATAAATTACCTTGGGCAGTATGGCCATTTTCACGATACTGATTCTTCCTACCCATGAGCATGGAATGTTCTTCCATTTGTTTGTATCCTCTTTTATTTCATTGAGCAGTGGTTTGTAGTTCTCCTTGAAGAGGTCCTTCATGTCCCTGGTAAGTTAGATTCCTAAGTATTTTATTCTCTTTGAAGCAATTGTGAATGGGAGCTCACTCATGATTTGGCTCTCTGTTATTGGTGTATAAGAATGCCTGTGATTTTTGCACACTGATTTTGTATCCTGAAACTTTGCTGAATTTTGGTATTTTTAGTAGAGATGGGGTTTGCTGAATGCAGCCCCCAGTCACGTACTCCCTGCTTGGTCAATCGATCATGACCCTCTCATGTGGACTCCCTTAGATTTGTGAGCCCTTAAAAGGGACAAGAGTTGCTCACTTGGGGAGCTGGGTTGTTAGAGACATGCGCCACCATGCCCAGCTAATTTTTTTATTTTTAGTAAAGACGGGGTTTCACCATGTTGGTTGGCCAGAATAGTCTCGATCCCTTGACCTCGTGATCTGCCCACCTCAGCCTCCCAAAGTGCTGGGATTACAGGTGTAAGCCACTGCACCCAGCCCAGAGAAGGCTTTTCCTACTTGCTTCACAGCCTCCTGCATCCTACACCAGCACCAGGCTCTCACCACCTGTGGGCTGCCCTCATCTGTGATCATCTCTCCCCAGGCCTGCTGTTCCTCAAGAAAGGAAGTTGTAATGGACAGAATACTAAGACAGCCCCCAAGAGACCCACTCCCTTATATCTGCTCCCTGTATCATCTCCTCTTCTTGAGTGTGTGCAGAGCTTGTGATTTGGCCAAGAGGAAGGAATTTTGCAAATGTGATTATGGTCACAGTTGCTTTGTTAAGCACATTTGTTCAGCTGACTTTGAGTTCATCCAAAGCAGGATGATCTTAGGTGGGCCAGACCTAATCAGGTGAATCTTTTAAAGGTGAAGTTTCAGAGGTTCAACCCTTAGCCTCCAAGGAGACACAAATGGCCATGCTGTGAGCTGTCTTTGGAGGTGGCAGCTCTAGGAGTTGAGGGCCTTCATTCAACAATTGCAAGATATTGAATTCAGTCCACAAACTGAATAAGCTTGGAAGAGGATACTGAGCATCCCATGAGACCCCAGCTCCAACTGACACTCTGGTTGCAGTATTGTGACCCTGAATAGAGGACCCAGTTAAACCCTGCCCAGACCCTTGGTGGTGTTTTAAGCTGCTCAGTTTGCACTGGTAAATCCACCAACAGGAAAGTAATATAGAAGTTAAATGGGCCGGACGTGGTGGCTCATGCCTGTAATCCCAACACTTTGGGAGGCTAAGGTGGGTGGATCACAAGGTCAAGAGATGGAGACCATCCTGGCCAACATGGTGAAACCCCGTCTCTACTAAAAATACAAAAATTAGCCAGGCGTGGTGGCACACACCTGTAATCCCAGCTACTCAGGAGGCTGAGGCAGGAGAATCACTTGAACCCAGGAGGCGGAGGTTGCAGTGACCCGGGACCATGTCACTGCACTCCAACCTGGGCAACAGAGAGAGACTCCATCTCAAAAATATATATATATATATATATATTTTTTTTTAAACGAATACTTTTGACCATTGATGGAAGTTACTTTCATTCCCTCTTACTTAATCATCTTTATCTTAGCCCTGAAAGAGGGATGCTTTAACCTCATTTGTAACAAGTGAGTCTGAGGCTCAGGAAAGTGATAGAATTTAGCAAAGTTCACCTTGCTACCTGGTGGCCCCAGCTAGAACTCAGACCCAGATCCATATACCTAAAGTCATTACAACATCAACTAAAATTTTGCCCCTCACTCCATGCCTTCCTCTTAAGAAGCCTGTTCCTTCAGGGATAGATCCCAACCCAGTGTTACAAGGTACTGAACTCTGATTTTCACAAAATATAGTAACTACCCCCCAAAATTAGTAATAGTATTTTTGAGCCGGGCACGGTGGTTCATGCCTGTAATTCCAACACTTTGGGAGGCTGAGGTGGGCAGATCATGAGGTCAAGAGCATCCTGGACAACATGGTGAAACCCCATCTCTACTAAAAATACAAAAATTAGCTGGGAGTGGTGGCAGGTGTCTGTAATCCCAGCTACTAGGGAGGCTGAGGCAGGAGAATCGCTTGAACCCAGGAGGCAGAGTTTGCAGTGAGCTGAGATTGCACCACTGCACTACAGCCTGGCAACAGAGCAAGACTCTGTCTCAAAAAAAAAAAAAAAAAAAAAAAACTAAAAAAAACTATTTTTGAGTCCTTATGTGTCAACCACTGGGCTATCCCAACACCAACAGATACTATGATTATGATTAGTTTTTCCATTTTATTGATGAGGAAGCCAACACATAGAAAGGTAAAGGAACTTGCCAAAGGTGATGGTCACACAGCCAAAGAGCTGTAGAAGCAGCACAGGAATCCCAGCAAACTCACAGCCAAGCTCTGCTTTTCACCTTCACATCATACTGTCCTCAGACTAAAACCCTAACTCTGACCTTCCCAATCAAAAATCATACTCAAGGCCGGGCACAGCGGCTCACGCCTGTCATCTCAGCACTTTGGGAGGCTGAGACAGGTGGATCACCTGAGGTCAGGAGTTCCAGACCAGCCAGGCCAACATGGTGAAACCCCATCCCTACTAAAAATACAAAACTTAGCCAGGTGCGGTGGTGGTTGTCTGTAGTCCCAGCACTTTGGGAGGCTGAGGCATGAAAATCACTTGAACCCAGGAGGCAGAAGTTGCTGTTATCCATGATCATGCCACTGCACTCCAGCCTGGGCAAGAGAGTGAGACTCTGTCTCAAAAAAAAAAAAAAAAAAAAAAAAAAAAAAAAAAAAATTGTGCTTAGTAATAGCTTGGAAGTGCACATATCTTCTGTGAAGTTTGATGGACTACAGTTAGCTTCAAAACACAAATAAGTAACTGCATTTAAATGAGACCTTCTGTGTAATAGCTAGGGAAAGTCAATGTAGATATTCATATTTTGGTTCCTCTTCCAGGCACAGAGAAGTTGCCCATGACTCTTTGATCTGTTTTGTCCAATGAACCATGAGCAGGAGCAACTTGAGTCACCTCCAGGTGGAAGTGTTAAGAGGCTCTATGATCCACCACATTCTCTTTCCCCTGAAGTGGTGATCAAGGACACATGCAGAGATGGGGCTTTTGTCAGCCTGGATCCCTGAGTGAACACAATGAACAGACCACCCCACAATGCCCTAACACAGCCCAGACATGCAACGTGACCAAGAATAAGCCTCACTGTGGCCAGACATGGTGGCTCATGCCTGTCATCCCAGCACTTTGGGAGGCCAAGGCGGGTGGATCATTTGAGGTCAGGAGTTCAAGACCAACCTGGCTAACATGGTGAAATACTGTCTCTACTAAGTACAAAAATTAGCCAGACAGTGATGGCATGGGCCTGTAATCCCAGCTACTCAGGAGGCAGGAGAATCACTTGAGTCTGGGAGGCAGAGGTTGCAGTGAGCTGAGATTGCACCACTGCACTCTAGTCTGGGTGACAGAGTGAGACCCTGTCTCAAAAACAAACAAACAAATACCTCACTGCATGAGGCCACTGAGATTTGGGGATTGTTGTTACAGCACCAGAACGCAAATCATCCTGACTGCTAGGGTGTCCTAACTAGGGTTTCTTACCAAAAGCAAAGGCATTTTTAAAGTTCGTGACATTTAAACAAAAGAGCAAATACCAATATCTACCACTTTGTCAGGCTAACAAACCCAAACAAAGCCAACAGCCAGAAGTTAAAATAAACAGATCATTAGGTTGAAAATAGAACTGTCAAAACAGGCCCAATTGACTTCATTTAGTGATTGCAAAGAACATCAGGCAAGACACAGGTATGCTCATCATAACATTTATCACATGCTTAATTGCACATGTTTGACTAAGAAAAACACAAAGTATTTAAGCTCATCTGTAGTTCAAAGTGCCTATCCATGTATTTATCTATTCATCCTGATGTATTTATTGAGCAACTCTTTTGTGCCAGGCACTGTGCTGTGTTGCGGGAAGTCAGGGACCCCAAACGGAGGGACCAGCTGAAGCCATGACAGAAGAACGTGGATTATGAAGATTTTATGGACATTTATTAGTTCCCCAAATTAATACTTTTGTAATTTCTTATGCCTGCCTTTACTGCAATCTCTAAACATAAATTGTAAAGATTTCATGGACACTTATCACTTCCCCAATCAATACCCTTGTGATTTCCTATGCCTGTCATTACTTTAATCTCTTAATCCTGTCAGTCGAGAAGGATGTATATCGTCTCAGGACCTGTAATAATTGCGTTAAGTACACAAATTGTACAGCATGTGTGTTTGAGCAATATGAAATGTGGGCACCCTGAAAAAAGAACCGGATAACAGCAATTGTTCAGGGAATAAGAGAGATAACCTTAAACTCTGACCGCCCGGTGAGCCGGGCAGAACAGAACCATATTTCTCTTCTTTCAAAAGCAAATGGGAGAAATATCGTTGAATTCCTTTTCTCAGCATGGAACGTCCCTGAGAAAGAGAATGCGCACCTAGGGGTAGGTCTCTGAACTGGCCCCCCGGGGCATACCTGTCTCTTATGGTCGAGATTGCAGAGGTGAAATAAACTCCAGTCTCCCATAGCACTCCCAGGCTTATTAGGAAGAGAAAATTCCCGCCTAATAAACTTTGGTCAGACGGGTTGATCTCAAAACCCTGTCTCCTCATAAGATGTTATCAATGACAATGGTGCCAAAACTTCATTAGCAATTTTAATTTCACTTCCGTCCTGTGGTCTGGCCCTGTCTCCACTTGCCTTGTGATATTCTATTACCCTGTGAAGTACTTGATGTCTGTCACCCACACCTATTCATATACTCCCTCCCCTTTTGAAACTCCCTAATAAAAACTTGCTGGTTTTTGTGGCTTGTGGGGCATCACGGATCCTACCAATGTGTGATGTCTCCCCCAGATGCCCAGCTTTACAATTTCTCTCTTTTGTACTCTGTCCTTTTATTTCTCAAGCCAGTCGACGCTTAGGAAAATAGAAAAGAACCTACGTGATTATCGGGGCAGGTCCCCCGATATCTGGCGCCCACGTGGTCTTTCTTTTTTCCTAAGTGCATGAGGGAACCGGATTCCCTTTGGTAGGTGCGGTGAAACGTCAATCGGCTTGGTCCACAGATAAGCGTGTTCAACTCCCCGACGAGTGGTGAGTAATCTGTGTAAGGTCTGGGTTAACTGTGGGTCATGTGTAATCTAACAAACTCCTGTTAAAACCGGTAACCATGAAAAATATGATCACTCTATTCAGGGCAGTAGAAAAATACTGTTCTTGGTTTCCTGAAAAAGGAACGGTGTATATAAAATTGTGTGATTGTGTCCGTAAGGCATTCCGAAAACTGATCTCGGCCGGGTATTATGTGCCCATCACTGTTTGGGGTGCTTGGTGCGTGACATCTTCGTGGCTTGCCAATCTCGTGACCCCCTGCAGTTGCCGCAGTTTTCTGCCTTTTCCTCAGTTTCTCTGCCTTTTTCTCAACCTTCCTCTCCCACATGGCCTTCGTTCAGACTCTCCCTTCAGCTACTCCTCCCCTCCCTAACGATTCTGAAAATTCGATTTCTAACTCTGGTAACTTTGGCTTAAAGTTACCCCCTACTTTTCTTACTTCTTCCCACGAAAAGCCGGTACTTCACACTCCTGCGGCTGTGACTCACAAAGCCCGGTAACATAAATATGCTAATTCTTCTCTCTTCAAACCTCCAGCATCAAATAATGGCTCTGGGACCAAACTACAATTTACCTGTCATTCTCCAGGCCCTCCCCCATCCACTACAGCCCCTCACCCTCCTGTCGTTTCAGTTCCTCAGCCAGTCTGCATCGATAGGCGCCGCTCAATCTTACCTTTTTAAAAACAATTTAAGGATGCTTGTACTCAGTATGGTCCTACTTTTCCTTATGTTCAAATGGTATTGCAAACTTTTTATACTGAGGTTGTTTTGCTTCCTTTAGACTGTGATCTTTTGGCAAAAAGCTGTTCTAAGTCCATCTCAGCCTGGTGGTCAGAGGAGGCCTGTTTACAGGCTCAGCTAAATCGGAGTAATGGCATTCTAATTACTCAGGCTCAGCTCACAGGCTCCGATAGTTTCTCTGATGCTTATGCCCAATTAAACTTTGATACTCTTACCACAAAACAAGTAACAAAAGTGTGTATGAGAGCTTGGGATAAACTACACTCCCGAGCCCAAGCTCTTGTTTCTTTTACTACTGTTAAACAAGTTCAATTGCTTTTACTACCTAATATCCTTTTAAACAAAGGAGATAAGACAAGTGGCCCTGGGATTCAGCAGTGGCCGCTTTCTAAAGAAAAACTGGAGGCTTTAAATCAATTGGTTTCTGAGCAGTTACAACTTGGAAATGTGGAACCTTCTCTTTCCCCTTGTAATTCTCCTGTGTTTCTAGTAAAAAAGAAATCAGGCAAATGGCGGATGGTAACCGATTTAAGGGCCATTAATGCTGTAATTAAACCTATAGGGGCCGTCCAACCCGGCATGCCTGCCCCTGCTTTAATACCTAAAGATTGGCCTCTCATACTTATTGATCTTAAAGAGGTTTTTTTTTCATATCGCTTTACATAAATCGGATTGTGAAAAATTTGCTTTTACTGTACCATCTATCAATAATCAGGAGCCTGTAGCTCGTTATCAATGGAAAGTACTTCCTCAGGGAATGCTAAATAGCCCTACAATCTGCCAGCTTTATGTTGGACAAGTGCTTTCACCAGTTTGAGCCCGATTTCCCGAGGCCTATATTCTTCATTATATTGATGATATTTTAATTTCTGCCCCCACTGATAAAAAATTAATTGACTGTTACCAAATTTTGAACCGCTGTGTTACAGAGGCTGGATTACGCATTGCTCAGGATAAAATTCAACAGACCACTCCTGTTCAATATTTAGGAATGGTGGTCGATAAACAATGTATTCAACCTCAAAAAGTTCAAATTAGGAGAGATTCTTTAAAAACTTTAAATGACTTCCAAAAACTTTTGGGTAACATTAATTATTTAAGACCTACTTTAGGCATTCCGACCTATACCCTGTCTAACTTGTTCTCTATGCTGCGGGGAGATTCTGATCTCCGCAGCCCTAGGACTTTGACCCCTGAGGCTTTACTGGATCTGGAATTTGTAGAGGAAGAAATCCAGACCGCCCAGTTATCTAGAGTACAGACATTTCAGCCTTTTCAGCTTCTGGTTTTTGCTTCATTACACTCTCCTACTGGACTAATAGTTCAACATAATGATTTAGTGGAATGGTGTTTTCTTCCTCATTCTGTGTCAAAAACTTTATCTAGACCAAATAGCCATATTAATTGGACAGGTTCGGTGCAGAATACTTCAATTTTCTGGATTTGATCCAAGTGTAATTGTAGTTCCTTTAAATCAGCTCGAAGTTCAAGCTGCCTTTCAACATTCTGTACTGTGGCAAATTCACTTGGCTGATTTTATTGGTGTTATTGACGATCATTATCCAAAAAAACAAATTGTTTGATTTTATAAAAATAACGTCTTGGGTGGTTCCTAGATTAACCAAAAATCAACCCATTCCTGAGGCCGTTACAGTATTCACTGATGGCTCTGGTAATGGCAATGCTGGCTATACAGGTCCTGCAGACAAACTTCTTTCTACCTCTTATACTTCTCTTCAAAATGCGGAGTTAATTGCTGTGATTACTGCCTTACAGGATTTCCCCAAACCTTTAAATATTGTCTCTTATTCTACTTAACGTGGGGAAGAGGATATGCTTGTGTTTCACCAGGAGATCATCAATCCCCTGTCTGGGTGCCCACCAGAAGACTCAAGCTTCTTGTGAATACTGACAATCAAAACCACAGTGAAGAGACGTCTGTGTCAGAGACTGCCTTCAGATGTGGTGAGATCTGTGCCGACTCCTCAGAAACAGGCACACCAAATCACAATGGGTGTAAATCAATCCTCCCTGATGACAGTGGAGACCCATCTAACTAATCACACTTATCCTGATTACCTTTCTTTTTCTCCTTACAAACCTAAATATCTCACCATTTCTATTAGCCTGAAAATAACATCCCACTCTTCTTCTCTTTCTCCTTCAGCACTCCATCTCGCTTACACTAGGTTTTATTTAATGATTCTCCTCCTTATACTTTCTGTCTCACCAGTTTCCTCTCACACTGATTTACCTGCTACACATAATTATTCTTCTTGGGCTTAGGTGTCTTTTCCTCCACTTATTCGCTCTCTCACCCGGATAGATGCTCCCGCAGAAATCTACACTAACGATAGTGTGTGGATGCCTGGAGCCATAGACGACCCTTGCCCCGCACAACCAGGAGAAGAAGGCACTGCATTTAATGTTACCATGGGTTATAAATACCCACCTCTGTGCCTCGGACATGCACCTGGTTGCATCCATCTAGAAACTCAGTTCTGGGCTGCTTATCTTTCAGAAACATCAGCTACAGATAAAATGGGACATTTGGCCTCTGGCCTCTCCCTTTCTCCTTTACAACAAATGAAAGGAGGAGTAATGGGAGGTACCCCATACTTTCAATATAAACCTGCAGGAAAACCATGCCCTAAACATTTTGAGGGACCATCTAAAACTTTAATTTGGGAAGATTGTGTTAACTCACATGCAGTAATATTAAAAAATGACTCATATGGTTTAGTAATAGACTGGGCACCATAGGGCTATTTAAAAAACAATTGCTCCTCTGTGGAAGGGAATGCCTGGAGGCTACTTATTTTATTTCTTATCCGGAGAAAGAGAATCATCATTCTACTTTGCATAGAAGGATCAGCTCATTCTTTCCCTTAAAATGGGAAGATAAAGGCATTACCCGCCCCCTCCAGGCCTCCTATGACACTCCCTATTCTGAGCCCAGAACACCCAGAACTTTGGAAATTGGCTATTGCCATGGCTGGACTGCGAGTATGGGAAGGAAAAACTATTTTGACTGTTGTTCCCACTACCGTCCCATTCTCTCAGTATCATCGTAGACCCAGACATTCTGCTTCACTTACCTCCAACCTGACTGTTCCCATACAGAGTTGTGTTGAGCCTCGTTACATGCTATTGGTAGGAAATATCAAAATTTGGATGAATAATCAAACTGTCCAGTGCGTCAATTGTCATCTATACACTTGTATTAACTCCCATTTTGACTCCAGGAAAAGTGTAATGTTGGTTCAAGCTGGAGAAAGAATCTGGATTCCGATAACTTTACCTCGACCTTGGGAATTCTCCCCCTCAATACATTTAATTAATGAAGTGGTACAACGAATTCAAAAAAGATCTGGTACAACGAATTCTAAAAAGATCTAAGAGATTTGTTTTCACTTTAATCGCTGTTATCATGGGCCTAATTACAGTCACTGCAATGGCCACCACTGCCGGAATGGAATTACACCAGTCTATTCAAACGGCTCATTTTGTTAATGATTGGCAAGCCAATTCCACCCAAATGTGGAATTCTCAACAAGACATCGATCAAAAATTGGCAAAGCAAATTAATGATTTAAGACAGTCTGTTATTTGGCTTGGAGATCAGGTAGTGAGTCTAGAACATCGCATGCAAATGCAGTGCGATTGGAATACTTTGGATTTCTGCATCACCCCTATTCCTATAACGAGACTGATCATTCATGGGAAACGGTCAAAGGACACCTTCTAGGTAGAAAAGGTAATTTATCATTGAAAACAACTAAATTAAAAAAGCAAATTTTTGAAGCCTCCCAAGCTCACTTATCCATCGTGCCTGGAGCTCAGGCGTTAGATCAGGTGGCAGAAAATCTTTATGGATTAAGTCTATTGGGGGATCCACTGTACTAAATTTTGGAATTATGTTTCTCTGCTTAATCGGCTTGCTTTTAGTGTGCCGTACCAGTCAAATAATCCTGTGTCAAAATCGAGAGAACGAACAAGCCTTCATCGCCATGGCACATTTATATAAAAAGAAAGGGAGAGATGTTGCGGGAAGTCAGGACCTCAAACGGAGGGACCGGCTGAAGCCATGACAGAAGAACGTGGATTATGAAGATTTTATGGACATTTATTAGTTCCCCAAATTAATACTTTTGTAATTTCTTATGCCTGTCTTTACTGCAATCTCTAAACATAAATTGTGAAGATTTCATGGACACTTATCACTTCCCCAATCAATACCCTTGTGATTTCCTATGCCTGTCTTTACTTTAATCTCTTAATCCTGTCAGTCGAGAAGGATGTATATCGTCTCAGGACCTGTAATAATTGCGTTACATACACAAATTGTACAGCATGTGTGTTTGAGCAATATGAAATGTGGGCACCCTGAAAAAAGAACAGGATAACAGCAATTGTTCAGGGAATAAGAGAGATAACCTTAAACTCTGACCGCCGGTGAGCCGGGCAGAACAGCACCATATTTCTCTTCTTTCAAAAGCAAATGGGAGAAATATCGTTGAATTCCTTTTCTCAGCATTGAACGTCCCTGAGAAAGAGAATGCGCACCTAGGGGTAGGTCTCGGAACTGGCCACCCATGGCGTACCTGTCTCTTATGGTCGAGATTGCAGAGGTGAAATAAACTCCAGTCTCCCATAGCACTCCCAGGCTTATTAGGAAGAGAAAATTCCCGCCTAATAAACTTTGGTCAGACGGGTTGATCTCAAAACCCTGTCTCCTGATAAGATGTTATCAATGACAATGGTGCCAAAACTTCATTAGCAATTTTAATTTCACTTCCGTCCTGTGGTCCTGTGATCTCACCCTGTCTCCACTTGCCTTGTGATATTCTATTACCCTGTTAAGTACTTGATGTCTGTCACCCACACCTATTCATATACTCTCTACACTTTTGAAACTCCCTAATAAAAACTTGCTGGTTTTTGTGGCTTGTGGGGCATCACGGATCCTACCAATGTGTGATGTCTCCCCCCAGACGCCCAGCTTTACAATTTCTCTCTTTTGTACTCTGTCCTTTTATTTCTCAAGCCACTCGACACTTAGGAAAATAGAAAAGAACCTACCTGATTATCAGGGCAGGTCCCCCGATAGTGTTGGATGGTGGTAATGAAACGATGAAGATGGCAGGCATGCATCTGCCCTCCAGGAGTTTCTAGGATACAGAGGGACAAATAAAAAATAAGTAAATCCATGAAAGAAGTATAGGCAGAACCTGCCCCCAATATTTCAATGTAGGTTCTTTCTATTTTCCATAAGTGTCAGCCAGCTGAGAAATAAAGAGAGACACTACAAAGAGGAATTTTACAGCTGGGCTGCTGCGGGTGACATTACACATCAGTAGGACCGTGATGCCCCCTGAGTCTCAGATGAGCAAGTTTTTATTAAGGGCTTCAAAAGGGAAGGGGGTGTAAGAACAGGGAGTAGGTACAAAGGTCACATGCTTCAAAGGGCAAAAAGCAGAACTACTACTAAGGGTCTAACAAAGATCACGTGCTTCTGAGGGAACAGGACAAAGGACAAAAGCAGAACTACTGATAAGTGTCCAGCAAAGATCACAAAGCAAAGGGCAAAAGCAGAACCACTGATAAGGGTCTATGTTCAGCGGTGCATGTATTGTCTTGATAAACATCTTAAACAACAGAAAACAGGGTTCAAGAGCAGAGAACCAGGCTGACCACAGATATATCAGGGCGGAGTTTTTCTCCACCCTAGTAAGCCTTTGGGTACTGCAGGAGACCAGGGCGTATCTCAGTCCTTATCTCAACCGCATAAGACAGACATTCCCAGAGCGGCCATTTATAGAACTTCCCCCAGGAATGCATTCCTTTCCCAGGGTATTACTATTAATATTCCTTGCTAGGAAAAGAATTTAGCGATATCTCTCCTACTTGCACATCCGTTTATAGACTCTGCAAGAAGAAACATATGGCTCTTTTTGCCCAACCCTGCAGGCAGGCAGACCTTATGGATGTCTTCCTTTGTTCCCTAAAAATTGCTGTTATTCTCTTTTTCAAGGTGCACTGATTTCATATTGTTGAAATACACATGTTTTACAATTTGTACAGTTAACACAATTATCACAGTGGTCCTGAGGTGATGTACATCCTTAGCTTATGAATATAACAGAATTAAGAGATAAAAGACAGGTATAAGAAATTATAAAAGTATTATTTGGGAACTGATAAATGTCCATGAAATCTTCACCATTTATGTTCCTCTGCCATGGCTCCAGCCAGTCCCTCTCCATTTGGGGTCCCTGACTTCCCACAACAAGAAACAATAAGACGTTAAGGTGGAGAAGAGCAGGGTCAGGGAAGAGCTGTCTGTGGAAGCACCATTTTAGCTGACACCTAAAGGATGGTCTAATTTGGGGAGGTGCAGAGGAAAATCATTCCAGGCTGAAGCAGCAAGTGCAAAGGCCGTGTTGTGGAAAAAGGTTTGAAAGTCCAAGAAAACAAAAGGAGGCCATAGCGGCTGAAATAGAGTAGGCCAAGGGCAGGAGATAGGAGAGGGCTGGAGAGGTGGCAGGAACAGGCAGAAGACTCGGGGTCTCGATTTTATTCTATGTACCATGGGCAGGAAAGGCAGGGATGAGACTCAATGGACACCTTAAGATCACTGAAGTTGCCAGGTAGGAAATGGATTGCTGAGCATGGAGAGCAGGTGCAGAGTACCAGTTAAGACCAGTTAGGAGGCTGCTGTAGCCTAGCTGAGATAGCGGTGTCCTAGGCAAAGATAATGACAGTGAAGCTACAGAGACTGGACAAGTTGGATAAAGTTTAGAATCACAGGACTTGCTGACTGGAGAAGAGGGCAAAAGCAGAGTTAGCACAACACATGAGTTATGACCACCTTGAGCAGCTCAGCAGGGGGTGGTGCCATTTACAGAACAGAGATGGCATGGACAGAGCCCATGGAGAAGGAGGAGGAAAAAGAGAGTTTAGCTTTGGGTTTTTTTTTTTAAGACAGGGTCTCTGGCTGTGTCACCCAGGCTGGAGTGCATTGGTGCAATCATAGCTCTTTGCAGCCTCAAACTCCTGGGCTCAAGTGATCCTCCTGCCTCAGCCTGCCATGTAGCAGGACTACAGATCCTACAGATGCACATCACCATGCCTAGCTTTTTTTTTTTTTTTTTTTGTAGATAGGGAGCCTCACTGTGTTTTCCAGGCGGGCTTCCAACTCCTGGCCTCAAGTAATCCTCCCACCTCAGCCTCCCATAGCACTGGGATTACAGCCATCACCTACCACTCCAAGCCATGAGTTTGGCTTTGGATGTAACAAGGTTGAGGTGTTCATGAGTTGACAAGTGGAAAAAACAGGAAAGAAGTTGAGTGTTTAAGACTGCTGTTTGAAGGAGAAGTCTAGCCTCAAGACAAAAGTTCAGGACTCATTAGCTGAGAAATGGCACTGAAAATTATGTAAATGGATGAGCTCAGATAGCAAACAAGTCCAGAGAGAGCAGAAAGTCCAGAGAGAGCAGCACTGGGCTATGCATCTGGCCTAATGCCACCCCGCTCCTCCCAATCCCTGTGTTATGCAGGAGAGGGTTCAGCCTCTGGTGAGTTTCACCAAACCCCCACATCTCTTACTTCTGAAACCTTCTCTAAAATCCCCTCTTTTATACTTAGTGAAATGGGATTCTCTTTTTCCCATCCAGCTTAAGCAGAAACTTTTGACTATGAGAAGAATGAGGATGCATTTAGTATCTGTTCTGCATGGCTAATTCCATCAAAGATTTCTCATTATTCATGCCTGGCAGTCTCATTTTCTTCTTTTGCCTCTAAGAGCACAGTCGTAGCCTTAATTACTGACATTTTCACTCTTCTAATACCAGCGATTTACCCCATCTCAGTTCTCAGGAAGTTCTGTTCGCAGAATTATCTCCTGAGTCCTCACCTGGAGATATAAATTGTTCTCTGTGGCCATTTCTTCCTACTCTAATTCTTATCAAAAAACTCAGTGATCTCTGTGCATCAGTTATTAAACTCAAGCTCAACAGATCATGATTCTGGCTTGTCTGTCTCTCCTGCCTGTGGGTTAACAGGTATGCAACCTTTGCAGAGGAGACACCAAATTCTCAGGAGGCCAGAGTTTCCAAAGGTACTGGTCACTCTTGCTCTCTTTCTCCTGCTCAAAATTCAGCACTAGAGAGTGTTACACCATTGCACCTGCAGAGGAGTTCATCTGACTCTAGGGACTACAGAGGAGAGAGATGGACAAACTAACAGGCATTCAGAAAACGACTACCACAATGGGGAAGAAAATGAAAGTCAAACCAAATAAGCAATGATCAAAAAAACAAGAAAAATCTAGAGGGCAGCTGCAGTGGCTCACAGGTGTAATCTCAGCACTTTGGGAGGCCGAGGCAGGTGGATCACTTGAGATCAGGAGTTCGAGACCAGCCAGGGCAACATAGTGAAACCACATCTCTACTAAAAATAAAAGAATTAGCCAGGTGTGGTGGCGGCCACCTGTAATCCCAGCATTTTGGGAGGCCGAGGTGGGTGGATCGCCTGATGTCAGGAGTTTGAGACCAGCCTGGCCAACATGATGAAACCCTATTTCTATTAAAAAATACAAAAATTAGCCAGGTGTGGTGGCAGGTGCCTGTAATCCCAGCTACTTGGGAGGCTGAGGCAGGAGAATTGCTTGAACCCAGGAGGCAGAGGTTGTGGCGAGCAAAGAATGCACCACTGCACTCCAGCCTGGGCAACAGTGAGACTTTGTCTCAAAAAAAAAAAAACAACCTAGAGATGTCCATCCAGGCTGAACAGAATATTCCAGAGCAGACGTTGGGACACTATGGCCCATGGGCCAAATCTGACCTGCTTGCACATGTGTTTGTCAATAAAGTTTTATTGAAACACAGCCATGCACATTTGCTACATATTGTCTATGGCTGCTGGATTTGGCTGTTCTCTCATGCTATAAAGAAATACCTGAGATTGGGTAATATATAAAGAAAAGAGGTTTAATTGGCTCGCAGTTTTGTAGGCTATACAGGGAGCATGACACTGACATCTGCTGAGCTTCTGTGGAGGCCTCAGGAAACTTACAATGATGGCAGAAGGTGAAGCGGGAGCAAGAGAGTAAGGAGGGAGGTGCGACACACTCGTAAACAACCCGATCTTGCAAGAACTCACTCACTATTGCAAGGACAGGACCAAAAGGACGATGCAAAATCATTCATGAGAAATCCACCCCCATGATCCAATCTCTTCCCACCAGGCCCCACCTCTAACACTGGGGACAGCTTTTATCTTGGCTTTTTCACTGGCAGCCCCTTCCTCAAGGACTTAACTTGTGCAAGCTGACTCTTAGCACATCTAAGAATGCAATTAACTGATAAGATACTGTGGGGCGAGCAATATCCGCAGTTCCCAGGAATTTGTCCGATTGATAATGCCTAAAGCCCCACGTCTATCACTTTGTAATAGTCTTAAAGCCCTTAGACCTAGAACTGTTTACTTTCCTGTAACAATTTATCCTTTTAACTTTTTTGTCTACTTTACTCCTGTAAAATTCTTTTAACTAGACCCGTTTCCCCTTTCTAAACTGAAGTATAAAAGAAAATCTAGCCCCTTCTTCGGGGCCAAGAGAACTTTAAGAGTTAGCCATTTCTTGGCCACCAGCTAAATAAGCAGACTCTTAATTCATGCGAAAGTGTGGCATTTTCTCTAACTCATTCAAGTACAACATTGGGAGGCCCCAGCGAGAAACGCCATAGGCGAGAGCCGGGCTCCCCCGGAAGGACGGCCGGCTTGTGGGGGGTGCCACCTAAAAAAAAATCTTCAGGTCCTCGAAAGGTGACCATCTTCCAGAGGAGAGCGGATCGACTACCCTGTGGGTGCCCATAAGAATTCCACCTCTGAGTCCTCGACTTCTGACCCCGAGGTCAGGTAGGTCAGATTTGACTTCAGTTCTAGTAAGAGGGAAGCGGCCCTGATGAGGGTGTCCCTCTTTCGACTCTGCCTGTTTCTCTAGGACGCTAGAAGGTAGAGCCCTGGTTTTCTGTCAGGCACCTCTGTGTCTCTTTCTAGGAGGGAAGTGGCCCTGACAGGGGCCCTCCCTTGACTCAGTCCACATCCCAGGATGCTGGAGGACTGAGTCCTGGTTTCTGGCAGACCGGTCATTCTCTCTCTCTCCTTTTCTATCTCTCATCTTTCTCTTGTTCGAGTTTCTTGAAGAATCTCCAAGAAAGAAAAAAAAAACTGTTATATACTCTGTGTGAATAATGAATGAGTGAGGGAGGACAAGGGCTCGCGCTTGTCCTCCAGTTTGTAGCTCCACGGCGAAAGCTACGGAGTTCAAGTAGGTCCTCACCTCACCTGCGGTTCCGTGGCGACCTCATAAGGCTTAAGGCAGCATCAGGCATAGCTCGATCTGAGCCGGAAGTTTATTCCTGCCTGCCAATGCTAAGAGGAGCCCAAGTCCCCTCAGGGGGAGCGGCCAGGCAGGCATCTGACTGATCCCATCACAGGAAACCCTCCCCTTGTCTGTCTGAAAAAAAAAAAAAGGAAGAAACTGTCCTAATCATCCACACGGTAGTCGATCCGCTCTCCTCTGGAAGACGGTCACCTTTCGGGGACCTGCAATTTTTTTTCAGATGGCACCCCCCCACAAGCCGGCCGTCCTTCTGGGGAAGCCCGGAGCGAGCCCAGCTCTTGCCTCGTGGCGTTTCTCACTCGGGCCTCCAAATGTTGTACTTGAGCGAGTTAGAGAAAATGCCACACTTTGACATGAATTAAGTCTGTTTATTTAGCTGGCGGCCAAGAGATGGCCTTGAGGAAGGGGCTGCCAGTGAAAAAGCCAAGACAAAGTCTGTCTAGCTCTCTTAGCTAAAAGAAAGTCAATTCAGGTAGAAACAAGGCTAAGTGATTAAAAGAAAAGGAAAGTCTAAGAACAAAGTTAATAAAAACAAGGTTAGGCATTACAGATGGGGTCATCCTTATATTCAGCACAGTGTTTGTCCTGAAACTTCAATGGAGTGCTCCTAGTTTGATAACTTGGACCATGCCAAATAAATTGAATTTCTCCTTCTTAACAACAGATGTTTGAATACAGCCCCGTGTTCCTCTCTGCTCCTTCCAGCCTTCCTCCTCTCCTCTCCCTTCCTTTCCTTTTCAAGAGCAGGGTTTGCAAGCTTTTACTTGAAAGCATCAGATAGTAAATATTTTAGACTTCGTGGGCCATACAGTCTCTTGTAGTAGATACTGAGCTCTGTCACCCATAGAATGAAAGCAGCTGACAGGTTGAATATGTGTCCGCTCCCAAATCTCATGTTGCAATGTAATCCCAAGTGTTAGAGGTGGGGCCTGATGGGAAGAGATTGGATCACGGGGGTGGATTTCTCATGAATGATTTATCGTCATCCTTTTGGTCCTGTCTTTGCAATAGTGAGTGCGTTCTTGCAATATCTGGTTGTTTACGAGTGTGTAGCACCTCCCTCCTTACTCTCTTGCTCCCACTTCAGCTTCTGCCATCATTGTAAGTTTCCTGAGGCCTCTACAGAAGCTCAGCAGATGTCAGTGTCATGCTCCCTGTACAGCCTACAAAACTTGAGTATGTTTTTCTTCTCATTCTTTCTTACCTTCCCTCCAGCCCACACAACCCACATTCAGTGACCAAGTCACGTGGGTTTTACCTCCTAAATCTTTCTCATATCCTTCACTGCTCAGCCACTCTCCTGACACCATCATAAACCAAGCCACCATCACCTCCAGGTGTTTGACTGCAAATGCCTCCAGACTGGCCTCTGCTTTTCCCTGGCCCTGTGACAATCTGCACTCCTCACAGGGACCAAAGCAATCACTTCAGAAGGTGCATCCAAACAGATCACTCAACTTTCCGTGGCTCCCACTGCTGTGTGGGTTAACAATGATAAAAGCTCGGCCGGGCGCGGTGGCTCACGCCTGTAATCCCAGCACTTTGGGAGGCCGAGGCAGTCGGATCACGACGTTAGCAGATTCAGACTATTCTCGCTAACACGGTGAAACCCCGTCTCTACTAAAAATACAAAAAAATTAGCCAGGCGTGGTGGCGGGCGCCTGTAGTCCAGCTACTCCGGAGGCTGAGGCAGGAGACGGGCGTGAACTCGGGAGGTGGAGCTTGCAGTGAGTCGAGATCGCGCCACTGCACTCCAGCCTGGGTGACAGAGTGAGACTCCATCTCAAAAAAAAAAAAAAAAAAAAAATGATAAAAGGTCACCTCTACTGAGCACACACTATCTCATTCCATCCCTACATCAGCCCTTGATCTCACCAGTGGGGAAGCTGGGACACAGAGTAGTTAGGTGGGATGCCCAAGGTGGGACCACTCGTGTAAGTTTCCACACCCTAATGTGAGACCCTCCATGACCTAGCCCCTCTCTTTCTCCAGCCTCATTTCCTGATTCTCTTGCTTGCCCTGCAGGCTTCAGCCACATAAACTTCTTGAAAGTGCCTTAAATCTGGCTGAGCGCAGTGCCTCTCGCCTGTAATCCCAGCACTTTGGGAAGCTGAGGCGGCTGGATCACCTGAGATCAGGAGTTCGAGACCAGCCTGGTCAACATGGTGGAACCCCATCTCTACTAAATATCCCAAAATTAGCCACGTGTGGTGGACGGCACCTGTAATCCTAGCTACTCGGGAGACTGAGGCAGGAAAATCGCTTGAACTCGGGAGGCAGAGGTTGCAGTGAGCCAGGATCGCACCACTCCACCCAAGCCTGGGCGTCAAGACTGAAAGTCCGTCTCAAAAACAAAAGTCCCTTAAATCTGCTCTATGCCTATCAACCTCAGGGACTTCACTATGCTGTTCCTCACCCTGAAATGCTGTTCCTCATTTCTCTACATAGTGAACTCATCCCACCCCCTAGGCCTCTCCTTAAGTGTCATCTCTTCAAGGAAGATTTTACTTTTTTAATATTACTATTATAATTCAGGTACCGTATGCTTTGCCAATTTAAAGTGAACAAATCAATAGTTTCAGTGCATTCACAGAGCTCGGCGACCACCATCATTATCAATTTTAAAACATTTTCATCACTCCAAAAGAAACCCTGTATCCATGAGCAGGTTCCTGCCATTTCCTCCTCCCACTAAGTCCTGACAATCTACTTTGAGATAGAGTCTCTATCACAGGCTGGAGTGCAGTGGCACAATCTCGGCTCACTGCAACCTCTGCCTCCCAGGTTCAAGCAATTCTCCTGCCTCCAGAGTAGCTGGGATTACAGGGATATGCCACCACGCCCATCTAATTTTGTATTTTTAGTAGAGACAGGGTTTCTGTCTTCATAGATTTGCGTGTTCTGGACATTTCATATAAATGAAATCTTCTAATATGTGACCTTTTGTGACTGGTTTCTTCTACTTAGCATAATATTCTCATAGTTCATCCGTGTTGTAGCACGTGTCAGTACTTCATTCCTTTTGATGACTGAATAATATTCCATTGCATGGTCAAACCATGTTCTATTTCTCCACTCATCAGTAGACAAGCATTTGTGTTGTTTTCACTTTGGCGCTATTATGAATAATGTTGCTATGAGCATTTGTGTACAAGTTTCTGCACGGACATATACTTTCATTTCTTTCATAAACTGGAGTGGAAGTGCTGGGTCATAGAACTCTGTGTTTAAGCTTTTGAAGAAGTGCCAGACTGTGTAAGAAAGAAAGCCTTTCCTCACTCCCTCTCTCCATTTATACGTTCTCTTTATGCCCTTTGCTTCTCTTTCAGAGCAATTCATGTTGACCTGGGTCACCCTCAACTTAAGGCTCATAACTCCCCTAGATCCTCAGGGTCCACACTAAATGTAATGAAATATGATGGAAGCCACATATTTACTTTTGCATTTTGTAGTAACCACATTTTAAAAAGTAAAACAAAAGAAGTGAAGGTAATTGGAATAATATCACAGATTTAAACAAATCTATCCGAAATACCAGGTCTACAAGTATAAAATATTTTAACATTAACAAAATACTTTGCTTTCTTTTTATATTAAGTCTTCACAATCTAATGTGTATTTGACACTTCTAGCACATCTCAGAATGATGGCAGCACCCCATATGGGGGGCCCTCCCATGATGCCAATGATGGGCCCTCCTCCTCCTGGGATGATGCCAGTGAGACCTGCTCCTGGAATGAGGCCACCCATGGAAGGCCACATGCCCATGATGCCTGGGTGCCCAATGATGAGACCTCCTGCCCGTCTCATGATGGTGCCCAGTCAGCCCAGAATGACTCAACCAGACAGATAAGGATAGAGGGGAGGCCTCATTACATCAGTGTTGTTTTGTTGTTATTATTGTTGTGTTTTCTTTGTTTGTAATGTTTTGTTTTGTTTTTGAGACACAGTCTTCCTCTGTCGCCCAGGCTGGAGTGCAGTGGCACGATCTCAGCTCACTGAAACCTCCACCTCCCGCGTTCAAGCGATTCCCCTGCCTCAGCCTCCTGAGTAGCTGGGACTACAGGCATGCGCACCATGCCCGACTAATTTTTTTTATTTTAGTAGAGACAGGGTTTCACCATGTTGGCCAGGATGGTCTCAATCTCCTGACCTCGTGACCCGCTCGCCTCAGCCTCCCAAAGTGCTGGGATTACAGGTGTGAGCCACTGCACCCGGCCTATATGAGTTTTATATTTACCTGCTCCCTTCACCAGGAGATCATGCTGCTGTGATGCCGGGTTTTCTTAACAGCATAAGGAAGACTTGCCCCGTTGCCCTATCAAAGAGAATAGTTTTGGAGGGGAGAAGTGGGACCAAAAAAGATGCAGTTTTCATTTGTATTGGGAAATGTGAAAATAAAATTGTCAACTCTTTTAGTTAAAAACAACAACAACAAAAAAAAGGAAACGAGATGTGGGGCTGCCACACGCAATATCGTGCATTACAAGGATCTTCTACTCTGGAGGAAAATATCTTTGCTGATGCCAGACCAACCTAACACAAAGACCTTTTGTTTTTTTAATGTGACTGTGTTTTATTTTAGAATGTGTAATTCACTTTAGAAGTGCAAAGTACCTGTCTGGGGAAGACTATTTAATTTCCTGCATTTATTTAGAATATTGGCTAATGTTATTCTGAAGGGAAATATCTCTAACAAGTGAGTGCCCCCCACATAGACACAGCTCATGAGCTCACGGGGCAAAGGAATTGAACAGCAGCCTCCTAATAGCCGGCCTTCTTTGTGGTATGGAAATAATTATCAGCATGTAAAAGACTATATATATATTAAACAATTCTGACCCCCTGCAAAATTCAAATCTACAATTGATTTGCTTCCTGGGCTCCTGAAAACAACTTTGTCAAAACTGTTCAGAAATAAAATCAGGTAATCGTTGCCCCTTGGGGTCGCAGGATAAAGCAAATCAGCCATGACCAATGGGGAGTCGGCCGTGCACAGTTACATGCAGACCTGCAGGACATCGAGTCCCTGCTATGGTCCCTTCCCAGTCAGGCCCCCATTGCCTGGGCTGCAGCCAGAAGCATTCAGGCACAAGTGCATTCAACAAATACTTATTTAATTGCATTGGTGGTTAGAGGGTTGCGGTTGATTAAGGTACATTAATGGATCCGTGTCCTCCCTGTATCCAAGACTCTGTCATTTGTCTCTGCAGTTCCTCCCACTGAAGAATCAGAGTATATTTCTCCAGCCCCTAATGTTGGGTTTAGTCATGTGTCTAGCTTTGGCCACTGGAATATTAATCTGCATGACCAAAAACTTGGAAAGTGTGCATTCATTTGTGCTCGCTCACTCCTGCTATCACCATGAGAACAAGCCCAGGCCAGCCTGCTGCTTCCAGCAGAAGATAAGAGACACCAAGAGCAAAGTAGAGCTTCCCAGACATGCTTATGCTAGATTAACCAATCCTCAGCTGACCCATAGATCCATGAAAATAAATAACTGTTGTATTAAGCCACTGAGATTTGGAGTGACTTGTTATGCAGCATTTTGTGACAATAACTAACTGATACAAGGGTCACCATACTTTATCTCTGTAGATTTTAACCAATTTTTAATAGCTAGATGGAGATCTTCTAGTTGCCTTTATTTATAATGAATAAGACTGTAGAGCTAGTTTGCCCTGACACTACCAGTTACCTACCCAGAAATTCAGAAATACTTTCTTCTCCAACCCACCCCAACCAACCATTTTTTTTTTTTTTTTGAAACGGAGTCTTATTCTTTGCCTAGGCTAGAGTACAAGTGGCACAGTCAGAGCTCACTGTAACCTCAAAATCCTGGGCTCCCCTGATCTTCCCCTTCAACCTCCTACGTAGCTAAGACTCCTGACATGTGCCACCATGCCTGGCTAATTTTTTTATTCTTTGCAAAGACAGGATCTCACTATATTGCCCAAGTTGGTTTCAAACTCCTGGCCTCAAGCAGTCCTCCTGCCTCACCCTCCCAAAGTGCTAGGATTATAGGCATGAGCCACCACACCCAGCCTCTTCTTTTTAAATAGAAACCCTATTTTATTCTGAAAGCGGGTTGCTTTCTTTTTTTTTTTTTTTTTTTTTTTTAGAAAAAATTGGCCCAGCCCCAGGGAATAAATTGTGACTTGTCTAAACAGGGTTGGCAAACTATAGACCAAGGGCCAAATCTGGCCCTCTGACTGTTTGTATAAATTAAGTTTTACTGGAATAAAACCAGGTCCATTCATTTATGCCTTGTCTACATATGTTTTAAACTACGATGGCACCACTGCGTCACTGCAACAGAGGTTATTCAGACCAAAAGCCTAAAATATTACCGTTTGCTTCTTTATGGAAAAAGTTAGCCATTCCCTAGTCTAAGGTTTAGATTCTGAGCTTATCATTTTAGCCTACCCCCACATACCAGTGAGTGGCTCAAAACAAGTCTATGATTCCATTGTGACTGTTCTACTGAGGGAAATCCCCCTTCTTCTCATGCAGAGCTGATGAGGGAAAGTTGTATTAATAGGACATATGCTCAGGTTTTCTGAAAAATACTATTATCTAGAAATGCATAGGAATATGCTGGTGCCTGAATGTACCATCTGGGGGCCTGGAGACTGACTCACACTGCCTCCAGAGCTGGCGCTCACACTTACTACTGAGAGGCCTGAGGAAACACCTGCCTACCCACCACCAGAACCTGCACACGTCACCTGGAGAACTAGAGATCAGCCTGCCACACACACAACCCAGGAGCCCAGTGGCGCACCCGCCCACCTGGCCCAGTGCTGCCACTGCCAGCAACCAAAGAAGCCACCTGGAGGCCCAGGGATTGGCCCATGCAGACAGGCTATCATCAGTGCCCACATACACTGCACATGGTCACTAGTATTGACACACCTGTTCTACCACCACTACCACTGATGCTGAAGGACAAGACTTCCAGGCATCCCCATCCTCAGCAAAGCCTCACCACAGCCTCCAATAACAACTGCAGTCTGGCTGGGCGCAGTGGCTCACACCTGTAATCCCAGCACTTTGAGAGGCTGAGGCAGGTAGATAACGAGGTCAGGAGTTCAAGACCAGCCTGGCCAACGTGGTGAAACCCCATCTCTACTAAAAATACAAAAATTAGCTGGGCGTGGTAGCAGGTGCCTGTAGTCCCAGCTACTCAGGAGGCTGAGGCAGGAGAATCGCTTGAACCTGGGAGGCAGAAGTTGCAGTGAGCTTAGATTGTGTCACTGTACTCCAGCCTGGTGACAGAGCTAGACTCCATCTCAATCACAAACACACAAACAAAAAAAACTGCTGTCTAAGCCACTGAATAACTCACAGACACCACTCATGCCAATTACAGCTGAAGAAATCATATGCAGCCTATACCACTGTACCCACCCAGAATCAAAGCCAAAGTGTGATATCCAATGAACGCTGTAGATACAGCTATAAGAAAAGGTCTTTCCCATATAAAAGCCAACCCAGAAAATTGGAAGAAGTGACTGCTATGTCAGAGGCACAAGTAGTCACATAAGGACGCAAGAAATATGAAAAAGGAAACATAAAATCTCCAAAGAAGCACAATAATTCTCCAGCAACAGATTTCAATGAAAAGAAAATCTATGAAATGCCTGAAAAAAAATCAGAATAATGATATTAAAGAAACTCAGGGAGATATAAGAGAGCACAGATAATGAATACAAAAAAATCAGGAAAACAATTCATGATCTGAATGAGAAATTCAACAGGGATAGACAGCATAACAAAGAACCAAACACAAATCCTGGAAGAGATGAAATCATTGAAAGAAATACAAAAGACAACTGACAGCTTTAACAATAGACTAGATCAAGCAAAACAAAGAATTTCTGAACCTGAAGACTAGTCTTTTAAAATAATCCAGTCAGACAAAAAGAAAGAAAAAAGAATGAAGCAAGGCTACATGACATATGGGACACATATGTGACCAAAAACTGAAATTCTGGGAGTTCTGGATGGAGATGAGATGGGTAAAAGCATAGAAAACCTATTTAATAAAATAATAACTGAACACTTCCTGAAAGCTTCCAAATAAAGGAATCTCAAAGATTACCAAATAAACACTACTCAAAAAGGTCTTCTCCAAGGACTTTATGGTAAAATTGTCAAAAGACAAAGAGAAAATGCTAAAAACAGCAAGAGAAAAGCATCAAGGCACTTATAAGAGAATCTCCATCAGGCTAACGGGGAATTTCTCAGCAGAAACCTTACAGGCTAGGAGAAAAGGGGATGTATACTACAAGTTAAAAAAAAAAAAAAATGTAAGGCAAAATTGCTAAAACCAGCAAAGCTATCCTTCACAAATGAAGAAGACTGGCACAGTGGCTCACATCTGCAATTCCAGAGACTCAGAAGGCTGAGGAAGGAGGATCATTTGAGCCCAGGAGTTCAAGGCTGCAGTGAGCTATGATCATGCCACTGTACTCCAGCCTGGGTGACAGAGTGAGACTCCAGTGCTTAAAAAAGAGAAAAAATATTTCCCAGATAAGCAAAAGACTGTTTGTTTGTGTCTTGTTTGTTGTGGTCCTACAAAAAATGCTTAAGGGAGTCCTACACTGGGAAGCAAAAGAACAATATCTACCATCATGAAAATACATGAAAGTATAAAACTCATGGTAGCGCAGACACACAAAGGAGAAAGGATTCAAACGTCACCACTAAAGAAAACCACCAAACTGCAACAATAAATAATGAGAGAAAAAAGGAACAAAGGTGTATTAGTCTGTTTTCACACTGCTGATAAAGACATACCTGACTGAGACTGGGCAGTTTACAAAATAAAGAGGTTTAATGGACTTACATTTCCACGTAGCTGAGGAAGCCTCACAATCATGTTAGAAGGCAAGAAAAAGCAAGTCATGTCTCAGCTGGATGGAAGCAGAGAAAGAGAGAGCTTCTGCAGGGAAACTACCCTTTTTAAAACCATCAGACCTTGTGAGACGTATTCAGTGTCACGAGAACAGCATGGGAAAGACCTACCCCCATGACTCAATTACTTCCCACCGGGTCCCTCCCACAACATGTGGGAATTCAATATGAGATTTGGGTGGGCACACAACCAAAGCATATCATTCTGCCCCTGGCCCTTGCCTAATCTCATTTCAAAACAAATTATGCCTTCCCAACAGTCCCCCAAAGTCTTAACTAAGTTCAGCATTAACTCAAAAGTCCACAGTCCAAAGTCTCATGTGAGACAAGGCAAATCCCTTCCGCCTATGAACATGTAAAATCAAAAACAAGTTAGTTACTTCCTAGATACAATGGGGGTATAGGCATTGGGTAAATACAGTCATTCCAAGTGGGACAAAATTGCCAAAACAAAGGGGCTACAGGCCCCATGCAAGCCCAAAATCCAGTGGGGCACTGACATCTCAAAGCTCCAAAATGATCTCCTTTGACTCCATGTCTCACATGCAGGTCATGCTGATGTAAGAGGTGGGCTCCCATGGCTTTGGGAGAAAAAAGGCCACAACTCCACTCCCGTGGCTTTGTGGGTATAAACCCCCTCCTGGCTCCTTTCATGGGTTGGCATTGAGTGTCTGCAGCTTTTCCAGGCACACAGTGCAAGCTGTCAGTGAATCCACCATTCTGGGGTCTGGAGGATTGTGGCCGTCTTCTCAAAGCTCCACTAGGTGGTACTGCAGTAGGGGCTCTAGGTGGGGGCTCTGACCCCACATTTCCCTTCTGCACTACCCTAGTACAGGTTCTCCATGAGTGCCCTGCCCCTGCAGCCAACTCCTGCCTGGACAACTAGGCATTTCCATACACCTTCTGAAGTCTAGGCAGCAGTTCCCAAACCACGATTTTTGACTTCTGTGCACCCACAGGCTCAACACTATTTGGAAGCTGCTAAGGTTTGGGGCTTGCACCCTCTGACGCCACAGCCCACATTGTACCTTGGCTCCTTTTAGCTGCAGCTGGAGTGGCTAAGACTCAGGCACCCGAGTCTGCTCACAGCAGGGGTCCCTGGGTCCAGTCCACAAAACCATCTTTTCTTCCTAGGCCTCTGGGCCTTTCATGGGACGGGCTGCCATGAAGCTCTGTGACATGCCCTTGAGACATTTTCCCCATTGTCTTGGAGATTCACATTTGACTCCTCGTTACTTCAACAAACTTCTGCAGCCAGATTGAATTTTTCTTGAGAAAATGGGATTTTCTTTTCTATTGCATTGTCAGGCTGCAAATCTTCCAAACTTTTATGCTCTGCTTCCCTTATAAAACTGAAGGCCTTTAACGGCACCCAAGTCATCTCTTGAATGCTTTGCTGCTTAGAAATTTCTTCTACCAGATACCCTAAATCATCTCTCTCAAGTTCAAAGTTCCACAAATCTCTACAGCAGGGGCAAAATGCCACCAGTCTCTTTGCTAAAACATAACAGGAGTCACTTTTGTGCCAGTTCCCGGCAAGTTTCTCATTTCCATCTGAGACCACCTCAGCCTAGACTTTATTGTCCATATAACCATTAGCATTTTGGGCAAGTCTCTAGGAAATCTCTTCCAACTTTTCCCATATTTTCCTGTCTCCTTCTGAGCCCTCCAACCTCTGCCTGTTTCCCAGTTCCAAAGTCACTTCCACATATTCAGGTATCTTTTAGGAACACCCCACTTCTGGTACCAATTTACTGTATTAGTCCATTCTCACACAGCTGATAAAGACACATATAAGACTGGGAAATTTACAAAAGAAAGAGGTTTAATGGACTTACAGTTCTTTGTTGCTGGGAAGGCTTCAAAATCATTGTGGAAGTGAAGGAGAGACAAGTCACATCTTACAGGGATGGCAGCAGGCAAAGAGAGAGCTTGAGCAGGGAAACTCCTCCTTTAAAACCATCAGATCTCAGGAGACTTACTCACTATCAAAAGAATAGCATGGAAAATACCTGCCCCCATGATTCAACTACTTCCCACTGGGTCCCTCCCACAACACATGGGAATTCAAGATGAGATCTGAGTGGGGACACAGCCAAACCAAATCAAAAGGATATACAAAATAACCAGAAAACAATGAACAAAATGACCCGAATAAGTCCTCACCTATCAATAATAACTTCGAATATGTGTTAAATTACCTACCTAAAGGTACAGACAGGCTTAATGGATAAAAAATGACCCAACAACATCTACAAGAAACTCACTTCACTTGTAAAGACACACACAGACTGAAAGTGAAGGGATTGAAAAAAATATACCACACAAACAGAAATCAAAAGTAATCAGGAGTAGCTAAACTTGCATCAGATAAAACAGACTTTAAGTCAAAAACTGTAAAAAGGACAAAGAAGGTCATTATATGGTAATAAAGGGAAAAATTAAGCAGCAAAATATAACAATTCTAAATGTGCATGCAACCAACACAAGTGCATCCAGACACACATAGCAAATATTATTAAATCTACAGGGAGAGATAGAGTCCAATACAATGATAGTTGAGAATTTCAATATCCTACTCTCAGCATTGGACAGTTCATCTAGACATAAAATCAACAAACAAACATTAGATTTAAGCTGCACTTTAGACCAAATGGACCTAACAGATATTTTCAGAATATTTCATCCAGCAGCAGCAGAATACACAATCATCTCATCAACACATGGAACATTCTCCAGGATAGACCATATGTTAGGACACAAAACAAGGCTCAACAAAATTTTAAACATTAAAATCATATCAACTATCTTCTCAGACCACAATGGAATAAAACTTGAAATCAATAACAAGAAGAAATTTGGAAAGTGTACAAATACATGAACAATAAATGTGCTATTGAATGATCATTGGGTCAATGAAGAAATTAAGATGGAAATCAAAAAAATTTTTTAAACAGAAAATGGAAACACATCATGCAAAACCTATGGGATACAGAAAAAAGCAGTACTAGGAGGTAAGTTCATAGCAATAAATGTCTACACTAAAAAAGTAGAAAGATCTCAAATAAACAACCTAACGATGCACCTAAAGGAACTCCAAAAGCAAGAACAAACCAAACACACAATTAGTAGAAAGAAAAAAAAAATAACAGCAGAACCAAATGCAACAGAGACAAAAAAGAAATGCAAAGAATCAACAAGATAAAAGTTGTTTTTTTGAAAAGTTAAACAAAATTGATAAACCACTAGTGAGGCTAACCAAAAAAAAAGAAAGGAGACCCAAATAAATACAATCAGAAATGAAAAAGGAGACATTACAACTGTTACCAAAGAAATAAAAAGGATCATTAGAGGCTATTACGAACAACCATACCCTAACAAATTGGAAAGCTTAGAGGAAAGGGATAAATTCCCAGACATACACAGCCTACCAAGATTGAACTAGGAAGAAAGAGAGAACCTGAACTGACTCAAAATGAATAGCAGGTTTGAATCAGTAACAAAAAGTCTCTCCAAAGAGAAAAGCCCTAGACCAGGCTTTTATACTGATTTCTACCCAGTTTATAAAGAAAAACAAACACCAATACTTCTCAAACTATTCCCAAAAATTGAAGAGGAGGGAATTCTTCCTAACTCATTGTATAAGGCCAGCATTACCCTGATATCCAATCAAGACAAGGACACAACAGAAAGAGAAAACTACAGGCCAATATTCCTAATGAACACAGATGCAAAAATTCTCAGCATAATACTACCAAGCCAAATCTAATGATGAATGAAAAAGATAATATACCATGATCAAGTGGGATTTATCCCAGGAATGCAAAGATGGCTCAACATACACAAAATCAGTGCATGTGATACATCACATCAACAAGATGAAAGGCAAAAACTATCTGATCATCTCAGCAGATGCAGAAAAATCACTTGGTAAAACTTACCATTCCTTCATGATGAAAACTCTCAACAAATTAGGCATAGAAGGAACACTTCAACATAAGAAAAGGCATATATGACTAATCTACAGCTAATATCCTACTCACTGGGAAAAACTGAAAAGCTTTTCCTCCAAGAACTGGAACAAGACAAGGATGCCCACTTTCACCATTCTTATTCAACACAATATGGGACATCCAAGCCAGAGTGATCAGACAAGATAAAGAAATAAAAGGCATCCAAACTAGACAAGAGGAAGTCAAATTGTCTCACTTTGCAGATGACATAATCTTATACTTGTAAACAGAAAAACCTAAAGACTCCACCAAAAACTCTTGAAATTGATAAATTAGGCTGGACATGGTAGCTCATGCCTGTTATCCCAGCACTTTGGGAGGCCAAGGTGGGCGGATCACCTGAGCTTGGGAGTTTGAGGCCAGCCTGGCCAACATGGTGAAATCCTGTCTCTATTAAAAATACAATTAACCAGGCATGGTGGTAGGTGCCTGTAATCCCAGTTACTTGGGAGGCTGAAGCAGGAGTATCGCTTGAAACCCAGAGGCGGAGGTTGTAGTGAGTGAAGGTTGCATCACTGCACTCCAGCCTGGGCAACAGAGAAAGACTCTATCTCAAAAAATAAAAAACAAAAAATTTTTAAAAAAACAGATGTATAAGTAAAGCTTCAGGACACAAAATCAACATACAAAAATCAGTAATGTTTCTATATACCAGTAAAAAACTAGCGAAAAAAGAAACCAAGGAAGAATTTCTATTTACAATAGCTACAAAAATAAAATACCTAGGAATAAACTTAACCAAGGATGGGGAAAAAGAAAAAAAAAGACCTCTGCAATGAAAACCACAAAACACTGATAAATTGAGAAGACACAAACAAATGGAAAAGCATCTCATGCTCATGGGTTGGAATTACTAATACTGTTAAAATGACCATACTACCCTAAGCAATCTAGAGATTCAGTATAATCCCTATCAATTATATTCTTCACAGAAACAGGAAAAAAAAAAAAACCCTGAAATTCATATGGAACCACAGAAGTCCCCAGATAGCCAAAGCAAAACTGAGCAAAAAGAACAAAGCTAGAAGTCTCACACTACCTGACGTAAAAGTATACTGCAAAGCAGCTGGGCGTGGTGGCTCACGCCTGTAATCCCAGCACTTGGGGAGGCCAACGAGGGTGGATCATGAGGTCAGGAGATTGAGACCATCCTGGCTAACACGGTGAAACCCCGTCTCTACTAAAAAAAAAAAACAAAAAAATTAGCCGAGGCTGAGACAGGAGAATGGCGTGAACCCGGAAGGCGGAGCTTGCAGTGAGCCGAGATTGCATCACTGCACTCCAGCCTGAGTGACAAGGAAAGACTCCGTCTCAAAAAAACAAACAAACAAACAAAATATATATATATATATACACATACTGCAAAGCTATAGTAACCAAAACAGCGTGTATTGGTATTAAAACACACACAAAAACAAAGGAAACAGACTAAAGAACCCAGAAATGAATCCACATATTTACAGCTGATTTTCAAGAAAGGTGTCAAGAACGTACATTGAATAAAAGACACCCTCTTCATTAAATGGTGCCAGGAAAACTAGATATCCAAACACAGAAGAATAAAACTAGACCTTTATCTCTCATCACTTACAAAAATAAACTCAAAATCAATTAAAGACTTAAATGTAACAGCCACAACTATAAAACTACTGGAAATAAACACAGGAGAAACGCTTCAGAACAAAGATTGTATGGCTAACACTTAAAAAGTACAAGCAACAAAAGCAGACAAATGGGATTATATTAAATTAAATACCTTCTGCATATCATAGAAAACAATCAACAGAGTGAAAAGACACCACCCCTCCCTTACACCATATACAAAAATTAACTCAAGATGGCCTACAGACTTAAATGTAAAACCCATAACTATAAAAACCCTGGAAGACAACCTAGGCAATACCATCCGGTACATAGTGATGGGCAGAGAGTTCATGGTGAAGATGCCAAACGCAATTGCCACAAAAGCAAAAATTGACAAATGGGATCTAATTAAATGAAAGAGCTTCTGCACAGCAAAAGAAACTATCAAAAAATAAACAGACATTCCTCAAAAGAGGATATACAAATCACCAAGTTTATGAAAAAATATTCAACATCACTAATCATCACGGAAATGCGAATCAAAACCACAGTGAGATATCATCTCACACTTGTTAGAATGGCTATTATTAAAGAGACAAAGCACAACAAATGCTGGCAAGAATGTGAAGAGAAGAAAATTATCGTATATTGTTGGTGGGAATGTAAATTAGTACAGCCACTATGAAAAAAAGTACAGAGATTTCTCAAAAAACTAAGAACAGATCTACCATATGATCCAGCAATCCCACTCCTGGGTATATACCCAAAAAAAAGGATATCAGTGTATCAACGGGATATCTGTACCCCCATATTTACTGCAGCACTATTTACAGTAGCCAAGATATGGAATCAATCTAAGTGTCAATCAATGGATGAATGGATAAAGAAAATGGGAATATACGCACAAGAGAATAGTACTCAGCCATAAAGAAGAATGAAATCCTGTCATTTTCAGCTAAATGGATGGAATTAAAGGTCATAAAGTTAGGTGAACTAGGCCATGCACAGAAAGAAAACTATTTCATGTTCTCACTTATATGAGCAGTTTATGCTCCTGGAAATCAAAGTGGGGGCCATGTTTCAGGTCAGTAGGATCAGGGATAGAGACTGCAATTATGGACTTGTGTGCCCTGGAGCTATATAAAATTGATATCATGGAGATAAAGAATAGAATGATAGTTACCAGAGGCTGGGATTAGGAGGGGTTTGAAAAGAAGTTGATTAATGGGTATAAAAATATATAATAGAAGGAATAAGATCTAGTGTTCATTATCACAGAAAGTGACTACAACAATTTGTTGTGTATATATATTTTTAATTTCAATAGTTTTTAGGGAACAGGTGGTATTTTGTTACATGGATAAATTCCTTAGTGGTGATCTCTGAAATTTTGGCATACCCATCAGCAAAGCAGTTTACCCAATGCATAGTCTTTTATCTCTCAACCCCTCCCACCTTCCCCCTGAGCCCCCAAAGTCCACTGTTTCATTCTTGTGCCTTCGCATCATCATAGCTTACCTCCCACTTAAGAGTGAGAACATGCAATGTTTGGTTTTCCATTCCTGAGTTACATTATTTAGAATAATGGTCTCCAACTCCATCCAGGTTGCTATGAATGCCATTATTTCATTCCTTTTTAAGGCTAAGTAGTATTCTATGGTATATATATGTGTATATTTGTGTATGTGTATATTTGTGTATATGGTATATATATGTGTGTGTGTGTGTGTGTATACATATATATATATACATTTTCTTTATCCACTAATTGATTGATGGGCATTTGGGCTGGTTCTATAGTTTTGCAACTGTGAATTTTGCTGCTGTAAACATGTGTGCAAAAGTATCTTTTTCATATAATGACTTCTTTTCCTCTGGGTAGATACCTAGCAGTGGGATTGCTGGATCAAATGGTAGATCTACTTATAGTTCTTTAAGGAATCTCCATACTGCTTTCCATAGTGGCGGTACTAGCTTACATTCCCACTATCAGTGTAAAAGCGTTTTCTTTCACCATGTCCGTGTCAACACCAATTTTTGCTTTTTTTGTTTTTTTTTTTTTTTTTTTTTTTTTTTGAGACGGAGTCTTGCTCTGTCTCCCAGGCTGGAGTACAATGGTGCCATATCAGTTCACTGCAACCTCTGCCTCCCGGGTTCAAGCAATTCTCCTGCCTCAGCCTCCTGAGTAGCTGGGATTACAGGCAACTGCCACCATGCCCGGCTAATTTTTGTATTTTCAGTAGAGACTGGGTTTCACCATGTTGGTCAGGCTGGTCTCAAACTCCTGACCTCCTGATCAGCCCACCTCGGCCTCCCAAAGTGTTGGGACTACAGGCGTGAGCCACCGCACCCGGCCCTATTTTTGTTTATTTTACATGTAGTATTGCATTGTGATTTTGATTTGCATTTCCCTGGTAATTAGTGATGTTGAGCATTTTTTCATATGTTTGTTGGCCATTTGTATATCTTCTTTTGAGAATTGTCTATTCATGTCCTTGGCACACTTTTTGATGGGATTATTTTTTCTTGCTGATTAGAGTTCCCTGTAGATTCTGGACATTAGTCCTTTGTCAGATGCAGTTTGCGAAAATTTTCTCCCACTCTGTGGGTGATCTGTTCACTCTGCTGATTATTTCCTATGCTGTGCAGGAGGCTTTTAGTTTAATTGAGTCCCATCTATTTATCTTTGTTTCTGTTGCATTTACTTTTGGGTTCTTGGTCATGAACTGTTTGCCTAAGCCAATGTGTAGAAGCGTTTTCCAATGTTATCTTCTAGAATGTTTATGGTTTCAGACCTTAGATTTAAGTCTTTGATCCATCTTATGTTGATTTCTGTATAAGGTGAGAGATGAGGATTCAGTTTTATTCTTTTACATGTGGCTTGCCAATTATCCCAGCACTATTTGTTGTATAGGGTGTACTTTCCCTACTTTGTTTTTGTTTACTTTGTCGAAGATCAGCTGGCTGTTAACTATTTGGCTTTATTTCTAGCTTCTCTACTCTGTCCCATTGGTCATGTGCCTATTTTTATACTAGCACCATGCTGTTTTGGTGACTATAGTCTTGTAATATAGTTTGAAGTTGGGTAATGTGATGCCTCTAGATTGGTTCTTTTTGCTTAGTTTTGCTTTGGCTGTGCAGACTCTTTTTTAGTTCCAACGGAATTTTGGCATTTTTTTTTTCCAGTTCTATAAAGAAAGATGATGGTATATTGATAGGAATTACATTGAATCTGTAGACTGCTTTTGGCAGTATGGTCATTTTCACAATATTGAGTCTACCCATCCATGAGCATGGAATGTGTTTCCATTTGTTTTGTCATCTATGATTTCTTTCAACAGTGTTTTGTAGTTTTCCTTGTAGGAGTCTTTCACCTCCTTGGTTAGGTATATTCCTAAGTATTTTATTTTTACAGCTATTATAAAAGGGTTTGATTTGATTCTCAGCCTGGTAGATGTTGGTGTATAGCACTGCTACTGATGTGTGTACATAGATTTTGTATCCTGATAAATGGATTTATTGTATATTTCTAAATAGCAATAAGATTTGAAATATTCCCAACACAAAGAAATGATCAATGTTTGAGGTGATTAATATCCTAAAGACCCTGATTTGATCATTACACATTGCATGCATGTACCGGAACCTCACATGGAACCCAAAAATCTGTACAATTATTCTCTATCAAAAATATTTTTTTAAGAAACATGCAGGAATACACTGTACCTCTTCCTTGCTGTGTCTGGATATTGTCACATGAGGACTTGACATGCGGATTGTGGCAGCCTCTGTGACCAAGAGCAGAAGGCAATAGCACCATAGAAACCTCAAATGAAAAACCTAACATCTCATGCTACTAATTTAGCCAACCTTGGCATCAGCTATCTCCGGTCTTAATACATGAGGTGATAAGCCCCCACTGTTCAAGTTGGGTGGCCATCAATTGCTGCAGAATAGAAGTTAATGAGGCTTCCTCCTCCTGGATCCCCTACTAGACCATGACATACCCATTCAGTCACAGGCAGAAAGGGAGGCCGAGGGTAAGGAGACCTGGCTGGCTGTGCCAGACGCAGATCTTACCTGTCCTGCTTAGAACACTCAAAGCTCAATTGGTTAAACAAAAAAAGGAAACAGACAGTAAGGAGTATAACACTTCCCAGATGCAACTTAATCTAACACTCTATACTTTAAATTTTCTAAACATACATAGAAATGAGACCACTACTTCTGCAGAACATTTTACTGGTGAAAAGAACAGCCCACATGAGTGAAAATTGATTTGGTGGAAAGACAACAAAACAAAACATGGGAAATAGGTAAAGTGATAACATGGGGGAGAGGTTTTGTTCGTGTTTCACCAGAAGAAAATCAGCTTCCTGTTTGGATACCCACTAGACATTTGAAGTTCTACAATGAACCTATCAGAGATGCAAATGAAAGTGCCTCCGCAGAGACAGAAAACACGCAATCGAGCATCATCGACTCGCAGGGTGAACAAAATGGTGATATCAGAAGAAGAGATGAAGTTACCATCCACCAAGAAAATGGCACATGTGGAGAGCCAGGACGAGGAATAGAAAGAAAAAGAGACAGAGATCAGAGACAGACACAAAAAGTGAGACTGGGGAGAGAGATAGTGTAAAAGAGAGAGAGAGAGACCATAAGAGAAGGGAGACAAAGAGATAAAAGGTGCGAGTGAGCAGGTGAGGAGAAAGACTGAAAACTATGAGAAACAGCAACTAAGACACAAAGGAGGTGGGAGACTGCCCGGGTACCGAAGTACCCACACCGTCCTCTTGCCCCCGTCACTTGGGTTAAAACCACCGGAAATTCCATTATTGTAAATTTTGTATTAATCCTTGTCTGTCTGTCTTTTCTATTATTAGTCTACAGGTGTATCCAGCAGCTCCAGAGAGACAGCGACCAGCGAGAAGGGGCCATGATGATGGTGGTGGTTTTGTCAAAACGAAAAGGGGGATATGTAGGGAAAAGAAAGAGAGATCAGACTCTTACTGTGTCTACATAGAAAGGGAAGACATAAGAGACTCCATTTTGAAAAAAACCTGTACTTTAAACAATTGCTTTGCTGAGATGTTGTTAATCTGTAGCTTTGCCCCAGCCACTTTGCCCCAACCACTTTGACCAAACCTGGAGCTCAAAAAACATGTGTTGTATGAAATCAAGGTTTAAGGCATGTAGGGCTGTGCAGGACGTGCCTTGTTAACAAAATGTTTGAAAGCAATATACTTGGTAAAAGTCATCGCCATTCTCTAGTCTGAATAAACCAGGGGCACAATGCACTGTGGAAAGCCGCAGGGAGCCCTGCCCTTGAAAGCTGGGTATTGTCCAAGATTTCTCCCCATGTGATAGTCTGAAAAGTGGCCTCGTGGGATGAGAAAGACCTGATGGTCCCCTAGCCCGACACCCATAAAGGGTCTGTGCTGAGGTGGACTAGTCAAAGTGGAAAGCCTCTTGCAGTTGAGATAGAGGAAGGCCACTGTCTCCTGCCTGCCCCTGGGAACTGAATGTCTCGGTATAAAACACGATTGTACATTTGTTCAGTTCTGAGATGGGAGAAATACCGCCCTATGGTGAGAAGTGAGACATGTTTGCAGCAATGCTGCCTTGTTATTCTTTACTCCACTGAGATGTCTGGGTGCAGAGAAACATAAATCTGGCTTACGTGCACGTCCAGTCATAGTACCTTCCCTTCAACTTCATTATGACATAGATTCTATTAGTCACATGTTTGTTGCTGACCTTCTCCTTATTATCACCCTGCCCTCCTACTACATTCATTTTTGCTGAAATAATGAACATAATAATCAATAAAAACTGAGGGAACTCAGAGAACGGTGCCAGTGCAGGTCCTTGGTATGTTGAGCGCCGGTCCCCTGGGCTCACTGTTGTTTCTCTATACTTTGTGTCTTATTTCTTTTTTGTCTCTCATCCCACCTGACTAGAAATACCCACAGGTGTGGAGGGGCAGGCCACCCCTTCATTATAAGATTACAGGCATGAATAACCCCACCTGGCCACCAAACTCACTCTTGAGAGGCCAGAAGTGGTGCTTGAACTTTCTTCCTCTGTGGGTTAAAAAGGGAAAATTAGGGAGAACACAAGGCATGAGAGATGCAGCGATGGATATGTCTATATGGAGCTTCTGTCTGCATCCAGTAGAAAATGCATTTCTAGGCACCAGGTTTAAGAGCGAAAACCTGGAGTCTTGTCTGTTAGCATTCTCCTTCCTCACAAACCAGAGAGGGAATACATTTTGCTCCAGCACATCCGGATGTAGGAAATGTCACATTCCTATTTCTGTAACTTCAGTTAAATCTGCTCTGAGTCCCTGGATGCCTGGCAGGTGGAGAATTCAATCTTGTCATTACCATCATTGCTTTCCCTTCTCCATGGGCTTATGTAAGAATTCTGGGCTTACACACTGTTGGAAAGCCAGGTAGGAACTACATCCCCCGAACTCTCCATTCTTCCAGCTGCTCATGATCCATCAGCCTTTTTTGGGCCATCTGCTATAAAAAGACCCTCCTCACAGCATCATTCCACTGAACCACAGGCTCAGCCCCAGGGACCCTCACTAGAACAGGTCTCCACTATGCATAGGAACTCACAAAAACCTTCTCTTAATCTTGGCTTCCTCTGATATCCAGCCACTCCCCCCTTCTCACCTTAAACACAGATGGCAGCTCTTTCCCATCGTTCCAAACCTCGGGGATTGTCCAGCCAAATTCTCTTCAGACACCAAGGCTTCACCCGCCCTCTACAGGGAGGTGCTGCAAGGGCATCTGAGATCTTTGGAAGCCCAATTCTGGCCTCTCTTTGGGGTGGGCTGAGAGTGGGAACTAGACTCTCTTTTCCAAGTGCCATGTTTATCTTGTTCATCATTATATTATCTCCAATGCCTGACACATAGTAGGTGCTATTAGTGTCTGTATAATGGCACTCTTGAGGTTGAAGCTATTAGCAGAAACCTACCAAGCAAAAGGATGTAAAACCGACCACCAAAAAAAAAATGAAAACAATCATGGCTTTGAGCTCTAAACACACAAGGCACCAGCCCAAGTTTGGGCAATTTTAATACAACAGCCATTTTGCCTCCAAACAAACTGGCACTGGAAACCTTCCTCTACCTCTTAAAGAGAACCAGTTACTCTTTCTCTAAGTGGGCAGCATTTCTCCCCAGTGACAGTACCCAGCCAACTGCCACCAGCAAAGGACTGCATCCAGGAGCCAAGAGCTTGATAGTTTAAAGAATATATTTTATAGGGAAAAACAAAGTAACATACACATAAATCTGGAACTACCACCACTTTCCAGAGGCCGAATCCCATTTGTGGAGCCTCTTGCATGTCAAGCACCTTGCAGTCAGCTCAACTACATACTTTTGGGATTCGTTGCAGAGAAGAGTGAAGGTTATCTGCAAAATAAAGGAACTAGGGCTCAGAATTCCCAGAGCAATCCATGACAGAGGAGGTGAGTAGAAAAGGGAAGGGTGAAGTCAAAGAGCGAAGTCAATGAGTTGGCCAACACCAAGCAAGGATCATGGGACCCTCTCCACGGCCCCAATCTCAAATGAAGTCAATAAAACCCATCAATGCTTGGTGTAAGTGTTGTATGCTCCTGGAAATGAAAGCAGGTGCCACATTTCAGGTCAGCAGGGTCGGGGGTAGAGCCAACGGTCATGGACTTGTGGGCCCTGGAGGATGGGATGATTCTGAGACATCGAATCCCTACACTGATCTCAGTAGAAATCTCAGGTAGGGCTTCAACATTTGTGGACCAAGGACTCTGTGAGCCTGAGAGCATAAGCCTTGGTGCATGTCCCGGCTCCATCAATCCCAACTGGGGCTTTGAACAAGTTACTTATTTTTTTAACTAACTTTATTTTAATTGACAAATCATAATTGTACACATTTATGTGATGTTTTGATATGTGTATACAATGTGGGATGATTAGATCAAACTAATTAACATGTCCATCCCCTAATTTATTGACAATTTTTATGATGAGACACTTGAAATGTAGCCTTTTAGTTATTTTGAAAGATACGTTATTATTGACTATAGTCACGCTGCTGTGTTATAGATTTCAAAGCATATAATCCAGCAACCCAACTTCTGGGTATAGACAAAAAAAAATCGAAATCAATATGTCGAAGGGATCCCTACATTCCTATGTTCACTGCAGCACTATTGACAATACCCAAGATATAGAATCAACCTACGTGTCCGTCAGTGGATGAAAGGATAAAGCAAATGTACTATATACACACAACGGAATACTATTAACCCTTAAAAAAGAAAGCAAGCCTGTCATTTTCAACAACATAGATGAACTTGAAAGACATTGTGTTAAGTGAAATAAGCCAGGCACAGAAAGACAAATACTGCATGATTTTACTTATATGTGGAATCTAAAGAAGTTGAACTCACAGAAATAGAGAGTAAGACAGTGTTTATCAGGGGCTGGGGTGGAGGAAAGGTAGCGGATAGGAGACACTGCTCAAAGGGTACAAATTTTCCAATAGGAAGAATAAGTTTTGAACAAGCTAAACTCCTCTCAAAGCTCAGTTTCTCATCTGTAGAGCGGGGACACATCATTAACCTTCTAAGGATGTTGCTGTGAGAGTAAGAGATGATGTTCAGCACAATACCTAACGCACAGTCAGGTCTCCTTAAGCTTGAACCTGCGTCGCCATGACCTCTACATCACAGGACAGAAAGGCTCACAGCCAGTGTCTCAGTTCCCAATGAAAAGTGGATCCCAGACCAGGCTGAACAGCAGGATCCCTAGGGGATACCCCACCCTACTGAGTCAGAATCACCAGAGGTATAGCCTGGATATGTATGTATGTGCGCATGTGTGTATGTATGTATGCATGTATGCATGTATGTATGTATGTATGTGAGACAGGGTCTTGCTCTCCAGTCCAGGCTGGAGTGCAGTATCACAATCATAGTTCACTGCAGCCTCAAATTACTCCTGGCCTCAAGCTATCCTCCCATCTCAGCCTTCAGAGTAGCTGAGAATACAGGCGCATGCCACCAAGCCCCGATACTTTTTTTTTTCCTGTTTCTTTTTGGAGAGAGTTTCACTCTGTTGCCCAGGCTGGAGTGCAATGGTGCAATCTTGGCTCACTGCAACCTCTGTCTCCTGGGTTCAAGTGATTCTCGTGCCTCAGCCTCCTGAGTAGCTAGGATTACAGGCATGCACCACCACACCAGGCTAATTTTGCTTTTTTCATTGTTGTTTCTTGTTTGTTTTTCACAAATAGGACTTCTTATTTGCCACTGTTTTAAGTCTGAACTTAAAACAGATTCTTGGACTGGTGGTTCCTATCCATCAGCTCATTCAACTTTAGCATGTGTCTCGTCCCTAGTGGGTTTTCCAGAACTACTACCTTCACCACGAAGCTCCATGCCTATCAAACCCAGGGTTCTCCAGCATTTTTACTTTTCTAATGAAGATATCATGGAGAGGATAAATTGGCAAGCCTTTTCTACATCTTTTCCAATGTTGTCTGGAATCAGTTTATTAACCACTTCTTTCAAGTCATTTGTCTGCACCTCTCAGGTCATGATTTCCATCATCTTCTTCTGGATTTGGCAGACTGTTGGTGCTAAGCATAAGAGGTCTTCAGTATCAGATTGTCGTGTTTTTTAGTAAAACCAACACAAAACAAAAGAAAGAAGTAACCATCGGTAGTCTTGACATCAACATGAGCTTCAATCATTGTTGAACATTTTTCAACCATGGAACATATTTTGTCACAGGTAAGACCCATGCCATAGAAGTTAGTCAGGCAGCTTTTGTCCTGAACATCTTCAGTAATCAGCTTGAATTTTCTAAATGCAACTTCATCATTCTGCAAATCAGCAAGACTCATTTCAAACACAAGACCCTTGAGACCATCAGATGCAATTTGGGTTCCTTGAGTCCTGGTGACCAAGTCTTTCCAATATTTCTTATATTGAACATAGCAGGTGCTTTCACATCATACTGATCTTTCATAGAGAATGGACCAACTACTTTCTTCTTCACTCCCTTTTTGCCACCTTTCATAAGGCACTTGTTCTTAACAACCGCCATGGTGCTGCTCAGAGTACCAAAAGGCTAAATTTTATATTTTTGGTAGAGAAGGGGTTTCACCATGTTGGCCAAGCTGGTCTTGAACTGATGTCAGGTGATCTGCCTGCCTCAGCCTCCCAAGGTGCTGGGATTACAGGTGTGAGCCACTGCACCCAGCTGATATTTATTTTTTCTTTTTTGTACAGACAGGGTCTTGCCATGTTGCCAAGGTTGGCCTGGAACTCCTGGCCTCAAGTAATCCTCCCACCGCAGCCTCCCAAAGCACTGGGATTTCAGGTGTGAGCCACCATGCCCAGCCTGGAATCTATTTCTAAAGCCAATCAAGTGTTGAATAAAATTGCATCTTGGGCTGTTTTTTCTTTGCATTTTTTTTACATTTCAATGGTTAATATATTCAGAGATACACGCAAACATTACCAGTCAATTTTAGAACATTTCATGACCTCAAAAAGAAACCTCATACCCTTTAGCTATCACCCCCTATCCTCCCATGCCCCTACCAGCCCTAAGCAACCACTAATCGACTTCCTATTTCTATAGATTTCCATCTGAATGAAATCATGTAGAATGTGATCTTTCATCTGTTTTGAAGGTTCATCCACGCTGTAGCGTATGTACTTTCCTCCTTTTTGTGATCAAATAATATTCCACCATGTGGGTAGACAACAATCGGTGTATCTCTTCATCTGGTGATGGGCATTTGGATTAATTCCCTCTGTGGGTTATTAGGAGTGATGCTACTGTAATTATTCATGTACAAAATTTTGTGTGGACCTGTGCTTTCCTTTTTGAATATGAAAATATGGCACATCTCCAAAGAAGACATACAAGTGGCCAATAAGCACATGAAAAGATGCTCAATGAAATTCATCATCAGGGAAACAGATATCAAAACCACAATGTGATACCACTCCATACCCATAAGGATGGCTAGAATTGAAGATAGAGAAAATTGGCGTGGAGTGGTGGCTCATGCCTGCAATCCCAGCACTTTGGGAGACCGAGGCAGGTGGATCACCTGAGGCCATGAGTTTGAAACCAGCCTGGCCAACATGGTGAAACCCTGTCTCTACTAAAAAAATACAAAAATTAGCCAAGCATGGTGGCAGGTGACTATAATACCAGCTACTCGGGAGGCTGAGGCAGGAGAGTAACTTGAATCTGGGAGGCAGAGGTTGCAGTGAGTTGAGATTGTGCCACTGCACTCGAGCCTGGGTGACAGAGAAAGACTTAGTCTCAAAAAAAAAGAAATACAGAAAATAACAAGTGTTGGTGAGGATGCAGAGAAACTAGAACTTTCATACACTGCTGGTAGGAATTAAAATGGTGTAGCCACTGTGAGAAACAGTTTAACAACTTCCCAAACAATTCTACATAGAGTTACCAAATGACCCAGTAATTGTACTCCTAGGTATAGGCCCAACTTGGGCTCTTTTAATCTATGGAAAATGAACTATGGGTACTTGGCAAGAACAAAGAGGGAGAGAGGCAGAAATGGTGCCATGAGGGCACATTGATTGGTCTCTAGTACACAGGGCTCCTACTGCAAATGGTCTCTAAATGACTTCAGCAGTTGCTCATAAAAAAAAAAAATCACCCTCTGCTCCAATCGTGGAGGAAGAAGTATGGATTGGACCTGGTGAGCCACGGTAAGACTGACGGCTAAACTTTATGAATGATGAGGGGATTTGCACGTATAATCTTGACTGTACTAGATTGTTTATTTTATCCACTGTCTTTGAAAACCTAACTCTTGACTAAGAACTGACTTTCCTGTACTTGTTGTTGACTCTAAGTAAATTTCCAATTCCACATAGTCCAAAGATGATGTGCTGAGAAATCTCTCAAAGGAAAAATGCTAAGAATACAGGCAGAGTTATGTGGCATATTTTGCAGAATTAACACAAATTGTACTTGTAGGTACGAAGCACAAAACATTTTCATGAGTAAAGGAAAAAGTGCTCTTCATTCTAGTAGAGGCTGCAGGATGAAGCCGATGAAGGTCCTTGCCCAGCCAGACCTTGGGCTCTTACCAAATTTGTGTCAGAGTCAACTCTGATGGAGTCTGTATCTCAGTCATCTTTTTTTTTTGACATGGAATCTCGTTCTGTCTCCCAGGCTGGAATGCAGCGGGGTGATCTCAGCTCACTGCAACATCTGCCTCCTGGGTTCAAGTGATTATCCTGCCTCAGCTTCCCAAGTAGCTGGGGCTACATGTGCGTGCCACCATGCCTGGCTAATTTTTGTATTTTTATTACAGACGTTTCATCATGTTGGCCAGGCTGTGCTCAAACTCCTGACCTCAAGTGATCTGCCTGCCTTGGCCTCCCAAAGTGCTGGGATTACAGGCATGAGCCACCATGCCCGACCTCAGTCATCTTTTATCCTCCACGCCTGGCAAGTTCTAGACACACTGTGGTTCCATACAAATTTGTTGAATAAATAGGAGACAGATAGAAAGTGGGAACTCTGCAAGTAGAGAAGATTTCAGAAATTGTGCATATTTCCCAGAGACTGTGGCCAAATTCCTCAGTCCTGCCAGAGTTTCTCTATCTAAACTCAAACTTTAAGTGTGGCCCCAGACACAGTGGCTCACAACTGTAATCCCAACACTTTAGGAGGCTGAGGTGGGCAGATCACTTGAGGCCAGGAGTTTGAGACCAGCCTGGCCAACATGTTGAAACCCTGTCTCTACTAAAAATACAAAAATTAGACAGGCATGGTGGTGTGCAACTGTAGTCCCAGCTACTCGGGGGGCTGAGGCACAAGCATTGCTTGAACCCAGGAGGTGGAGGTTGCAGTGAGTCACGATTATGCCACTGTACTCTAGCCTGGGCAATAAAGCAAGACTGTCTCGAAAGAAAAAAATACCCTTATGTGTGGGGCTTGTTACAGAATTAATGTTTATATGGACAATATGTACATGGGTGTATGTTAAGAGCATGAGTCATCCACAAGATTTTAGCAAAGTCCATTTACAAAGCTCAATGTTTTCGGCTTCCACTTGCCTTGCTGCCTCTGTCCTCAGAAGGAGGCTTCATCCTTCCATGTAACCAGCAAATCCTTTATGCAGAGATGTACACAACACACTCCTATCCTTGGCTATGACACCTTGAAAAGTTCCACTTGGTGGCCCCTGGTGCTCATTTCAGAGTAGTTCAAATTAAGGTGATCAGCTTTCATGCCAATCACTCTACAAATCACTCCTATTATGACCAATTTTTCTAAATGCTTTATTGAATTATTACTTAAAGAAATGTGCACATAGAAGAGGTCAACACAGTACTTTTCTTACAAACTGAACATACTGGCCAGGCGCAGTGGCTCATGCCTATCATCCCAGCACTTTGGGAGGCCGAGGTGAGCAGACTGCTTGGGCCCAGGAGCTCGAGACCAGCCTGGGCAACATAGTGAGACCCCCCTCTCTACAAAAAATAAATAAATACAAAAATTAGGCAACAGTGATGGCACCTGCCTGTAGTTCCAGCTACTCAGGAAGGCTGAGGTGGGAAGACTGCTTGAGCCCAGGAGGCAAAGGCTACAGTGAGCCAAGACGGTGCCACTGTGCTCCAGCCTGGGTGACAGAGCAAGATCCTGCCAAAAAAAAAAAAAAAAAAATTGAACGTCTCCATATTACCGACACCCAATTCAAGAAACAGAACATTACAGCCCCTTCCAGGATGTTCCTGGGGTCTCTTCCATCTCTACTAACGCCTGACTACAAACAGCCTCTACCTATTTCACCAGACATTGTACTTTATGAAAGCAGCAGTTCTCAGATGGGGCTATTTTGCTCCCTGGGGACATTAGGCAATATCTGGAGACACTGGGGGTTGTCTGTACTTGGAGGAAGTTGTGTTACTGCATCCAGTGACTCCAGGGATCCAGGCATGCCGCTCAACATCCTAAAATGCACAGGGAACCCCCACACATACAACAGAGAAATTGCTGAGCCGAAATGTCAGCAGCCTCACAGCTGACACCCTGACATACACAGAATCACACAGTATCTGCTCTTTCGTGCTCAGGATCTCTGTCATTCTAATCATTTCATAGGAAACAGAAATGTCATTTGGAGGTAGGTAGAGTCCAAAACAAAGAAGATCCAGAGTTTTGTTTTTAATCAGCCTGGTGCCTTTAGAGCTAGGATTTAGTTTCCGTTCTTTCTGTCTCATTTTCAAGTGACTTTTCTTCAACTGGCATCTTCTGGGCTCAAGACCTGGAGATCCCCACAAACCTGAGATTCACATGGGAATTTTCTACACACCCACACAGGTATACATTGCCATTTACATGCAGACATCAATCCACAGATACACACATCCGGAGACCAAGACAGAAAGCAAACTCCAACATAAAAGCACGGTTCCCCGAATAGGAGAAATGCACCATTCACTCCAGGGAGGTACCTATTTGTTTAATTCAGCCTCTGATAGGCTGTTGCCAAGCCCAGCTCTGAAAGTCTTCCCCTCTAGGAAAGAGAGATGGATTTTTTCTTTACTGAAGAATATGGATCTAAAAAAAACAAACACTTCTGCATCTCAAAGCAGGCTCTACCTCCTGAGCTACACATATTGATCAGCATTTTATTGTCAATTTTCTTTTATTTGAACTGGAGAAAAATATAACCTAATTGTGTTCTTACTGACAGTTTGGAATCGGTCACACTAAATCCAATTCTCTGGGTTCTCATGATTAAGGTGTTTAATTTGGGGGACAACAAAGCAAAAGCATTGGTCGTGTTTTAATATAATTAGTACAGGATATATCTAAGGGGTTCAAGTATCACTGTAGCAAGAAGCTCATTCTGCAGTAAAAGGGGGATTCTGCCACTAGGATTGAGTGAGGGTGGTTCATGGCTGCACCGTTTCATCAATGTCTCTTCAAGAGTCCATGGAATGTGGAATGGGAAAGACTGAAATAGTCCAAGTCTTGGCTAAGCTTCTATTAAGGGGTGTTAGGAGCTGATAAAATAACCTGGTCTTTATAGGCATCCCACACTGTAGTTCTCTAAGCTACAGATTCTCAGATTTTTCTATTTTATAAACCAGTAAAAATATTTTATTAATTTGAGAACCAACATAAGGTTGCTACTTTTTTTTCTTTTTGGTAAGAAGGAACTTTTTTAAACTACCAGTTTTACACACACACACACAAACACACACACACACACACACATACACACAGAAATTCCACCATGATTGGTCAGAATAGGTGAGGTTTTGCTGCAATAACAAACAACTCCTAAATCTTGGTAACTTCAAACATCAGAAGTTGTTTTTCTCACTCATGCTTCATCTGCAGGGAGGTGTGGGGTGCTCTGTTTCCCATCAAACTTGCCCTAAGACTAAGGCTAATGGGGGCTGCAATACCTCAAGTATCACCAAGCAGGGAACAGAGGGAGAAGAATGCTAGACAGTCTTGTACTAGGAATTAAATACTCCAGGCTAGAAGTCTAACACTGCACTTCTGCCCCCAGCCTCTTGGCCAGTACTAGCCACATCCCCTCCCCCACCACAGGGCAATGCATGAAGACAGGAGAATTGGATACATTACAAAGTTCTACCCCATGGCATTTCATAAAAGAGAAAAAAATGCAAATACAAAAATGTTTTAATAGAACAGAATATATACATTTTTAGAATAAAGAACAATCCTCCAAAAAGGACAGCTGGTGGTCTTTCACCAGTGGGTACATTTCTGTGACATAGTCTCTGTTTTTCCATTTTATCCTTGACCTATGAACATTTTATACAGATGGTCCAAAGAACACCATTTGGGGACCACTGCTCTAATCAGGTGATGAAAACGGCCCCAAGAACAGAGCACAGTCTTTTTAGCAAAGACCCAGCAGGGCCAGGGTGACCATGTTCTCACCATCAATGTGCAGACATCCACCTGCAGCATCCTCACATCCCAACATCAAACAGTGGCTCTTTGTAGCTTGATTCTAATGCCCTTTGATCTTCATCATCATTGTAAAGCTGTCTGGCCCCTAGATCTAACATCGCCACTCTAGCTACATCCTGCAACTGTTCACCTCTCCTGCCTCCTCATCCCTCTAAACTTCTCTTCACAACCTCATGTTTCCTTCTTGCTTTACCTTCCTGCTCAGCCTGGACCTTACAGTCACCTTCTTGTAATGTGCTCCTAAACGCGTTCTTCCCTGCCTTCAACCACACCCACCTGGAAAATCTCCATACCCCATTGATGACTTGCCTCGCAACTGCCCAAGGGCTGCTGAATGATACTGGGAAGAATCACAACATGGATCTGGTAGTTCCACTAAATAATCTCACCATCCAACTCTAGGGTAGACTTCACTTCTGTTCAGCAATATTTTTAAGCATGACAAATAAATTCCAAACCATATTTGCTATAATAATTAACTTTAAACCTCTTCCATATCTCAAAGCCCCCCAAACCCATCCCTAGGGGTTTCAGAGCCCAGAGTTGAGTTCTCTCAACTCACTTCCATCTCACCCCTAGATCACTGTATCTTGACCCTCTTCCTCTGCCTTTCCCATCTTATAAGGAGAAGCATCATTCTCCTTTCCCAAGCTACCTTCTCCACTTGTGCCTCATTTGAGACCTCCCTTTATCACCCATTCCCTTGGAACTCCCATGACTCACCACCTTCACTTGTCATTTCACTCATAAATATTTTGCACCATGTATGTGCCAGGCGATTAACATATAATCATGCTTAAGTCTCCACATGCTAACAGGAAAAACCTTGATTATCCCTGCTATGCCCTCAAGTCATTACCCTCCCCTCTCCTTTCCTGTGTTCCCAAACTTTGCTGATCTTCATCAATCCCTCTGATGCAGATGGCTCTGAAGTCTGCATCCTAATTAGGTTGGTGCAAAAGTAATTGTGGATTTTGCCATTAAAAGTAATGGCAAAAACAGCAATTATTTTTGTACCAGACTAGTATCTTTTCTCCTTCTACACAACTTTGTCCCTGAGCCATCTCATCACTTATAACTACCTCCTCCATGCAGTTGATTCCCAGGTCTGTATTATTCTACTGAAAGTCCATTCCCCAACTTTCTCGGCTGGAATAACAGAAGCCCAATTAGAATTCATGCTACCAGTTTCCCACCACCACCACCACCGTCGCCCTGCCATTGTTAGCAAAACCATCTCTTGAGTGGAGCTCAAAGATTTTTAATCTCCCACTCCCCAGAAAGATAAATTCAGACTCAGCCTAGAAGTAAAGATCCTCCAGATATGGCCTCAACTACCCTCCAACCCATGTCCCCAGTGTATCCTTTTGATGCCCCCTTCAGTGGAGTTAAAACGGAGTAAATGTTTTTCTTTTCACATACTCCTGGTGTTCTTCCACAGATACAATTTTCACCTCTTGACTATTTTCAAGGATTCTCCATGCTACACACAGAGAAATCCAAACTCCCCATCAGGACCACAGTCTTCCCAAACCCTCTTTGCACTTTTCTGACTCCATGCTTTTCCTTGGGTCATCTTCTTCTCTAATATAACCTTGTGTATTATTCTAGGTTCTCCAGAGAAAGAACAGAGAGATAGAGGTAGAGCTATACACATAGACAGAGACAGACTGATTTGTTTTAAGGGATGGCTCACATGGTTATGGAGGCTAAGGAGTCCTGGAGTCTGCAGCCAGCAAGCTGGAGACCCAGGACAGCCAATGATAGAGTTCCAACTCGAGTCCATATCTAAAGTCAGGAGAATATTGATGTCCCAACTCAAATATAATCAGGTAAAAAGAGCAAATTCTCTGTGACTCTACCTTTTTGTTTTGTTCAGGCCTTCAGTGGATTGGATGAGGCTTACCCACATTGGGGAGGACAATCTGCTTTATTCAGTCTACCAATTAAATGTTATCCTCATCCAGAATACCTCAGAGACACACCCAGAATAATGTGTAGCCAAATATCTGGGCACCCCACAACCCAGTCAAATTGATACATAACACTAACCATCATGTCTTGCTTCTACTCTCTCCACATTACTGCATGTCCAAATCCTTCCCTTATTTCAAGACTTAGGTCAAATGTTACCTCTTAACTAAGCCTTCCCTGCTAACCCCAAATATTAATAGAATTGGTTTCTCCCTTCTCTGATGTCTCAAAATATGTTGTGTTTCTCTTTTACTGTATTTATTATAAACCCTCTTATAAATCAAGACAGTGATTCCCAGACAAATTATCAAAAGAGTATAAAAGAAGTCTTCTTTGAGTTTGAAATATCTCATGGAATATAGTACATGGCCTCTTCATGAAGAAACTACTGGGAGAGAAGAAGACAAGCTGGAAGAGACCAGGGAAAGGGGGTTAGTACAAAGCACAATGAGGCTGTGCTCATACAGTGGCTCACACCTGTAATCCCAGCACTTTGGGAGGCCAAGGCCAGCGGATCACGAGGTCAGGAGATCGAGACCATCCTGGCTAACACGGTGAAATCCCGTCTCTACTAAAAATACAAAAAAGTTAGCCAGGCACAGAGGCAGGCACCTGTAGTCCCAGCTACTCGGGAGGCTGAGGAAGGAGAATGGTGTGAACCCGGGAGGCAGAGCTTGCAGTGAGCCGAGATTGCACCACTGCACTCAAGCCTGGGTGACAGAGCAAGACTCCATCTCAAAAATAAATAAATAAATAAATAAAGCACAATGAAATGTCAGTGGATGGGTGCCTATAATTTCTAAGGGAAATAGAGTATAATCCAAGAATTTTATAGCCAGCTAAATTATTGCCCAATCAAAATAGGCAATAGACACTATCACAAGTTCAAGAACTTAAAGAATACAGTATTTCTGAGCTCTTTAAAAAAAAAAGTCTTCATAATAAAATTTAGTCAGCCAAGAAATTAAAAAATAAGCAACTTGTGAATTGAATGACCATGACAAAAGGCTAATGATGAGAGGTGAATCCATTTAAAAATAGGACTATGATTGCAGAACAGAAAGAGAAGGTGGTCAACCTTAACAACATAAAACAACCTAGAAATAACTAGTTTCCAGAGGTAAAGGGAGGGACTGTAGGAAGTAGAAGTGTTAATGCCCTTTATTAAGTTAATTAATCAGGTCTAAAATTGAAACGTGGTTTTAAATATATAACTTCTTGTTTATTTTCCTCCCTAACTACCTGAGGATCAACCACCATCATGAATGGCACAGTAACTATCTGGACCAGGAAGTTCATGACCAATCGACCACTCCAGAGGAAACAAATGGTCACCAATGTCCTTCACCCCGGAAAGACAAGAAAATGTACAAGACCACAATATGTGTCATCTTCATATTAATAGTTGGACTCAGAACCCATGTTGGTGGTGGTTAAACAATGGGCTTTGGCATGCTATCTGGTTCTTTGAATTATGCAAAGAAAAATGAACTCAAACATAGACTTGCAAGACACAGCTGGCATGAGAAGAAGATGACCTCAAGAAAACAGCAACAGGAATGCAAGGGCAGAAAGAAGTCAAGAGACTGCAAAGGCCAATGTCAGTGCTGGCAAAAAGCAAAAGGAGTAAAGATTTTGCAATGACTTTATTTGCAGTGACTGTACAAATTTTTCATGAGATGATTAATAAACTGTAAAGACTTCTACATATATATAAAACATCTTAATAGTTTTCATCATCTTTGATTTCTTTGACGTTCTAGAAACTGATTTTTAGTGAGGAAAAACTACATTTATCTGAGTTGACCAGTTCCTTCAGTTTCACTTCCATTTCTTTTTCTTCTGATAAATTTACACAGCATTCAATTTGCTACTTCTTTTTAAAATCTGATTTTGTGCTATCAGAAGTGTCTGTTCATGTCTCTAGCCATCTTTGTGCATAGCAAGGAATGTTGTTCACTTAATATTAGGAGGTTTATTTCTTGGGGTCGTGAGATTTGGGGTGATTTCTCTCCCTTTTTGTACTTTTCTGTATTAATTTTTTGAGACAATGTCACCAATGTCCTTCATATTAATATTTGGACTCAGAAACCATTTTGGTGGTGGTTAAACAATTGTCACCTACATTGGAGTGCAGTGGTACGATCTCAGCTCACCAAACCTTCGCCTCCCAGGCTTAAGCAATTCTCCTGCCTCAGCCTCCCCTGTAGCTGGGATTACAGGCGCGCACCACTACCGCCTGGCTAATTTTTATATTTTTAGTAGAGGTGGGGTTTCACCTTGTTGGCCAGGCTGGTCTTGAACTCCTGATCTCAAATGATCCACCCGCCTTGGCCTCCCAAAGAGCTAGGATTACAGGCGTGAGCCACCGTGCCCAGCCTTTTCTGTATTAAATTTTTAAAAACATAACATTTAAAATAATCATCATTCTTTTTGAATCTACTTTGTATTATAGGTATCCAAATACTCACCTATTCTCTCTTACGTGATGACAAACTTGTTGAAATGTCATTTCATTTTGTGGCTCCAGCCCCAGGGATTCTGATTCTGATTCTAAAGGGTCTGCATGCAGAGCGAGCAAGCCGCCTGGATGATTCTCTTGCAGGTGTTTTAAGAGCAGGAGCTTGAGACACCCTGATGCAAAAGAACGAACCCTCAAGGAAGTTAGCTGTACATGCATTTTCCTTCCTAGCACAGGAAACGACAGAAAGATTATCCAATCAGTAGCACTCATAGTACCTGATTATATGTGTATGAGGAATTCAGAAATGGTTTGATCAAGGCTGAAGACCTAAAAAGAGGCTCTGCTCTTGGACACCAAGTCCCCATCTCATGCGTGGTTGAGCTAGTAGAAACTGAGGATGATGCTTCTTCCTCCAGCATTGGTATCCCATGGTTTTTGTTCAGTAGATGAAGTATCTCCATCCCCCAATATCCCCAAGCTCTATCCCAGTTTCCTCACATACACTTTTTTTTTTTTTTTTTTTTTTTGAGACAGAGTCATGCTCTGTCACCCAGGCTGGAGTTCAGTGCAGTGGTGCAACCTCAGCTCACTGCAACCTCCACCTCCCAGGTTCAAGCGATTCTCCTGCCTCAGCCTCCTGAGTAGCTGGGATTACAGGCATGCGCCATCATGCCTGGCTAATTTTTGTATTTTTAGTACAGACAGGGTTTCACCACGTTGGCCAGGCTGGTCTCAAACTCCTGGCCTCAAGTGATCTGACCACCTCAGCCTTCCAAGTGCTAAGATTACAGATGTGAGCCACCGTGCCCAGCCTCCTCACTGACACTTTTACAGAAGACCTGATCATACCCACTCCGCAGAAGTCAGAATGGCCCCCACGTGGTGTTAAAAGGGAGTGAAAACTTGAGTTCAATCAACTGAGGGTGACACAGAAACAATTCCCCCAAAATGCTTTTGGCAGCTTTGCTGATCCATAACCTTGCTCCATTTCAGGGCAAGACTTCCACTTAAGCTGCACTGGCTTCCACTAGAGTAAGTCACATTAACTCATGGTAAACACAACTGAAGGGCAAAAAGATTCTTTTTAAAATGATTTTTGTCTCTCACTTACCAGCACACGCTGGCCTCCCTAGAGCCTGACTCCACTCAGCACCTGTTCCACTGAGCACCCACTGAAAGCTCAGCTCATGAGCTGAGATGACCCAGACATCAAGGAATTTACAATACAGGGGAAAAACAGATCTGAATACAAGGGGTGACAATACAAGACGGAGTCAAAGAGCCCAACTTGAAGTTTCAGCAGAATAGCACCAAAGACTAGTTCCCAACCCAGCTCCCAGAGCCAGAGCCAGAGCCAGAGACAGGCTGGCTGCATGAGATCACCTGGGAGCTTTTGCAAACATAGGTCCTAGCTGAGCCCCTAATCATCAGACTGGGAGTCACTGGGAGTGAGCTCCAGGAATTGGTGTATTTAATAAGCACCCACACACACATGATTCTGATGTTCCTAAGGGTTGTAGAAACATGGAACTATGGAAAACACTAAAAAAAAAAGGCACTAAAAGAAACCTATAAATATTCACTACCATCCCAGGCATCATGAGGGTGCTCCACGTGCACTATTTACAATACTTAGAATAACCTGCAAGGGAGGCATTCATTCATGATGGGCTTTATCGGGATCAGAGCCAGCCCTGGGAATGCTTGAACCTGCGATGAAGGTCACCCCCTTCTCCCCACAGCAGGGGGCTAATATTAAGGAGCAGGGGCCAGATGGGAAATGGAGTGTCCTTTTATTATGAGACCACGGTGAGAGACCTTTTTTTTTTCCAGAGTCTCATTCTTGCCATACAGGCTGGCATGCAGTGGTGCAATCTCAGCTCACTGCAACTTCCGCCTCCCGGGTTCAAGCGATTCTTCTGTCTCAGCCTCCTGAGTAGCTGCGACTATAGGCACCCGCCACCACGCCTGGCTAATTTTTGTATTTTTAATAGAGACAGGGTTTCACCATGTTGGTCAGGATGGTCTTGATCTCTTGACCTCATGATCCACCTATCTTGGCTTCCCAAAGTGCTGGGATTACAGGTGTGAGCCACCACGCCTCGCCTGAGACTTTCAAGTAAAGCCACAATGGACCACAGAGCTTAGACATCAGGGCTAACATGGAATCTCTGTCATTAAATCTTGAGATCTTATTATCTTTGCTCAAAGAAAAAAATAATCACAATTGACATTTTGAGGACAAGACATCTGAATGTAAACTTGATCTTAGAGGATATTAAGGAATTATTGGTAATTTGATTAGGTATGACAATGATCATATAAAAAATGCCCTCATGTTTTTAGAGGGAAAGTAAATTACGTAGGGGTGAATATCAGGATGCAATTACATAACTACTGTGAACTATTTTTTAAATACTTCAGAAAAACAAATAGAGTAAATATTGCAAATGTTAATAGTTTTTAAACCTATGTGATGGGTATATGATAGCTCATTCAACTGGTCTCTCTACTTTTATGTATATTGACAATTTTTCATAATAATAATAATAATAAACCTTGGCCAGGCAGAGAAGCTCATGCCTGTAATCTCAGCACTTTGGGAGGCCAAGGTGGATGGAGGACTGCTTGAGCCCAGGAGTTTGAGACCAGCCTAGGCAACATGGTGAATCCTCATCTCTACAAAAAATAGACAAATTAGTCAGGCATGGTGGTGTGCACCTGCAGTCCCAGCTACTCAGGAGGCTGAGGAGGGAGGATCACCTGAGCCCAGAAGGTCAAGGCTGCAGTGAGCAAGGTCATGACACTGCACTCCAGCCTGGGCGACAGACCCTGTCTCAAACAAACAAACAAGCAAACCAAAACCCTCTTGATCCCATTTCCCAAAAAAATGATTTTTTTGAGAGCTTACCATCTCCTGGCTTGGTGCAGAGTACAGGAAATCAAGACAAAGTACAGCACACAAGGAATAAGGAGGGAGGGAAGCGTGGGGGAGGCTGACACCGTGGACTCTCCCAGCTCAGTCGACCCATGCGCCTTGCTTTATGGAAGAAAGGAATGGAAGATGAGTCATGCCTTCAGCACACAGTGATCTTCCTCACTAGTAAATGTGCCTCCAGAAGTGTCCAAGAACTCAGTGCCAGAGCCAGGCTGTCTGCATGAGAATCGCCTGCGAGCTTTTGCAAACATAGGTCCCTACTGGGCCCAAATGTATTCGTCTCTTGGAGAGGAGGAGAGAGGCAGAACAAGGAAAAGGATGGGAAGAAACCAGCCTTGTGCACAGGAGGATGCTGGGATTCCTCCTGCACATTTAGCGCAATGCAGCCTATTTTACAAGGTCACAGAAGCTCAGAGAGGTAAACCTGCCCAGGTTCTCATAGCTTTTAACTGGCAAAACCCGCCCAAATCTCTGTCTCTAGAGATGTTTCCACTTGCTTCAACTCTGGAGCTGTCTTAGTTGTAAAGACGACAGATTCCACTCATCACTCACTTTTGTTTGCAGATATTGCCTAAGGTCCCTTGTGAATATTTAGGTCAGGGCTGTTTTTTTGAGCATTTTGTTTGTTTGTTTGTTTCTTGTTTTTTTTACAAAGCAATCTTGTGGTAAGAACCCAAAGTGGCTCCCCCATTTAAGACCCTGTAAACAGAGAGATGAGAGTCTGGATTCCTGATCTGGTTTCCACCCTTCCTTAGATTTCCCTGTGTGTAAAATCCAACAACAATATTTGACAAATTGCCTCCCCTAGGGGAGAGATGGAGGAAGTGTTAACTTTGCTTTTTTTTTTTTTTTTTTTTTTTTTTTTTCTGTTTTCAGACAGAGCCTCGCTCTGTCGCCCAGGCTGGAGTGTAGTGGTGCCATCTCGGCTCACTGCAACCTCTGCCTCCTCAGTTCAAATGATTCTTGTGCCTCAACCTTCCGAGTAGCTGGGACTACAGGTAGACGCCACAACACCTGGCTAATTTTTGTATTTTTAATAGAGATGGGGTTTCACATATTGGCCAGGCTGGTATCGAACTCCTGGCCTCAAGTGATCCACCCCCCACAGCCACTCAAAGTGCTAGGATTACAGGCATGAGCCACCATGCCCAGCCACTTTGCTAATTTTTTTTAATACACACCTTCGAGGTCCAGTATGATTTCACAGATTAGGAAACATCACAGGCAAAGAAGAACACTTTGCATTCAAATAGCAGAATGTTTTCATTTTCAAGGAGCTCTCACCTGCCATCTAATCTTGTCTTCCTAGCAGTCCTGGGAGAGAAGCAGATGTGGTTTTCAATCCCACTTTCCAGAAGAGGAGACTGAGGCAGAGGCTTTGCAGATACACAGAGGACATGTGAGGACAGGTGAAGGTCATGATCATTGTCAGCCCCCTGCCCCAGCTGGACATTCCCAGATCTGGTGGACTTCCAGCCAGAGGAGACAGAAGGACTGGATCACTCAACTCTGCCATGGGTGCCAGGACCCAATTTTTCCCTGGCTAACTCGGTCACCTCCTGTCTGGGATCTCCAACTACTACCCATCCCACAAGTCTCAGCTAAAACAGCAATTCAACGGGGAACTTTTTTCTGACGCTCCAAGATTGGGCCACGCCCTCTCCATGGCTCTCTGCCCTTCCCCTACTGCAGAACTTAGCACCTGTATGTCACTACTGGTTCAAACATTGTGTCTTTCATATGCTCTCCACGTTATCTGCAGCATCTGCCAAGAATAATAATGAATGGCAAAACCTAATCTCTATTGAGTGTCGATGATGCACTTTTAATGTGTCATCTTATTTAATCCTCACTATATCTGCAAGAGTAGAAGCTATTAATAGCCAATTTTCAGATAAGAAAATCAAAGCACAGTTTCTATAACTTACCCAAGCAGCTAGCTAGGAGGCAGCTCAATTTGAGCCCAGGGAATCAGATTCCAGAAACCATGTTCTCAATTACTAGAACAGATACCTCCCCAGAATCTAGTAGGTGGTTAATGAGTCTTTGTGGAATAAATGAACAGAAGGACAAGCAGTGGATGGATACGTAGGTGGGTAGGTGGATAGATGGGTGGATGGAAAGATGGGTGGGTGGGCAGATGGATGAATGAATGGATGGTTGACTCGGTGAAGGGATGGCTGAGTGGGTGGAGAAATGGATGAGTGGGTGAGGGGGTGGAGGGATAGATAAATGGATGGACCGGTGGGTGGATAGATGGGTAGATGAGTGAATAGGTGGATAGAGTCATGGGTGAGTGGATGGATAGATGGGTTGGTGGGTGGGTAGGTGGATGATAGCTGCGTGCATAAGAGAGTGGGTTGGATGGATAGATGGGTGGGTGGGTGGACAGATAGGTAGGTGTGTGGATGGATGTATGCGTGTCTGGATGGATGGATGGATGGATGGATGGATGGATGGATGGATGGATGCATGGATGGATGCATGGATGGATGGAATGGTGGATGGATGGATGGACAGATGAACAAATGGACTTGAGCATTTATTCAGGGTCCTCCAAAGAATTGAGTGATTTCCTAGGGTGTGTCATCACCTGCAGGTGTGTGGGCAAGGTGGCTTGCCTCTGTAATACTCATGATTATGGGTAGTGCTCAGCCTTAGTCGCCACTCTCAGAACACTTTATTGACTAGGAAAGTCAAAACTGGCACTGACAACTAATGCAAATTACAGCTATAACTAACAGAAGATGTTGAGTGATGACAGCTGAGCAACCAATAATCAATAACTTGGCTGTGTCATGTTGCTGCCATGCTGGACAGGTTGAGTCACGGGTTCCTTGATCCCTCCATCACATTGAGGTTGCTTATCAAGACTTCCCCAACCATGGGGACAGGGATCTTATCAAATGCTTGCAGTTCACCCCAAAAGGCTCACCCTCTTCGTTCCACCTGCACATGACCTTCAGCTCAAAGACATTTCCAGTCCTCCAGGTCAGCCCTTCTTCCAGCCTTTGAATTAACCCTGATGACTGTCTGCCCATTAAGTGTCTTCACCATTCATCACACAGCCTTTTCCAAGGCTTTCCTTCAGTCCAGCCCTCACTAAACGCTGGAACTGTTGTTGACAAAATCCAGAACAAGTTGGCTGGGAGATACAGGTGGGAAGCAGGCTGTAGTAATGGGGAAAAATTCTAAGCAATCTCGAACACAGAAAAGAAACTGAACAGGTAAGAGAGAGGCAGTCAAGAGAAGAAGTGTTAATTTTGCATAACTGAAGCTGTGGAAGATCGGGGGGCATGGCAGACCACAAGATAAATATGATATAGACTCCTTTTTAAAAAAGTATAAACACCCACCCTTTCCTACTGACAACTGTGCTTCAAATATTGCTAAGGTCTTTACTAAAGGCGAGTCAGAAAAACGGGGTATTTTATGCAATACAGTAAGAAGGCCCATAGGCAAGCATGTTCCTGACACCACCTTCTAGGATAACCCCTGGGATTCTGGTTACACCTGTCCTAAAGTTGTCTCTCACTCCTGCTGTTGGAGAACTACCATGACAGAAGAACCATAGTGAAGTGGTTAAGAGTGTGCACCCAGCGACCAGCCAGATGGCTTCAAACCATCACTATCTAATACCGAGCAAGTTACATAATGTCCCTGAGCCTCAACTTTCTCATCTGTAAAATGGCTATGCCATCATTCATTAATCAAATTCTAGGTGAGCATATACTAAACACCAGAGACACAAATGAGAATCAGGAACAGGCATGGCCCTGGCCCTCATGGTGACCACAGTCTTGAAGGGGAAGGATGACACGCACAGAAATAGGAAGCCATAGCTGAGCTCATGACATCTGGTGTCATGAAAGCAGTTAACAGGGGGTTGCTGTGACTGAGTCAGTGTGGCGGCCAGGTGTCCCTGAGGATGTAGTGACTCCACTGTCAGATGAGACCGTGACCAGGTGAACAGGTAGGGAGAGGGAAAATCGTTCCAGGCAGAAAAAGCAGGATGTGCAAAGGCCCCGTGGCAGGAAAAGAGCAAAGGAAGTGCAAGAGCCTGAAAGAGGCCAGAAAGAACAAGTGAACATGTGGATAATCACAGCACCCACCTCATAGAGGACTTGCAAGAAACTGAGACACTGTCTGTAACAGATTCAGCAATGACTAAATAGAAACTATCTCCTAAAAGCACAGGATGAAACTCCTTGGTGGTATTTCCCATGTGAGGCTGCCATGGACTCAGAGGCCAAGTTCAACCTGCCTGTAGACAACCTCCAAGCCAGCTGGACACACATACAGCCTCAGGCTCAGGATACCCAGGACAGAGTCCTGGATGCTTGAAGTCACGATAAGTATCTAGAATGACACAGAATTCCGGCCAGGCATGGTGGCTCACATCTGTAATCCCAGCACTTTGGGAGGCCGAGGTAGATCACCTGAGGTCAGGAGTTCGAGACCAGCCTGGCCAACATGGTGAAACTCCCTCTCTACTAAAAATACAAAAAAATTAGCCAGGTATGGTTGTGGGTGCCTGTAGTCCCAGCTACTCAGAAGGCTGAGACAGGAGAATCGCTTGAACCCGGGAGGCAGAGACTGCAGTGAACCGAGATTGCACTATTGCACTCCAGCCTGGGCAGCAAAAGTGAAACTCCGTCTCAAAAAGAAAGAAAAAAAAAATAATGACACAGAATTTGCTAAAGGGGGAGAAAGGGCTTTCTTCCAAAGCCCTTTCAGATGAAAATTAAGCAGCTCTTTGCAAGCAGCTCTTTGCAAGCACCTCAGAGGAGAACCCCTCACCCTGATGAATCAGGCACACAGGCTGATACAAGACAATTGGCTGCGTGCATGTGAACAAGCCTATGGTGGAAATGCAGTGCTTTATTTGTTTGTGGTGGTTTAATCACCAGCAGGGAGAAGCTTCTAAAGCAGCATTCAGAGGTGGCTGTTGCCTAGGTTTTCTGGAAGGGGGAGGCGGTGAGGATGAGGGCTTCCATTTCATCTGTAGGCCCCTTGCAGAAAGAGCTGGGGAAAGCTTTGCAGCCATCTGCACACTGTTTGCCATCTTGTCTGGCTGGGCAGCCGAGCTCCAGATGGGGGCGGATGGGATAGCTCTTGCCACCGTATTTGGAGAGAGATGGCAGGGAAGTCAGCCCCCATGAAGAAGACAGGAGCACACAGGTGCTGGGCAGTGCTGCCTAGGCCCCTGGGCTGAAGTGTCCAACCCCAGAGCCTCTAGGTGCCACTAAAGCAGCCCAAGAGGACCTTCTCTGTCCATCTCCATCCTGGCACCTACAGACACTTGGAGAGAGTCCTTCACATGGGAACTCACAAATGCACACTGATAACCCCCACACGGAACTCTCATACGTAGCAAGTGAAAAGACAGGATGCCAGTTTAACTTGAATTTCAGATAAACAACAAATCATTTTTTAGGGTAAGCAGGTCCCAAATATTGCATGGGATATATTTGCACAAAAAAAAAAAAAAAGGTTAATGAGAAATTCAGGTTTAATTGGACCTCCTGTATGTTACCTGGCAAGCCTAACCCTGCATAAACACAACCTCGAGCTTGAAACTCACAGAAAAGCCACGGCCGTGCTCACACATGTGCACAAACCCATATGCCTTACAGAGTCAAGGGCTGTGATGAGGGTCCCCACCCTTGCACATTTCCCTGTCCTCTGTCTGGGCTCAGAGTAAACAGAGGGTCACCTGGCATCCAGGTCTAAGCTGGACTTGGAGGTGTCCTAATGAAGCAGGATGCTGACATGCACTTCCCCAGCTAAGCCGGGGCTGCAGCCAGGCCTAGCTTCCAGTCTCGGGCCTAGAACACACAGCACAGCCCCAGACCTTGGCAAGAAGCCTTCATCTCAAGGGCCACTGGTGCAGGACCTATTAGAAGCCCCACTTCTTTCCTCTGTTTCTGCTGCCATTGCCCCAGTCTCTGACCCTGACACTCAATCACTCTATAAACACAGCAGGTACTAGAGGTGGCTCTGGGCTCGGCACTAAAGACAATGCCCCTGGTAAAGCCACAGTCTAGCAATGACAGTCAACCACGTATCAGCAACAGCCCTGCCCCACACGTGCTGACTGCGCACAAGGCCGGCACTGTGAACGTGCTCTCAACAGTGATCTCACTGAACCCTCATGGCAGCTCTAGGATGCAGACAGTAGCATCACATTATTCCCATTTTACTTTTGAGGAAACTGAGGCCTGAAGGCGGCAAATGCAGGCCTCGAGAATTGCAGTAACATTGCCAGGAATGTTTGAGAAAGCAAACTTCTCCAGAGTGAGGCAGTCTGCCACAGCTCAGAAGCCTGAATACCTGTTAGCAGGGGCTGGGGGGACTGTGGGGTGAGGGCAGACAAGCACGTAGGGGCTGGAACCCCCAGGACACCAGGATGCAGACTGGTGTGAGTAAAAGAAAGAGAGGCGGTCGTGCCATCATCTGCAGAAGATGATGTCTACAGAGGACAGTACCATGTGAGCCCTTGGGGAGCCGGATGACTGGATGGAATTTTGCACAGGATGCAAATTAAGCACAGATCCCCCTCTGACCTAGACAGCCCACCTCCAGGAACATCTCACAGAAATGCAGGCACAGAGCACCAAGTGATGTGTGTAAGGAAATTCATCAGAACACCGTCTGTGATTGGGAAAAGGCGGAAACCATCCAAAGACGTATCGGTGCAGGGCTGGTTAAATGAAGCAAGGTGCATCCACACGTCAGAATAACTGCTGGGAGAAGAAGGTGGTACCCAGGTTCCAACGTGAGACAATGTCAAAGACATGCTGCCTGAAAAGCAGGCTTTCCAAAGAATAAATACGGCATTATTCCATTTTTACTTTTTAAAAAAGTTACAATAAACACTTATATGCAAATACATGTGCTTGTGTGCACAGAGGAAAAAGGTGTGGACAGGAACAGAAAACCAAACTCTGCGGGTTCTCACTCATAAGTGGGAGTTAAACAATGAGAACACATGGACACAGGGAGGGGAACATCACACACCGGGGCCCGTCGGGGGTGGGGGACAAGGGGAGGGAGAGCGTTAGGACAAATACCTAATGCATGCAGGGCTTAAAACCTAGATGACGGGTTGATAGGTGCAGCAAACCACCATGACACATGTATATCTATGTAACAAACCTGCACATTCTGCAAAACATAGAATAAAAAATAAAAGGAAATCAAAGAAAAAGGTGTGGAGAGGTATACCCCAACCCTTCCCAGTGTTACCTCTGAGAAGCAGGACCAAGAAAAGCAAATCAAGAGGATGTTCAGTTTTTTGTTTTATATATATATATATATATATATATATATTTGGAAACATAGACTCGCTCTATTGCCCAGTCTGGAGTCCAGGGACACAATCTCGGCTCACTGCAACCTCCTCCTCACTGCAACCTCCTCCTCACTGCAACCTCCTCCTCACTGCAACCTCCTCCTCACCGCAACTTCCTCCTCACTGCAACCTGCTCCTCACTGCAACTTGCTCCTTCTGGGTTCCAGTGATTCTCTTGCCTCAGCCTCCCAAATAACTAGGATTACAGGTGCGCACCATCAAGCCCGGCTAACTTTTGTATTTTTTGTAGAGACAGCGTTTCACTATTTTGGCCAAGCTGGTCTCAAACTCCTGGCCCACCCGCCTTGGCCTCCAAAAGTGCTGAGATAACAGGTGTGAGCCACCATGCCTGGCCTGCATTGCTTGAATTCTCAGACCACATGGACCCTCTCATCTGGTCCAATTGCAAGAGTCCAAGGCAGGAAAGGCAGAAGGCAGGGGCTTACCCCTCCATCAGGACAACATAGAACAGAGTCAAAAAAGAAAAACATGAATGGATCAGTCAAAGGGCCATGCACATGCCCTCCCAGGCACCTACACCTTGCAACTTAAGCCAACAAGCTTTCAAGCCACAGAGTCTTCCTTCCTAGAGACTAGCAAGGACACTAGCCCTGGCCAGGCCCCTTTAGGAGGATGGTCTGAGGGATAAGGTCGGGTGCACAGTCAGGGGTAGCAGGAGGAAAGGGGGACACGAAGCCAAGGAAACCAGGGCACCCCATGCTTCCTGAAGGCCACCAGAACAGGGCATCACACAGAGCCCCTGTGTACCTCTTTCTACAACAGCCTGAACACAAGGAAAAGGAAAACAAGGAAAATACACAAAGCCCAGCCTCACCTGGAACAGGTTAAATAAAGGTGTGCGACTTTGTCTTCATGTCCTTTGGAATTGGAAATCCAAGCTTCCTCTTCTGTGCCTTTAAGGTCCTTGTTGCTGCCCCACAGCTCCCTTCTCTTCCCTCCTCCTTTTGTCCTGACTTTTTTTTTTTTTTTTTGAGATGGAATCTTGCTCTGTTGCCCAGGCTGGAGTACAGTGGCACAATCTCAGCTCACTGCAACCTCCGCCTTCCGGGTTCAAGCAATTCTCGTGGCTCAGCTTCCCGAGTAGCTGGTATAATAGGTGTCACCATGTCTGGCTAATTATTGTATTTTTAGGAGAGACAGGTTTTCACCATGTAGGCCAGGCTAGTCTCAAACTCCTGGCCTCAGGTGATCCGCCCACCTCGGCCTCCCAAAGTGCTGGGATTACAGGTGTGAGCCACCATGCCTGGCCCTCTTGTTCTAACTCTGCCATCTCTTTGCAGTCTCCCCTGAGCAGCTTTTCCTTGGTCCGCACTGCCCCCCTCCAGAGCTGCACTCTCAAACCACCCCCAATGCCCTCTGGCCCTGGCTCCTGCCCTGGGGCTCTGATCCTCAGCTGGTGAGGTCTAGAGGGTCAGAGGGAGCCAGACTCCTTAGAGAAGCTAAGGCAGGAGCCCTGTGCTGGGATGTGGGTAATCTGCCCCCCTCCAGCTGGGGCCAAATAGAAGGGGGAAAGGCTGACCCCAGAATACAGGGCCCTCAGAGGCCCTGGGGATCTGTGCTGGCAGTCAGGAGGACTGTCACCTCAGTGCAGTTGCCTGCAAGTAGGGCTGTGCAGGAAGCTGCAAGTTGCTGAGAGAACAAAAAAAGGAAATTAAATGCACCATCTGGTTATTAGCAAAAGCTTTTGAGGCAGACACTTAAATATGCATGCCTAGACATTGTAAAACTTGGGGGAAATGTTAATTTCAATAACGCCACTTCTTGTGCTTGCAGAAACCATTCTTTTATCTCCCTTCCTAGTCATTTGTGGGCTCCATCCCTCAGAGTGGCAGCGCCAAGACAGCCGGCCTCACTGGGTTTTGTAAGCTGTGCAAGGTGAGATCCCAAGCCCTTGCCTGGAGACCCATCCTAGGAAAACGTTAGAACAGGGCAACAAGTTGCCATTTCCTCCCTCCTTTCTCTTCCCCATACAAAAATCAGAAAGCACACTAGCCCCGTGCCCAGCCACAGTGATGAGGAAACCCCACTCAAAATCCTGGGTTGTGCCCCTGATACCAAAGATCTGCAAAATTGGGACTCATCTGCTGCAACCCTAGCCCAGACTTGTGTACATTTCAGGGGTGGCTGGACTCATGGCCGCCTGGGACGTCAGGGTGGTACAAAGTCCTCTTAATCTAAGACTGTCGGGGTACAAAGATAAGCATTTTTTTTCCTTTTTCTTGAGAGCCAGATGGTAAATAGTTCAGCTTTGCAGGCCATAGGTCTCTGTCCCAACTATTCAACTCTCCATTGTAGCAGGAAAGCAGCCACAGACAATAGGCACTGAAATGGGTGTGGCTGTGTTCCAATAAAACTTTATATGTATGAACAGGCAGGGAGCTGGTTCTGGCCTGTGGGCTACAGCCTGCCTCCTCTGCTACAGCGTGATCTCCAAGGACCGATCCGTCTTGTAGACCAGCAGCTGGCACACAGGAGCTGCTCAGATACTTGAAGGAGGAATGGAGAAGGCAAACAGCCCCCAGTATGCAGACGTGAGGGTCTCCCAGCGGCACCATCCTTTGCCATCTCATGCCGAGGGACAAAGCCAGAGCAGGGCTCTCCACCAAGGCGGGGTTCTCCTCCAAGGAAATGTGATAACAGGACAGAAAGCATCGTGGAAGGATAGGGGCTTTGGAGTCCCACAAACCACAGTTTGCAAGACCAGGAGCATCCTGCACTTCCTTGCACACATCCTGGGTGGGTGCTGGAGCATCTAGACTTAGAGTGAATCTTCTCCCCCTCCTCCCCCAACTGGCCTCCATTAAACTTCCAGCAACAATGTGGTGTATATACACAATGGAATACTATTCAGCCTTCAAAAAGAAGGAAATCCTGCCATTTGAGACAACATGGATGAGCCTGGAGGATATTATGTTAAGTGAAATAAGCCAGGCACAGAACAACAAATACCACATTATCTCACTTACATGTGGAATCTAAAAAAGTTGAACTCAGCCAGGCATGGTGGCTCATGCCTGTAATCCCAGCACTTTGGAGGTTGAGGCCGGCAGATTGCTTGAGCACAGGAGTTCGAGACCAGCCTGCATAACATAGCAATAGCCCATCTCTACAAAAAATACAAAAATTATTGGAGCATGGTAGTGCATGCCTGTACTCCCAGATACTCAGGAGGCTGAGGTGGGAGGATTGATTGAACTTGGGACGTCAAGGCTGCAGTGAGCCAAGATCACACCCCTGCACTACAGCCTGGGCAATAGAAGGAGACTGTCTCAAAAAAAAGAAAGAAAAAGAAAAGAAAAAAGTTGAATTCATAGAAGCGGAGTAGAATGATGGTTGCCAGAGTGGGGAAGTGGGCAGATGCCAAAGGACACAGAATGTCATTTTTAGAGAAGAATAAATTCAGGAGATCCGTGGGACAACATGGTACCTATAGTTAATAACAACATATCATACACTTGGGAATCACTAAGAGAGTAGATTTTTTAAGTGTTCTCACCACAAAAAAATAAGTCTGGGAGGTGATATGTTATTTACCTTGATTTAGCCATTTCATAATGTATACATACTTCAATCACATCATGTTGTATACCCTTTTGTACATAATTGTTGCCAATTCAATAAATTCAACAACTCCAAAAAACAAGACATTCTCTTTACAAAAATAATTATTAAAAATAAAATTCAGAATTCTATTGTATTTATTTATTTTTGAAACAGAGTCTCGCTCTGTCACCCAGGCTGGCTGAAGTGTAGTGGTGCGATCTCGGCTGACTGCAACCTCTGTCTCCCAGGTTCAAATGATTCTCCTGCCTCAGCTTCCCAAGTAGCTGGGATTACAGGTGTGTGCCATCATGCCTGGCTAATTTCTGTATTTTAAGTAGAGACAGTTTCGCCATGTTGACCAGGCTGCTCTCGAACTACTGATCTTGGGTGATCCGCCAGCCTCGGCCTCCCAAAGTGCTGGGATTACAACTGTAAGCCACTGTGCCCGGCCAGAATATAAAAGATGGTTTAATTCAACTAAAACATTAAAACATAGATTATATCTATAAGTGTTAATTGTTCTAATATGTTTTGGTCAAAATAGTCTCCTTACCTATCCACAATTAAATGGTTAATTGAGATTTGATTGGATTTTGATGAAGTTTTCAAATCATGATTGACTTTTCCAATGTATAGTAAAATGTGCTTGAAAATATTTCATAACAATTAATATTTAAAAATGGTCAGGCATGGTGGCTCATGTCTGTAGTCCCAGCACTTTGGGAGGCCAAGGTGGGCCGATCACTTGAAATCAGGAGTTTGAGACCAGCCTGGCTAAACCTCATCTCTACTAAAAATACAAAAGTTACTCAGGCATGGTGGTGCACACCTGCATTCCCAGCTACTTGGGAGGCTGAGGCAGGAGAATCGCTTGAACCTGGGAGGTGGGCTCCCCAGGCTTAAAGCAAAACCCCCATCTTGTCTGTCTCCATGCTCATCCCAGGCAATTGCGGTCATTTCCACAGCCTCAACCACTATCTACCTGGGATGCCTCCCAAGCCCGAGTATCCAGCCCAAATCTGCCTTTCTAGCCCCAGACCCATCTGTCCTGGCACACATTGCCCCCTGGGTCCCAAGCAACCTCAGCCAATGAGTCCAACGTCAACTTCCTGTCCTTGCCTGACACTGCCAGCCCTTAGATCAGACCTGACCATTCACCTCCAGTACCTGATAGGTCTGCCAGTCCTTTGGAACATATCCCACGAACATTCCCCAAACCAGGCACCGGACTCCGCACATCAATACCGTCATGTGAGTCACCAGCATCCCTGGCAGGGACCCCTGTCCCAGCCTCCAACTCATCTCCCTCCTGTCCCTTGAGTTCTGTGTCACAATCCAGAGGCCACGAGAAGAAAAATGACAACCATAATGAAATTAAAAGAATTGAGAAGACATCTCCGTATGGTCCAAAGTCTTTCCAACTGAGAAACACATATCAAGATCCAGCCTGCCAGCCCTGTGGTTAAATGTTCCTGAAATAATTAAAGCCCAGGGCAACACAGCCCCCATTCCAAAGTACTCCCAGCATAGTAAGACTTGCTTCTCTGGATGGGCTCGAAATGTCCAGTGTGTACCCTGCCCCTCTCTGTCGTAGCTAACAGGAATGGCTTCATGTCTTCTTCCTGCTCGAAGGACCATCCACCAACCTGTGCAGGCAGCACTTTTGGCCAGGGGAGGATGCGAGAACTTCCCACCATTTCCCACTTACACACTGCATTCCTCAGGAGCCTGCCCCACAAATTACAAGAGCGCCACAGCAGACACAACACGTTCCAGCAGGTGGCCATGTCTTCATGTCAGCTTGAAAGATCATCACCAGGGAAATATCTATATCTCGGCAGAGAGAGCTTCAGCCTGTGTAGTCCAGCTGTGCTCAAATGGAAATCCAGAAACCCAGATGTTGGTCCAAACACCCTGTCTCAGGGATCTGGCTCTGCAGGTCCCCAGCGTGGGAGTGAACCGGGTGGGCCACCTGCCCTGCCTGTCCACATCCCTGCTTCCTGGAATCCTGGACCCTGAGAACCAGGGGGACATGGTGGGGAACAGGCAAGTCTTGTGCAGAAAGCCAAGATGCCACCCAAATCCACTCTGCAGTCTAGGTGGGTGATATTCTGCTCTGCACCACACCAGTACATGAGGGGATGGAGGATGGAGTCTAGACAACCCAAATGTAGAAACATATTGCCCAAGTATTTTGTGCTTTGTCTGTGTTACAATGCTATGCCCAGCCCAGGGTGGTGGCTCACACATGTGATCTCAGCACCTTGGGAGGCCGAGCTGGGTGGATCACCTTAGGTCAGGAGATTGAGACCAGCCTGGCCAACATGGTGAAACCCCATCTCTACTAAAAATACAAAAATTAGCCAGGTGTGGTGGTGGGCAACTGTACTCCCAGCTACTTGGGAGGCTGAGGCACGAGAATCACTTGAGCCCAGGAGGTGGAGGTTGCAGTGAGCGGAGATCATGCCACTGCACTCCAGGCTGGGCAACAGAGTAAGACTCCATCTTAAAAAAAAAATAAAGATAAATAAAGGCTATGCCCAGCATTTTCAATGTACTGTCTTATTATCTCAGTAAATCCCATGTAACCTTCCCATGAAAGTGTATCTCATTTATCTCCATTTCATAGATGAGAAACCTGAGGCCCCTGGAGTTGTATTAATTTTCCAAGACTGCATTGCTGATAAAGAGTACAGCAGGGACCCAAGCTTGACACTCTCACCCTCAAACATTTCCACAAGTGTAGACCAATGGCTGTCAACTGGAGTGGTTTGGCTCACATACAACTCCCTTGCTCCACGGCATTTGAAACCGTCTGGAGACATCTGGGGTAGCCATAACTGGGAGGGTAGAATGGTACCTAGAGGATGGAGACCACAGATGCTGCTAACCATCTTACAATACACAGGACAGCCCCCCCACCACCACCACCACCATGAATGGTCTGACCCCAAATGTTGTGACTGTGCCAAAGCTGAGAAACCCAGGTTTCTCCTCAGCAGGAAGGGAAATCCCTGCAACGTGGATGCACCTCTGCAGGAAGCCCTCTGCAGGAGCCCCAAGCTGAGAATAACCTTCCTGATCTGGTTTCAACCCTGGATGCTTTCAACTGGTGCGTCCATCAAGGATTTCAGGGACTCCAGTGAGTTATTACCCTTGAATGCTCGGTTCTGCCTGACAACCCAGAAATCTCTGACAAGATGCCTGGTCTTGGGGAAGGCTCAGCAAGTGGTTGAGGTTGATAACCAAATATCTAGGAGAGACTTTTCTCTCCCTCCAGGAGGAGCTGTGGGTCAGACACACCCTGGGATCATTCACAAGTTGTCAATAAAGGCTTGGGGAGGGCTAGGTTTTCTAGGCCTTCTCAATGGGGTCGGTGTTTGTGGATACACAAGAAGCCTGTGAAACTTCTGATATTGGCAGGAAATCAATGCCCCCCACCCTCCATCCCCCCACATCCCCACTATAAACACATGCCCTGCAGCAGGACTTGCAACACAGGGGCTCCTGGGGTCCCGATTTATCTACTAAAACATCCTCTAGACACCATCGAATAAAGCAACCCCTTGCCACCCAACCACAAGATCACACCCTGGGAGCCACTCCAAGGGACACCAAGTCACATTAAAACCTCAGCCATCCTGAGCACCAGGCCTGGTGATGAGAAAGAACATTTTATCCTTAAAAGCATCTGAATGCCCATGCTGCTTCTTACAGAGAAAAGTCCAAAATAATCTGCTATTAAGGAACGAGGATGGTTTTGACATTTTTACCAAGCTAGTGGTCTACGCAGACAAAATCTCATAAAAGGGCACTCTGTTCTTCTTGATCCACTCAGACATGGCCTGTGAGTGAAGAAACGGGCTCTCCTCCTCAAAGAAATCACTGCTGATCCTCGTACCAGCCTGACACTGCTTCATGGGTTCTTCAGAAAGAGTATTCCCATAGAAACTAAAAAGGAAGAGGAATGTGTCTGGCGGGCATTGTGGGCAGCAGTGGGCTTTGGGCCAAATTTTAAGTTTGAAAATCAAGATTCCCTCTTTTCGAGGGGCCGCTAGACTGAGCAGATACAGACACCGTGAAAAGAGGGTACCATGTTCAGATTCAGGAAACAAGGATGGTTTCTATTCAGTTCCTCCATCATGCTTCAGGTCATGCGATTCCCATTACCCTCTGTGGACCAAACAATTCAGTGGGGTTTCTGTCTTTTAAATATTTCATTATCAACATATCATCCTTTTAGCCTCCAGAAAGCATTTTAACATGAAGATTCTGGCTTAAGACTCTTGTGGGTCTGTCTGTCTCTCTCTCTCTCTCTCTGTCTTTTCCTTGAAACAGGATCTCACTTTGTCACCCAGGCTGGAGTGCAGTGGCATGATCACAGCTCACTGCAGCCCGACCTTCCAGGCTCTAGCAATCCTCCCACCTCCACCTCCAAAGTCCTTGGGACTACAGGCACACACCACCATACTTGGCTTTTGTTTTGTTTTGTTTTTGTTTTTGTTTTTTTGGTAGATATGAGGCTTCACCACGTTGCCCAGGCTCGTCTTAAACTGCTGGGCTCAAGCGATCCCCCCTTCACCCTCTCAAAGTGCTGAGATTATTGGCTTGAGCCACCACGCCAGGCCAAGGACCTTGTCTCTTGTGATGCACCCCAGAACAAAACATCACTGCAAAAACACACTAAGGCATGAGTTTCAGTCCTAAGTCCCATTTATCCGCCATACACTATGTGCCAGGCACAACGCTAAGTGCTTCTATGGACGAGTTTCCCTTAATCTCAGCAGTAACAACCGCAGGCACTGGGGTCTCTAGACAGATCCATTTGCCACTGAAGACAGTAAGGCTCATAGAGGGTAAGTGGCTTGTGCCATGTCAGCCAGCGAAGGAGGGGCAGAACCAGGATCCAAACCCCAGCCGCCTGACTCCAGACTCCTGTTCCCAAGGTCCCACTACGCTTGGTCACCCTACTGCATTATGGTATCCTGGTCTTTGGCAGAGTCCACGTAAAAGAAGGAGGTAGAGGGAGTGACAGGGACTTTACGCAATAAAGTTTCCTGGTGTTACACTGCCACCGTAATTGTGTTCCCGACCAGTACCTCTCCCTTCTCATCCTTTCCGTGATCGGCCCTGGAAAACCTTCCAGAGAACTGTCCTCCTTCTCCCGGGATCTCAGAGAAAATTCACCTGAGTTCAGTGTCCAGGTGACCCAAGCTCTGAATGCGGTAACGTGCACAGGGAGATGAGGATGTCACCATGAGCAAGCCTCCCAGACAGCATCCAGGAGCAACCCCAAGACTGGGCAGGGGGGCTCTGATGCAACCCACGGCGAGGAGGGCTGCCCATGCTGCCTAAATGGGTTCAGAATGAAGACCGCCCTCTCTCCCATGTGGGGCTCATTAACCACGAATCCAATTATTAAGACAAGCTCAGTTAAGTAAATGGTCAAACATAAAAACATGTGGAAGGAACAAAGAGGTCAACCCCATTATCCATCAAAAACCATCAAGGTGGCGGCACTCACTGAGGGGTACAGCTCTCCAGCAGGCCTTCATCTGCCCTCCAAACTCACGTGCCTCCCCAGTGGAAGGCCAGCAAAGCCACACAGGAAGAGTTGGGGTAGGAAAGCAGAAAGTGAACCCCAGGAGGCCAGGCTGGCCACGGAGCCCCATCCCACACACACAGGCCCGGTGACTCAGGGGCCCACGTGTGCAGGACACCGGGAGCTCATAGGGACAGCGCCCCGGGGGATGCAAGGAACTTTGCCTCTCTGTCCCTCTCTGTAGGGATGGAAAGAGAACAATTTCTGGGATGGAAGCCATCTGCCTCCTCTCAACTCTGGCTGCCCAACTAGAAAGGGAAAAAAAAACAGGAAGATGCGGGACAGGTGAGGAGCTGGGTGAGCGCCACCAGCCCGCAGCCCAGCAGAGCAGGGCTTGGCCAAGCCTGGCGCCAGGGACTTCCCCCCTGCCCCCACCACATGCCCCTCGCCAGGTGAGAGGCACCGACAGACTCCCAGACAGATGTCCCAGACAGGATGCCCAGCGCAACACCCGCCACTTCCCCTGCTGGGGGCCCCCAGGACACGGGGCTGCCCCTCCCCTTTTGGCCAGCCACAGAGTCCAGCGGGTATCCCAGCCAGGGACCTCGTGGGAGAATCAGGAAGTCGAAGCCACACAGCCGAGAAGGGGCAGCTGGCGTCTCGGAGGCCGTCACGAGCTGTCACTCCGCGCCCGCCGGACTTGCCGCTCAATTACCAACTTCAACCCGGGACCGGCCACGGAGCCTCCCGCCGCCTCTACCCCGCGTCCCCGGCACCTCCGCGCCCCCGGCAGCCCCGGACCCCCGCGCCCGCGTCACTTACTCCTCTGCCGTCGCCACCTGTCTACGTGCCGGTCTCCTCCCTGCCCGGCCGCAGCGCGTCCTCCCCGTCCTCGCAGTCCTCGGGCTGTGCGCTTCCCCCCTCCAGCAACAGCCGTAGCCTCTTCTCTTCGGGAGGGACGTCGTCCTCCTCCCTCCTGGGCCGGCCATCCCTGCCTCGGGGCTTGCCAGTGGCTTCGGAGCTGCCGGAAGGGCTGGCCATGGCTCCAGGGGCTCTGCCTGCACTTGGGAAGAAGAAGCACCCGGCGCGAGCGGCCTCTCGGCGGAGCTGGGGCGTCTGAGCGCGGGCTCGTTGGGTCCGCGCGGCGCGGAGCTGGGCATCGGGCTGGCGCGGGCTCCTCCGCGGGCCGCTCCTGGCTCTCTGGCGCCCTCTGCTGGCCTCTCCCGCGCAGCGCGGACACGCCGGGCCCGGGACTGCGCCGCTCTCACCTGTCCTGGCCCAGGCGGTCGCTGTCCCTTGCCCGTGGCCAGGCCCGCTCTGGCCAGGCCCTGCACCTCCTCCCCGCCCCAGCCAGGTTGCACCCCGATAGTCTCCCTGCCCAAGGAGGAGAGAAGACAAGGGACGCCCGGATAGGGTGGATATCGGCCACAGCCACCTTGTCTTTGCTCTTACCCTGTTTCTTCCATGATTTGGAGGGGGTGGGAAACCCGAGGCTGCTCAAAACTCGTGGAGAATTCCGCCTGCAGGATGACATGAATGCACCTTCGCATTGCCTACCAACAGATCTTTTTTGAGCATCACTGTGGACCAGGCGTGGTGATGGGGGAGGGGATATTGCGGTGAACATGACAGGCATAGCCTTCATCCAGTGGGGCTCAGCGCTGGGTGAGAAGGCATTGAGAATGGACATTGTCAATTCGGCCAAAGGAGGCCAAGGAGAAGTGCTGGGGGCATGGGAACTGAAAAAGACAGGAGGCTCAGCCGGTCTTGCAGCTGGGAGAGGGACAGCAGCAGCGGCTGTTCCAAAGGAAGCAACAGCTGAGAGAGGTCTCAGAGAGTTGTTCTCAGCCCAGTGGAGGGTGTTCAGGCAGAGGGAACAGCGTGTGCAAAAGCCCAGAGGCTGGGAAAGAAGCAGAAAGAGGACTGTGGGGCTGGAGCGTGGTGGGCAAGGGGAGAGAGGTGTGGTGGGGGACAGATTGCCTGGGACCCAGCTGTGCAGGGGCAGAGGAGATAGAGGATCCTTGCAGGCCCCCAGCCGGGGCTGAGGCACAGACACAATGCAGGTGGGCAAAGGGAGGAGACATGGAGAAATATTTTGGAGGCATGCCCTGATGAATGAGCCCAGGATGCACCCTTAGTGTCAGTGTGGAGCTCCTTCCTTGGCTGTGTGATGAGCTGAACCCGGGCGTATTTTCTGGACATCGAAGTGCTACACCCAGAGTCCAGGACAGGCTAAGTGAGCACCAGCAGCTCCTGGCCCACCTCAAAAGCAGGAGAGACAGGGGAGACTGGGGAGGCCGGGGCGGAAGGGGAAGCCAGGAAGGCAGGAGAGGCCAGGGATGCAGAGGAGGCCAGGGAGTAAGGGGAAGCCAGGAAGTCAGGAGAGGCCAGGGATGCAGAGGAGGCCAGGGAGGCAGCGGAGGCAGGACAGGCTGGGGAGGCTGTGTCCTTTCCATGATTCTGCCCAGGATCCTAGGCCCCTGTACTCCCTGAGCTTCCCCACCGCAAGCGCTGGAACCATGTTGCACAATGGTCTCCCCACTGAGCTCCTGATGGCAGCCCCTACACTGCTGTGCTCCCTATTTCAACCCTAACAGCTCTCACAGTGGGCAGCACATAGTAGGTGCTCAGGAAACACTGGTGGGAGAGCACGTGGGTCTGCTCAACTCTTTCCTCTCTCCTCCAGCTCTCCCCTGTCACGAAATAATTCTGATAACGACACATGGGCTTTGAGACCCTCTTCTATTACTTTCCAAATGCTAATCCATCTATACCTCACAGCAGCCCTGGGGGTGGGTGCAATGAGGATTCCCATTTTATAGAGGAGGAGACTGACATATAAAGAGGGTAAATGACATAGGCACACTACAGGGGCTGGGGCCAAGTGGTCAGAGCACTCAATCCCCAAAGGCAAGGTGGATGCAGTTACCATAAAAGACAGCAGAGTCAAAGCTGCAACCAGAATAGCCTGACTCGCAGAGACCTATGGTGCCAGCTGATCGTGGCTTTCCTAGAAGTGAAAGAGATAAGAAGCCTGCCACATTTTTACTTGATCTGTGTTTGCAGAAGAGTTCTAGGTCAGGTGAGCAGAAGTGTAATCTGAATCATAAAAACAGAGTCACAGTCTCCCGTCAATTCCCAGATGTGAGCCAGTTCACAGACCCGGAGTCCCTTGTCTGAATGGGAAGCCAGGTTCCCTCCAGAAAGGACTCTGCTACACTGCCAAAAATTAATACTGTCCATCTTTCTCCCAGCCTGCCCCCAAGGGAATACACAGCCTTTTACCAGGATGACTGAATAGGAGAAAAGGAACTAATGGGACCTGTGCAGGATCACTGGACACAGGCTCTGAACTGGCACTAGGGTGAGACTAGGGTCTACTAGTCAGAATAGGCATTTTGGAGGTCAGGTGAATGTTGGTGCAAGTTCATGTCATGGTAGATCCATTGGGTCCCCAAATCCAACCTCTGGTTATATACAAAGTGGCCATGTTGAGATTTAAATTCAGGGTATCCAACTTAGAGGCTGGGCTCTTACTCATGAAACATTCTGACACTACTAACCAATTTAAAAATGCAAACACCTCCTGGGGCTAGCCAGAGTACTCCAAACAGTCATGTAAATTGGTTCTGTCAAGGATTTCCTCCTACACACCCCCCCCACCCCAACCCGAGAGCCAGTTGCAAGGAGAGACTAGGGAAGGGCATTGGGTAACTTTGTTGCTAAAAGTCTTCTGGATAAAGAAGAGCTTTATCCAGGAAAAAGAAGCAAAATAGAGTTCAGCAGAAGTTGAGAAAAGAAGCAAATAGAGTTCAGCAGAAGAGGTAAGAAAGTAAGTTTATGTTTGACCAGGCATGGTGGCTCACGCCTGTAATCATAGCACTTTGGGAAGCCAAGGCAGGCAGATCACGAGGTCAAGAGATCACACCATCCTGACCAACATGGTGAAGCCTTGTCTGTACTAAAAATTCAAAAATTAGCTGGCCATGATGGCACACGCCTGTAGTCCCAGCTACTCGGGAGCATGAGGCAGGAGAATCACTTCAACGCAGGAGGCAGAGGTTGCAGTGGGCCGAGATCATGCCACTGCATTCCAACCCGGTGACAGAACAAGACTCCATCTCATAAAACAAAACAAAACAACCAAAAAAGTAAGCTTATTTTTAAGCCTGAACAAGTGTAGTGGTTTAGGGGTTCTGCAAACACGGCCCCAGTCAGGCTACAGTATGTAGTGGCAGCAATATTTACACCCAGTCACTCCTGGCCGGCTGAGCCACTTTTCAAAACACCCTTGCACGGCTGCGCAGAGCGACTGGCTCCACTGGCAGCCGGCAGAGCCATAACTCACACTGTCACCACTGCCCTCAAACCCCTTCGTAAGCACGTTTTTTGAGACGGAGTCTTGCTCTGTCATCCAGGCTGGAGTGCAGTGGCACAATCTCGGCTCACTGCAAGCCCCGCCTCCTGGGTTCACGCCATTCTCCTGCCTCAGCCTCCCAAGGAGCTGGGACTACAGGTGCCCGCCACCATGCCCGGCTAATTTTTTGTATTTTTAGTAGAGACGGGGTTTCACCGTGTTAGCCAGGATGGTCTCAATCTCCTGACCTTGTGATCTGCCTGCCTCGGCCTCCCAAAGTGCTGGGATTACAGGCGTGAGCCACCGCGCCCGGCCTGGTAAGCACTTTTAATCAATGCAACGGGAATAAACATTTGCAGCAGAGCGGCAATGTGCAGGGAGGAACATGCTTCCACTCAGGCTCAGAAAGCAAAACCTCCTGGCTGTTTACGTCTCTGCAAGAGCTCACAGCAAAAGCCCTCTGTGTGGCTGCCAGCCTCACACACTCCCCCCAAGGGATGAGTTTCTCTTTCCATGTTAATCTATGTTCTGTCGTGCCATCTGTCAACCACCACACCATTCTCAGTTGACATTTCAAAGCATCTTTGCCCTGTGAATGGTCACCAGCCCTGCCCTGCAAGCCCCCAGCTGACATTGAACTGAAATGAGAGAGAAAACAGGCTTCGGGGTGGATTTCAGTTCAGCATCTTGGAGTCTCTGTGTGGACATGAAATCTGTCTCCCCAGCTGTGGGCTGCATCTTTGTTTGTCATCTGGCTTGGTTCTTGGGGACTTGGAAACTCGTAGGCACCTTTGCAATTTGTCAAGAAGCTGCACGGCCCTTCCAACAAAAGCAAGGAATAGGAACAGAAGCCCAAGGCTTCAGATCAAGGTGCAACTTAAAACAGCCTCAGTGTAAAAGCAAACAAGAGTCAGAGGGATGCCTAAGGCAGAGTCTAGTTCCCAGGGCAGCTATAAGGCAAAGAGAAAGAGAGAGAGGACAGAGACAGAAAGAAGAGAGAGATGGGAGGAGACATGAGGCACCCAGTCCTCTGGATCAAAATCCCTACAAGAGGGGCCTCCTAAAAATGCAGGAGGCTGAGGTGGGTGCACACAGAAGTTCAAGACTAGCCTGGGCAACATAGCAAGACCGCGTCTTTACAAAAAATACAAAAATTAGCCGGGTGTGGTGGTGTATGTCTGTGGTCCCAGTTACCCAGGAGGCTGAGGTGGGAGGATGGCTTGAGCCCAGGAGGTAGAGCTGCAGCGAGCTGAGATAGCACCACTGCACTCCAGCCTGGGCAACAGAGTGAGACTTCATCTCAAAAAAAATTTAAAAAAATTTTAAAAGGATCACCCTGGCTACTTGAATGGGTAATTAGAAGGTAAGAGCAGAAGCAAGGAGACCAGCAGGGACATTCTGCAGGTGGGAGTCCACAGTGGCTCAGACCAGGCTGACGCTGAAGACTGGCTGAATTCTGTATATATTTTGATGATGAAGCAACTCATCGACTCTTGAAGAGTGGGCTCTAGGAGACTGCATTTTTAACAAGCTCTCAGAGAATGCTAATGCAGGCTGAAGTTGAAGAACTGGTTTAGGTGAAGCTTCTGTTTCATCCTTGGGGAGGTACCTACTGACTTTTCTCTAAGCCACCTCAAAAGAGGTGCTAGACAAGATGTGCTCCAATGTCTGAACATGTGTGCACAGCTCTAGAGCCAACCTCAGGACACTGAGTCAAAGGTTAGGAGTACAACAGTGAACAACCACTGTCCTCTTTTCAATGAGCTTTGCATTTAATGAGAGAAATAAAAAGCAAAAAAAAAAAATCATTTTCAACTCAGAATGGTAAGAGTTATGGTGACAGTATGCCTGGGGCAATGGGAGCACATAGAAGGGGCACCCAATCGGCCAGGTGCAGTTGTTCATGTCTGTAATCCCAGCACTTTGGGAGGCCAAGGTGGGTGGATCACTTGAGGCCAGGAGTTCGAAAACAACCTGGCCAACATAGTGAAATCCTGTCTTTACTAAAAATACAAAAAAATTAGCCAGATGTGGTGGTGGTCACCTGCAATTCCAGATACTCAGAAGGCTGAGGTGGGAGAATTGCTTGAACCCGGGAGGCGGAGATTGCAGTGAGCCAAGATCGCGTCACTGCATTCCAGCCTGGGTGGCCAGAGCGAGAGTCCATCAAAAAAAAAAAAAAAAAAAAAGCCCGGAGGTGGGTGGGCATGCAATCTCTATCAGGTGGTGAGAAATCCTTCTCCACCACAGGACTCCTCAGTTGAAGACTAGAAAATGGTAGGAACTAGCCAGGTCGATAGGAGAGGTGTGGAAGATCATTCTCAGCAGAGGGAAGAGCATGTGCAAAAATCGAGACGTGAGAGGGTGAGGAGCTGAGAGATGTTCATATAATTGTAAAAAATGACTAATGTAGAGGTAAGTTGGAGCCAAATCTTAAAGGCTCTTTGTCGTGTTTATCCTGTAGACAAAGGGAGACAGTAGATGTTTTTAGGCAGGGGAGTCATGATCCACTTTGTGCTAGAAGAAGAGCAGTCTGGCTGAAGGAGAGTGGGAGGTGAGTAGACCAGGTAGGAGGCTGCAATACACCAAGTGAGACAAGATGGTTGGCTGGACCAAGGCTGTGGCAGTGAGGATGGAGAGGAGACAGTAGACTAACTTGACTGAGAAAGAGGGAGGAATGAAGGAGGAGGCCCAGGTGTTTTGGAAGCTGGGTGGATGGTGGTGTGGATCTGATGTGGTGAGCCCAGGCCGAAGAGGAAATCAGGAGAGGCAAGGTAAGATGAGATCAATGCAAGACAGACAGCCAAGTGGAGTTAAACAGTGGGCAGTTGGATTCATCAACCTGGAGTTATACAGAGAGCTCTGGAATGGAAATAAAGAGGAAAGGACTTTGGGAATAGGTGAATCCTCCCTGAATAACGTGTAGAGAAAGGAGAATAGAACACAGGGGACAGAAAAAGGGAAGAGATTTGTTATTAAAAGCAACCATCCATCAGACATCTTCCAATAAAACACTTGTTAGAGGTTTCCTCAGTGTGAGTTATACAGGACCAGAGCTAAAGACCATGTTCACAATAAAATCACTGCTGGGAAGGTCTTCACGAAAACATTTAATGCTGCTTTTAAAACAACAACAACGAAAAGTCTTTAGCTACTGCACAGAACCTGGAGCAATTTTTTGGCAAGAGTCTATCAAACACGAATCTGATCTGATTCAAGGAGTTGTCATACCAAGTGTTAAAATCCAATTCCTATGTCCATAAGAGCCTTTCTGCCAGGTACAAGACCCTAATCCAGTTGAAGTGATTTTCTATTGATTAATAGGCTGGGAATACATAGGTTGTTGGTTTTTGAGAGTTCCCTCCCTGTGCCTTCTTGCCAGCTGTAAAGGAGTCAAAAGGCTCCCAAATGTCAAAATAAAAACGACACTTGGTCACAGAGGAAACAGATTATAGGACTTTTTAACCATGAGGAGCTATTAATGTTACTGAATAAGCAAATCTGTTTGCATAACCAGATTTTTATAGGCTACTGGGAATAAAGGTTTTCCTAAGTGGGTGATTTGTACAATGATAGCCTTTGGGTCTCTGATGGAAAAGCTCTGAGGAGGAAATGTTCCTTTAATTACGTGGAAGGCCAAATATGATGTTATAGCCACACCGTTTTGCAGATTGCATATAATTTCACCATTACATAGCTTCAGTACTCTAATTCTGGAGAAAATGCAGTCACCAAGAAGGCACTTGAGGCACATTATGCTGGAGATAAAGATGTTTCAGCGAATTTAATTTAAACTACAACATTAAATTTATTTTGTTGAATAAAACATAATGCAATAATGAGTTTGTGTATGTCAACTCTATAGTGGAGGTAATAATAGCTAGAGAGAGCATGTCCCCTCTCCTCTTTTTCATGCTCATTAGACTAATAGGTAATGCTATAGAGAGAACATTTCTGTAATATGTGCTTCATCTCAGGCTAAGCCTGAAAAAGGTAAAGGAACTAATTTGGAAGCCATTCACAAAAGTGCTACCCCTTGATGTTATTTCATATTCTGAGATTTCTTATTCCCAGTGCCTACCAGGAATGGACTTTCTGGAGAAGCTCAGATTAATCACTCCTTATATACTTGGCACTGGGGGGTCTGTATGGAGCAAGTGAAGAAATCAGCAGAGTGAAGATAGACGGAGAACAACATGATGGGGGAAAGACAAAGTTACTGCCATGTTGGTTTCAATTCTGCCACTCATGAGTGAGACCCATGACCTCCTCTCTCTAGGACTCTGTTGTTCTTATCTGTACAGTGGAGGAATAGAAGGGCCCTTTAAAGTATTAACATTTCCTGCCCTCTCTGTAAGACACTTTCATTCAAACTGATGGGAATCTTGACTACTTTGTCAAGAGGACATAATAATCATCAAGCTGAATGCACCAAACAGCATTGCCTGAAACTATCTAAGCAAAAACTGAGACAGTTACACAGGACAGACAAACCTCCTATGAGAGTAAGAACTCTTCAGCATATGCTTAGTGTGTCAAAGACAATGCTGCGTTCACACCATTCCTCTTCCTGGACATGCAGAAAGACTACATTTCCCAGCCTCACTTGCAGTTAGTTTGGAACCATGTGACTGCATTTCCACAAATAGGAAAAGAAGAAATCACTTCTGGGCCAAGGTTACCAAAGGCAAGTGTGAGCTATGTTCCCTCTCTTCCTATCCATATGGCTACAAGTGAAAAACTCTGAGATGGCAGAATTAAAACATGGAAACCTCCAAGATCTCTGAATCACTGTTGGACAAGGGCCCCCAAGGAGAACCCCTGCCCTGCACCAGATTATGCTATGGGTGCCAACCAACTCAGAATTCAGGGTTTATTTGTCTCAGCAGCATTGTCCAGTGTTACATTGACTAACATCCTAAGGTTTGAGAGATCTAGCATATTGTTAATTGAAGCTAGATTTCAATTACACTGAGAACCTTATCTATTTAAAAATAAAAACTCCCCTAACAAACAAATAATCCACATTCCTTTTAACCATATGTGGCACATTTGCAAAAAAAAAAAAAAAAAAAAAAAAAACAACTGGCCACATATTAGGCCCCTAAAGAAGTCTCAACAAAATCCACTATACGATTGACATTGTCCAGACCACAATTTCCTGACCATAATGCAACAAAATTCGAAGTCAACAGCAAGAAGATAGCTAAACACAAGCATACATTTGGAAAATTAAAAATATCCTTTCATGAGTTAAAGGAAAAATCACAATAGAAATTACTAAATATTTACAACTGAATGAAAACAAAACTTTATTTTTATATATATATATAGTGTGTGTGTGTGTGTGTGTGTGTGTGTGTGTGTGTGTGAATCTTCCAACTTTGTTCTTTTACAAGGTTATTTGGGAAATTCTGGGTCTCCTGCAATTCCTCATACAGTTTTATGCTGTTTGTCAATTTCCGTGGCTGGGGTGAACTTGTCGTAGTTCTCATAGACCAGGGTCTGCATGTCGCTGTCTATAGCCCGGATCTGCCGCACCATGTCCGTCTCACTGTCCATCAGCTGGGCCAGAGGGCACACTCTATGCAGCTTGTCTAGGTAAACTTCCGGGTCGAAGTGCGCCCTGTTCAGATCAGTGCGGTCCAGGAGGTCGGGCCCCGCGGGGAGTCCCGCTGCCTCCCCTTCCGAGAGGCCTTAGTAAAGCTTTAGCATTCTGTGCGCCTTCCACCGACGCTCCGTGAGCCTCCCCCTCAGGCCCTTCTGGGGAGTCCCCAGGTCCAGACCCCGGGCTAGTGCCAGTGGCAGCTGCCGCCGCCATAGCTCCAACTGCAACCCATGGTCGTAACTTTTTATATTTTTAAGTTGCATACATCAAGCTACTTGGCTTTTGCTTTCATCACATCATTGAGGAAAGCGGTGGTTGCTTATGGTACCCCTGTTTTTACTGCAACCTGTAATGGATGAGAACCTCCCTGTTGCGGAGAGCAAAACACTGAACTAAATTGTGCTGTAACACAGCCCTGTCTTGGGGGATTGGGAGTGATCATGCAAACACTTGCAAATTTGCACAGTGACAGAGGCAACTATTTGGGCAGCTGTTCACTATATGAAAAGGCAATTGACCAAAAGTCAGTTACTGAGCTATCTCAACATTTTCATGTTATTTTAACTTTTGGCAGCAGGGTGCAATTAAAGGAGAGAAAGAAAACAAAGTGATAACTGTAAGATAATGTACACACATGTGTAAAAGAAAATGACAAGACAGGATGACTATTTATCTCTTGGTGAGCTCCTTGGGCTCTATGTCTCCTTCCTGAGAGAACCTCGTTTTCCTTTGTCCAGATTTGTTAGGGTGGATAATCCAGGCGCCTGCTTCCCCACGATGGAAGCCAAAGACGTCCCTGGAGCCGCCTCCCGCTGCATCCTTTCCTGCACTGCCCACATGGACACAACTCAGCCGATTAGACTTCCTCTCAGAACTTTAGTCTTGAGCAAAGGGATTCAAGGGTGAAGTGACTGAAGATCTGCCCTTCCAAAGTGGTACGTGAGCTAATGGCTAAAGTTTACCAAGCCCTTCCAAGCACTTTTTTTCTTAATTTTTATTTATTTATTTTTTTGAGACAGAGTCTTGCTCTGTCACCCAGGCTGGAGTGCAGTGGTGTGATCTCGGTTCACTGCAACCTCTGTCTCCCGGGTTCAAAGAAGTCTCCTGCCTCAGCCTCCCCAGTAGCTGGGATTACAGGCATACGCCACCATGCCTGGCTAATTTTTTTTTTTTTTTTTTTTTGTATTTTTAGTAGAGACAGGGTTTCACCATGTTGGCCAGGCTGGTCCCGAACTCCTGACCTTGTGATTCGCCTGCCTCAGCCTCCCAAAGGGCTGGGATTACAGGCGTGAGCCACCGCGCCCAGCTTCAAAAAGTTTTAAGCAGAGCTCAGAGGTCTTAACCACAGGAACATCGGAGGAGAATTTTTGAAATGCTTTCCAGCTTCCTCAGTAGGAATGGAAGCCAAACTCCGAAATGATGTCCCCTTTGAGGAAGTTGAAGGAAAGCCAGGAACAGGGGCAACGGAGAGATGCATCTTGAATGATCCTGTGCCAATTCTTTCTGGAATCCTTGATGTGATCTCAGCTGTCCTTTCCATACTTGACACAGTGACTGCGGCACCCACTGGTCTAGCTGTGGTCTACAAGGAACCCCCAAAGGGAAGGGCACAGTGAGCAGGGGCAACCGCCTGAGTGACAAGGATTTGAGAGGGCAGGTTGGATGCAGGGAGAGGACTGGCCAAATGCCATGTGTCTGGACTTAGACTGCCTGGTTCAAATTGGACTTCACCCTTTTTGACTTCATGATCTGGTACGAGTTCTATGAAAATGCGTTGCTCCTTTTCTAGTCTGTAAAATTATCATGAAATGTGCACTAATAACTGGGAGACTATGCAGATGAAATGAAACAAGCTGCATAGAGCACAGAGCTCAGAGCTTGGCCTTTAGGAAGCCCTCAGTAAGGGTTCATGATGCCATGGTGTCTGTCATCATCCTCTTTATCCTCATCATCACCTTCATCATCTTTTTGTTGTTCTGAGGGAATAGTTTAGAGGGACTCATTCCCTGCTATCATGGGTGAGATGTCTGTGAAAAAGGCAACCAGTGGGGGAGGAAAGCAACACTTTGAATAAGATTTCTGAGACCCCACCACAAAGAAGAACAGAAACTCCACAGTCTGCTGAGCAGACAGTTTGCACATTGATCTCCTCCCATCTGTCCACCGCACTCTCCTGTTTGTCCTGATGAGGAGGAAAGAAAACAAGCCTCCTGACCGCCCCTCAGCACTCACTTTAAGGGGTGGCCTGCCCCTCCACACCTGTGGGTATTTCTAGTTGGGTGGGATGAGAGACTGATAAAAGAAATAAGACACAGAGACAAAGAATAGAGAAACAACAGTGGGCCCAGGGGACCGGTGCTCAGTGCACCAAGGACCTGCACTGGCACCAGCCTCTGAGTTCCCTCAGTTTTTATTGATTATTGTTTTTATTATTTTAGCAAAAAGGAATGTAGTAGGAGAGCAGGGTGATAATAAGGAGAAGGTCAGCAACAAACATGTGAGCAATAGAATCTATGTCATAATGAAGTTCAAGGAAAGGTACTATGACTGGACGTGCATGTAAGCCAGATTGATGTTTCTCTCCACCCAAACATCTCAGTGGAGTAAAGGCAGCATTGCTGCAAACATGTCTCACCTCCCACCATAGGGAGGTTTTTCTCCCATCTCAGAATTGAACAAACGTACAATCGGGTTTTATACCGAGACATTCAGTTCCCAGGGGCAGGCAGGAGACAGCGGCCTTCCTCTCTCTCAACTGCAAGAGGCTTTCCTCTTTGACTAATCCACCTCAGCACAGACCTTACGGGTGTCAGGAGGGGGACGGTCAGGTATTTCTCATCCCACGAGGCCACATTTCAGACTATCACATGGGGAGAAACCTTGGACAATATACCACTGTCAAGGGCAGAGGTCCCTGCCGCTTTCCACAGTGTATTGTGCCCCTGGTTTAATGAGACGAGAGAATGGCGATGACTTTTACCAAGTATAATGCTTGGAAACATTTTGTTCACAAGGCATGTCCTGCACAGCCCTAGATCCCTTAAACCTTGATTTCATACACCACATGTTTTTGTGAGCTTCAGGTTGGGTCAAAGTGGCTGGGGCAAAGCTACACATTAACAACATCTCAGCAAAGTGATTTTTAAAAGTATAGGTCTTTTTCAAAATGGAGTCTCTTATGTCTTTCCTTTCTACATAGACACAGTAACAGTCTGATCTCTCTTTCTTTTCCCTACACTCACTGAACTGCCCTTCCCCTCTGCTGGGCCATGACCACAGAGAACAGGTCCACTGTCCTCCCTGGGTGTTGCACGATTGAGGCTCAGACTCCGTCCTCAAGGCTGGCCAGAAGACAGGGTGAGACATGAGCCTCCTAATACAGGTGATGGGTGTGGAGCCCACAGGACTGGAACCTCACACTGCAGGGCTGGAGGCACAGACTGAATATTTACTATTCTGTGGCCTCGGGGGCTCAAGGCACAGAGCTCCTCATTAGCCAAAGTCGCTCAAGTTCCCCAACCTCTAAGAATTTCCTCATAATAATGCAAGAAGAAGAAGAGAAAAGTGAATGTGCATAGAAGCTTTGGGGCTCTTCCTCTAATCAGGAGAAAGCTGGTGTGTATTATTCGCTTCTTTCTTTTCTTTTTAAAGATCCAACTGTTTTAATTTTCATCTTTTATTATGGGAAAATATACCACGTATAAATATTAAAAATTATAAATATATATTAGTTCATATAGAATGGCCAGTATACACATTTACAATTTCCACTCTTTTTCAGTTTACAGTTTAATGACATTAAGTACATTCACATTGTTTAGCAACCATCACTGCCATCATCTCTGAAAGAGTCTTATCTTTCAAAATGGAAATTGCACCCATTCTCCAACCTCTCCACTCCTCTCTCTCACCCACCCCTGGGGGTCACCATTCTAGTTTGCAACTCTATGAGTTTAACTACTCTAGACACTTGATAGATAAGTGGAATCATACCGTGTTTAATTTTTTTTTTTTTGGAGACAGTCTTTCTCTGTCACCCAGGCTGGAGTGCGGTGGTGTGATCTCGGCTCACTGCAACCTCCACATCGCGGGTTCAAGGGACTCTTGTGTCTCAGTCTCCTGAGTAGCTGGGATTACAGGCGTGTGCCACCACACCCAGCTAATTTTTGTATTTTTAATAGAGACAAGCTTTCATCATATTGGCCAGGCTGGTCTTGAACTCCTGACCTTAAGTGATCCGCCTGCCTCAGCCTCCCGAAGTGCTGGGGTTACAGGTGTGAGCCACTGAGCCTGGTCGTGTTTATCCTTTTGGGATTTCTTTATTTCACTGACGATAATGTCTTCAAGTTTCATCCATGTTGCGGCCTGCATCAGAAGTGCCTGTCTGTTTTTTTTTATTTTGTTTTTTGTTTGTTTGTTAGTTTGACTTTGTTTTGTTTTGTGTTTACATGGAGTCTCACTCTGTCACACAGGCTGGAGTGCAGTGGCACAATCTGGGCTCACTGCAACCTCCGCCTCCCGGGTTCGAGCGATTCTTGTGCCTCAGCCTCCCGAGTAGCTGGGACTACAGGTACATGCCCCCACGCTCATCTAATTTTTTGCATTTTCTTTAGAGACAGGGTTTCACCAAGATGGCCAGGCTGGCCTTGAATTCCTGACCTCAGGTGATCCATCCACCTCGGTCTTCCAAGATGCTGGGATTCCAGGCGTGAGCCACCACGCCGGCCAGAAGTGCCTGCCTTTTGAAGGCTGAATAGTCTTCCACGGTATGAATGAACTGCAGTGTGCTTTTCCATTTTTCTGTCCATGAACCCTTGGGTTGCTTCCACATTTTGGCTGTTGTGAATAATGCTGCTATGAATATGGGTGTACACAAATCTGTCTTACACTCCTGGCTTCTAATTGTTTTTGGTAGGTACCCACAAATGCAACTGCGGGAACATCTGATCATTCTGCTTCTGATTTTTCCAGTACACATCATACTATTTTCCCCGTTCCTTCACGGTTTTACATTCCCTCCGATCATATTCGAGCATTCCTACTTCCCTCTAGTCTCACCAATGCCTGTTTGTTTATCATATCCATCCTGATGTGTGGTATCACATTCTTGGTTTGATTTGCGCTTCCCTATGATGAGTGATTTTGAACATCATTTTAGATGCTTATTGGCCATTGTGATATCTTCTTTAGGGACATGTCTACTCGAGTCTTCTGACCATTGTTGATGGGATGCTTTGAGTTTCTTGTTGCTTAGTTCTAGCCATTCTTTATATATGATGGATATCAGCCTCTTTTCAGATATATGATTTGCAAATATTTTTCCTAATCCATGGGTTATCTTTTCACTCAGTTTGCCGTGATTTTGCTGCACAAAAGTGTCTGTCATTTAGATGTAATCCAAGGAATCTAATTTTCTTTTGTTGCCTATGCTTTTGGTGTCATATCCCAGAGAGCATTGCCCAATCTGATGTCATGAAAGTGTGGCCAATGTTTTCTTTTAGGCATATGATACTTTTAGTGCTTGGGGTTAGGTCTTTGATCTGGTTTGTGTTAATTTTTGCACCTGGTGTGACTTAGAGTCCACCTTCATTCTTCTGCATGTGGAAATCAAGTTTCTCCGACACCATTTCTTGAAAAGGCTGCTTTTCCACCAATGAGCTTTCTTAGCACTCATGTTAAAAATCATTTGAACATATAGGTGAGAAGTTATTTCTGGGCTCAAAAACAAACAAACAACAACAGACAACAGATAAGGATACAGCATGTGCCGGGCACAGTCGCTGACGCCTGTAATCCCAGCACTTTGGGAGGTCGAGGCGGGTGGATCACCTGAGGTCAGGAGTTCAAGACCAGCCTGACCGACAGAGAGAAACCCTCATCTCTACTAGAAATACAACATTAGCTGGGCATGCTGGCACATGCCTCTAATCCCAGCTACTCGGGAGGTGGAGGCAGGAGAATCGCTTGAACCCAGGAGGCAGAGGTTGCGGTGAGCCAAGATTGCACCATTACTCTCCAGCCTGGGCAACAAGAGTGAAACTCCATCTCAAAACAAAAAACAAAAAAACAAAAAAACCAGCACGATATCAAGAGCAGAAAGAGAAGAGCTTAAAAACCAGCATAATGAGAAAGTTAGGAAGCTTCTTACCAAAGCATCTGGAAATATGCAAGAAATTCTTGTGAACTAAAATATTCATACTGTACTATCAAACACTAGAACTCATTTATTCCATCTTTCTGTATTTTGGGGCCCAATTATCCACTTGTCTTCATTCCCCATCCCACCCCTTTTCTTCCTAGCGTCTGCTAACCCCCTTTATACTCTCCACCTTCCTGAGATTCCTTCTGTGTGTAGGTGTGTGTGGGATGGAGTCTCTTTCTGTTGCCCAGGTTGGAGTATACAGGCACAATCCGGGCTCACTGCAACCTCCGCCTCCCGGGTTCAAGCGCTTCTTGGGCCTCAGCCTTCCGAGTAGCTGAGACTACAGGCACACGTCACCACACCCGGCTCATTGTTTGTGTTATTAGTAGAGATGGGGTCTCACCATGTTGGCAGGGTGGGTCTCAAACTCCTGGCCTCAAGTGATCCGTGCGACTCGGCCTCCCAAAACGCTGGGATTACAGGCCTGAACCACCACACCTGGGCAAGATTTTCTTTTTTGTTCCTACAAAGAAGTGAGGACATGTAATATTTGTCATTCTGTGCCTGGCTTATTTCACTTAACATAGAGACCTACAATCTCACCCATTTTTTCTGCAGTGAAGAGGATTTTCTTCCTTTTTAGGCTGAATAATACTTCATTGTGTGTGTATACCAGAGTTTCTTAATTGAAACAAGTTTCTAAAAAGCATATAGTTTTAAAATGTCTCAGAACGTGAAACTTTAGGGATACTGTGCCCATTTTATTCTTTTCTATTTCCCATCTTATGTATATGCGAGTGTATAATAAAACAGCAATCAATGTGTGTATAAATCTATAACTTCAACAGATGTCAAATAAAAATGTTAAGTGCTGGCTGGGCGCGGTCACTCATGCATGTAATCCCAGAACTTGGGGAGGCCGAAGCAGGCGGATCACCTGACGTCGGGAGTTCAAGACCAGCCTGACCAGCATGGAGAAAAAAGGTCTCTAGTAAAAATACAAAAAAATACAAAAAAAAAAAAGTTAGCCAGGCGTGGTAGCTCATGCCTGTAATACCAGCTACTCGGAAGGCTGAGCCAGGAGAATCGCTTGAATACAGGAGGCAGAGGTTGCAATGGGCCGAGATCGTGCCATTGCCCTCCAGCCTGGGCAACAAGAGTGAAACTCTGTCTCAAAAATAAATAAACAAATAAATAAAAAAGAAAAAGAAAAGAAAAAAAGAGAAAATGTTACTCCCATTATCGCAGGGGGTGTTCACCTCTGATGATACTGTTTTCTAATATCCAGGGAAGGAGAGTATGATATTACTCCCAATATCGCAGGGGGTGTACACCTTTTTGTGATATTGTGTCTAATATCCAGGGAAACAGAGGATGATATTACTCCCAATATTGCAGAGGGTGGACAACCCTGGGATATTGTTCCTAATATCCCAGCAGGGAGAGGATGATATTACTCCCCATATCGAAGGAAATGTACACCACCTCTGTGATATTGGTCCTGACATCCAGAGACGAAAAGAATGATATTACTCCCAACAGCGTAGGAAATGTATACCCGCACTGTGATATTTTTCCCAATATCCGGGGGGAGAGGATCGTATTACTTCCAATATCGCAGGGTGTGTACACCCCCTTTGTGATCCTGTGGCTAACATCCAGGTTTGGGGAGGACGACATTACTCCCAGTATCACAGGGGGAGTACACCCCCCCGTGACCTTGTTAGTCATTTCCTGGATGGAGAGGATGATATTACTCCCAATATCGCAGGGGTGTACACCCCACTGTGACGTTTTCTAAATATTCAGGGAGGGAGCGGATAATATGACTCCCATTATCGCAGAAGGTGTACATCCCTCCTGTGATACTGTTCATAGTATCCGGGGAAAAAGGGGATGATACTTTCAAAATAGCCGGGGTTTTCCACGACCCCCGCGCCGTGATGTTTTTCCTAATATCCAGGTGGGCAAAGAATCATATGACTCCAAATATCGCAGGTGGTGTACAACCCCCTTGTAATATTTTTCCTAATATCCAGGCAAGGAGGGAACGATATTACTACCAATGTCGCACGAGCTGTACAACCCACTGTGATTTCGTTTCTAAAGGAGAGGATGATATTACTTTCAATATAGCACGGTGTACACCCCCTACCCCGTGATATTGTTCCTAATATCCAGAGGGCCAGAGGATGATATATTACTCCTGATATCACAGGGGGTTTGACACCAATATCCCAGGGGGTGGACACCCCCCTGTGATGTTTTTCCTAATATCCTGGGGGAGAGAGGATGATATCACTCCCAATATCGCAGGGGATGTAAACCACCCCTGTGATATTACTCCTATTATCCAGGCGGAGAGAGGAAGATATTACTCCCAATATCGCAGCAGGTGCACAACCCCCGTGATTTGCTTTTTAACATCCAGGGGGCAGAGGATGATATTACTCCCCACGTTGCAGGGAGTGTACACACCCATGTGATACTCTTCCTACTATCCAGAGGGCGACAGGATGATATTACTCCCAGTATCGCAGGGGGTGCACACATCCCTGTGAAACTCTTCCTCACATCCAGAGGGAGAGAGGATGATATCACTCCCACTACTGCAGGGGGTATACACAGCCCTGTGATACTCTTCCTAATCTCCAGAGGGAGAGAGGATGATATTACTCCCAATACCGCAGGGGGTGTACAAAACCCTGTGATATTGTTCCTAAAATCCAGAGTGAAAGAGGATGATATGACTCTCAATATCGCAGAGGGTGTACACCCCTCCTGTAATATTGTTCTTCATACCCTGGGAGGGAGAGGATAAGATTACATTGAATATCTCAGGGAATGTACACCCTCCCCCTCTGATACCCTTCCTCATATCCAGGGGAAGAGAGGATAATTTGACACCCAATATCGCAGAGGCAGTACACCCCACCTGTGATATTGTTCCTAATACGCAAGGGGGGAAAGGATGATACTCCTCCCAATATCGCAGGGCTGTTCACATCCCCAGTTACATTTTTCCTAATATCTAGGGGAGAGACAATTAGATGACAGCAAGTGTCGCAGGGTCTGTACATCCCTTCCTGACATTGTTCCTAATATCCAGGGGGAAACAGGATGATATCAAATATCAAAGGGGGTGTACAAGCCCCCTCACGATATTGTTCTTAACATTCATGAGGGGAGACGACCGATATTACTCCAAATATCGAGGGGGTTTTTCACACCCCCTGTGATATAGTTGCTAATATCCACGGGGGGAGAAAATAATAGAACTTCCAATATTGCAGGTGGCGTATACCCCACCTGAAATATGGCACCGAATACCCAAAGAGGGAGAGGACGGTATTAATACCAATATCGAAGTGTGTGTACACGCCCCTTGTGATATGGTTTGTAATATCCAGGGGGCGGGAGGATGACATTAGTCACAACATCACAGAGGGTGTACACTACCCCTGTGATGTTGTCCCTAACTTCCAGAGGGGAGAGGATGATATCACTCCCAATATCTCAGAAATTGTACATCCCCTGTGATATTGTTCTTCATATCTAGGGAGGCACAGGATGACATTATATCGAATTTCACGACAGACGTATACACGCACTGTGGTATTGTTCCTAATATCCAAGAAGGGAGAGGATGATATTACTCCCAATAAAGCAGTGGGTGTACATCACCCCTGTGTTGCTGTCTCTAATATATGGGGGCGGTGGAGGAGGAGGGGAGAGGTTAACATACCCTCTAATTGGGCAGGTGGTTTGACGCCCCTTGTGTTATTGTTTTTAATAACCAGCGGAGAAGACAATAATGCTATTTTTGATAGTCCGATTAATCCGCTCCAACTTTCCAGAACTCTGAGGCCAGTAGGCAGCATGCAGTTTCCGTGTGATCCGCAATACCTTTGCCGTCTTCTGTACCAAGTCAGCCACAAATGCAGGCCCGTTATCTCAGCCGATCCATAAGGGCAGTCCAAATCTGGGAATAAGATCTCGAAGAAGCACACAGGTTACTTCATGAGCTTTCTCAGTTCGTGTCGGATAAGCCTCCACCCACCCAGAGTAGGTAGACCTAAGAACTGGTAAATACTTGTTACCTCCACACTTTGGCATCTCTGTGAAGTCTACCTGGATATCTTCAAAGGGGGCTGCTCCATAAGCTCATATGCCAGGCGGAACGGCTGGACCTTGACTCCCATCATGCTGTCGGCAGGTAACACACGGCTGGGTCACCGTTTTGGCAAGAGCTGACAAATGCAAGATGTAGAAATACCGGCCTAACAACTCTTCCAGTGAGTCCTGACCTAGATGGGTTTTTTCCTGCACAGCCAGTACAACTGCAGCTCCCAGTAGCTGTGGCACAGCTACTCTCCCATCTGGTAACCGAATCCATCCTTCCTCCATCACTTGTCCTTCCCTCTACCTGGAGAAAGTCCTTTTCTTCTTTAGAAGAAGTAGGTACAAGATCAGGTGCTTGAGGGAGCAGAGGGGCTGTGACTGATGCCCGGAAGGGGGCAGATGCTGATTTTTGAGCCTCTGAGTCAGCGCGGGAATTCCCCAAGCCCACCAAGTTGGAGGCTCGCTGGTGTCCTCTGCGATGCATAACTGCCACCTTGTGGGGTTTCCATACTGCTTCAAATCATTGCAAGATTTCTGGTTGATATTTTATGTCTTTTCCCCCAGAGTTCAATAGGCCCTTCTCTTTCTAGAATGCTCCATGCACTTGAAAGGTTAAAAAGGCATACCGAGAATCAGTGTAAATGTTGACAGTCTTACCTTCATGGAGTTCTAAGTCCCGAATGAAAGCAATGAGTTCAGCTTTCTGGGCTGAAGTGCCCTGGGGCAATGATCTGGTTTCAACAACAGTGTCCAGGGTTACCACTGCATACCCTGCACCTCTCTCTCCTTGTGGGTTGATGAAGCTACTCCCATCCATGTATAGTTCCCAGTCTACGGATGGCCGAAGGCTGGTCCCGGAGGTCAGGTCTGCTAGAATCAACTGAGTCCAACACTTCTACACAATCAGGCTCGACAGGGCTCTCTGATACCGGGAGCAAGGTGGCAGGGTTTAAGGTGTTCCAAACTTCAATGGTTATACGGGGATTTTCACAGAACAAACTTTGGTACTTGGTGAGTCCAGCATTGGTTAGCCAATGATGTCCTTTAGTATTCATGAAAGTCACCACAGCATGGGGGGCCTGTATGTTCAGGTTTTGCCCAGGAGTCAGCTTATTTGCTTCTTGTACTAGCAGGGCAGTTGCTGCCAAGGCCCTCAAACATGGGGGCCATCCTTTAGGAGCCCCGTCTAGTTGTTTAGAGAGGTAGGCCACTGGCCTCAGCCCCAGCCCCATAGTTTGGGTTAAAACTCCAACTGCCATCTTTTCTCTCTCCGACACATAAAATGGAAAAGGCTTTGTCAGAACGGGTAGCCCCAGGGCTGGGGCTGACATACATTTTTTCCTTTAACTCATGAAAGGCTTGCTGTTGTTGGGATCCCCATTCAAACGGTTCCCAGTCCCCGCCCCCTTGTGACCTCATACAAAGTCTTGGCTAATACTGCAAAGTTTGAGACCCATAGTCTACAAACCCCACAGCTGCTAAGAATTCTCTCACCTGCCTTCTGCTCTTAGGCTCTGCTAGATTGCAAATGACCTGCTTTCTTTCTGATCCCAGGCTGTGTTCCCCGTGTCAGATAGTAAATCCTAAGGAACTTACCTGCTGTCAGCAGATCTGAGCTTTTCTCTTGGACACCTTATAGCCACAGTCCTCCAGGCGCCGGAGTAGGGCATCCGTTCCCTTGGAGCATCCGACTGCCATGGGGTGTCCCAGCAAAAAGTCATCAACGTACTGGAGCAAAATGTAGCCTAGGTCTCTGGTGGGAAACTTCTGGATGTCTTAAGCCAACGCCTCCCCGAAGATGGTGGGGGAGTTCTTGAACCCTTGGGGAAGCCTGGTCCAAGTGTACTGAGTAATGACTCCTGACTCCGGATCTTCCCACTGAAAGGCAAACAGCTTCTGGCTCTCAGGGGCTAATCTGATGCTAAAGAAAGCGTCTTTCAGGTCCAAGCAGGTGAAGCAGCTGTTCTCAGCTGGCAGCAACCCCAGCAATGTGTACGGGTTAAGTACTGCTGGATGTAAAGTCAGTGTAGCTTGATGAAGCAAGCGCAAATCCTGTACCGGCCTGTAGTCCTTGGTCTGTGGCTTGGGAACATGCAGAAGGGGAGTGTTCCGTGGAGACTGACAAGGAACTCTGATTCCAAAAGTTCTTAGGTGCTTGAGATGGACCTGGATCCCTTGAAGAGTTTCTCTGCGGGACCAGGTCCTGTTTTTCCGTCACAGGCTGGGCCCCAGGCTTCATTTCTATGAGTACAGGGGGTTGGTTGACTGCCAATCCTGAAGGGTTGTCTTCCGCCCATACTCTTGGCCACCGCTTAGCCAGAGCTGGTCTTATCTCTTGGCCCGGCTTAGTTCAGAAAAGTCTCCGTTCCTCCTCTTGGGGGACCATAAGAGTCATAATGACTCCCATTCTGAGCAACTTTAGCAGCAAAGAGCCATGCTCTATAAAAGAGATAGTGGCTCTCAGCTTGCTAAGGAAGTCCCTTCCCAACAAGAGCAAGGGACAGTCAGGCATGTACAGAAACTGATGAATCACTTTATGTCCTCCTACAGCACAAGCCCGGGGCAAGCAGAAAGCTTGCTTTGCTGAAACCCCCGTGGCTCTGATGATGTCAATAGTCTTTTTGGATAAGGGGGTGACCGGGGCGGTTACTAGCGATTGTTCAGCACCGGTATCTACAAGAAAATCAATGTCTCTATCCCAGACTGTCCTTCTGACCAGAGGCTCTTTGGGGACACTCGAGCCTGGTCTCCCTCAGTCCAATAACCCTTCTGCCAGGTTGAGCAGGGCCCCTTCCTCCTTGTCCCAGGCCTCCTGCTCTGAGTCACCTTGTTTTCTGTTGAGCTGAGGACATTTGTTCTTCCAATGTCCTATTTCTTTACAATAAGCACACTGGTTACACTGCAAACTCTGACAGCCAAGCAGAGTTTCTGTCCCAGGGCCCCCCTTCCCTTGCCTCTCTCGGGGGGCCCCTCTGATTGCTGCAGCTAACAAACAGGTCAGTGTTTCTCCAGGCCGGACGTTCATTCTCTTTGCGGTTTTCCTTACGGCTTACTGCATCCCTGTTTACAAACATCTGGTTAGCTATTCTAATCATTGTGATGTATTCATCCCTGCAAGCCCAGCCTGTTTCTGCAGTTTTCTTCTCATGTCTTCTGCGCTTTGACGGACTAAAGCCATGTTAATCATGCACTGATTTTCAGGGATCTGGGGATCAAAGGGAGTATACACACGATAGGCCTGACACAGTCTCGCACAGAATTGTGCTGGACTTTCTTGTTTTCCCTGAATGACCTCAGAGACCTTGTGAACGTTTGTGGCCTTCTGAGCTCCCCTCTGTAATCCTTCCAAGAGAGCTTCCCTGTCTCAGTTTAGACTTTGCATATCCCCTCTTTCATGTGGGTTCCACTGGGGGTCGGTTCCTGGTAACTGGGTCCTTATGTGCTCTCTGGGTTTTTGATAATCAGCTGGTGCATATTCCTCTAGCCACTTAGTTGCTGCTTGGAGGACTCTCCGCCTTTCATCTGTGTTAAAGAGGAACATGAGCAACGGGTGGTAATCAGCCCAGGTGGGGTTGTGGGTCTGGATAACAGTTTGGAGCAAATCAATCAGAGCTTGTGGCTTTTCGGTATAGGACGGGGTATTATTTTTCCAGTTGAGAAGGTCAGCAGAGGTGAAGGGCTGGTACCCAAAAACACGTCTCTCCACCACGTGACCATCCTCAACTATAGCAGTCTACCGCTGCTCTCTCAGGGGCATTTGGATCCCGGTTTTGGGTTGTAAATGAGCTGCCAAGGGAGGGGTTTCTCCCAAGTCCTTGTCTACTCTAGGTGGCCTAGGGATACGCTTGTCTTGCGGAGGCGCAAGCACTGTGGGCTCAAGAGTGGGGAGCCTCTTTCCCTGCTAAGGGGAGGGCACCACTGGGATCTCTGGTGCCATCTCCTGCAATGCATCTTCTGACGCTGGGTGGAATAGAGCTTCAGGAGTTGATTTCCCTGGGCGGGTGGAGCGGGATCCTTCCTTAGCTATCTGTCCCTTTGCTACTAGTATTTCCGCTGCCTGCCCTCTTAGCCACTGTGGGGAGTCTAGCACCAGCTGTCACCAAGTGTCTATACGAACTGGTCTAGGTGTCCTTTACCAGTTACCTTGTGCCACACCTTAGAAGCAAGGGACCTGTCCAGGCTTCCTTCTGATGGCCGACCCACTTCTAATGGTGGGCAATCTATTTTCCCCAAGGTTCAAAGTTCCCCTGGTGGTCTAGTGGTTGGGATTCGGTGCTTTTACCGCTGCTGCCCCCGTTTGATTCCCAATCAGGGCACTAAGAAATGAAGTAGGATGAGCCGTGGACGAAGTCCCTCAGACAGCAGATTCAAGAAGCAAGAGGTTTTTTTACTCGGCCGAGAGTATCGACAGACTCTTGTCTTAAGAACCCAGCTCCTCCAAGGAAGACAGAGTTCCTGGCCCGTTTAAGGGCTTACAACTCCAAGGGGTTCCACGTGAAAGGGCCGTGATGGATTCAGAGCACATGTGCTTAGGGTTAATCTAAGGGGGGGTTAATCTTTTCACCGCAGACCGGCTCATCAGTGCCACCGGCTGGTCTTGCCACTGACTTCATTCCTGTTGTTTTCCCACTTTTACTTCCTCCTCCTCTTCAGAGACAGGAGACAGTAGAGAAATTGTTTCTCTCCTCAGGGCCACAGGATGATATGACTCCCAATATCACAGGGGGTGTACACAGCCCTGTGATATTCTTCCTAATATCCAGAGCGAAAGAGGATGATATGACTCCCAATATCGCAGAGGGTGTACACCCCTCCTGTAATATTGTTCTTCATACCCTGGGAGGGAGAGCATAAGATTACATTGAATATCGCAGGGAATGTGCACCCTCCCCCTCTGATACACTTCCTAATATCCAGGGGAAGACAGGAGAGTTTTACTCCCAATATCGCAGAGGCAGTACACCCCCCCCCCACCCCCGTGATATTGTTCCTAATATCCAAGAAGGGAGAGGATGATCCTTCTCCCGATCAAGCAGTGGGTGTACATTACCCCTGTGTTATTGTCTCTAATATCCGGGGGCGGAGAGGATAACATGCCCTCAAATTTGGCAGGTGGTTTGACGCCCCTTGTGGTATTGTTTTTCATATCCACCGGGGAAGACAATACTACTACTCTCAATATCACAAGAAATGTACATCCCCCTGTGATATTGCTACTAATATCCAGGGGTAGAGAGAATGATGTTACTCCTAATATCGTCACAGTGTCCACTCCCCTCTTTGCTATTGTTCTTAATATATGGAAGGCAAGTATGATATGACTCTCAATATGGAAGGAGGAATACACACCCCTGTGATATTGTTCCCAGTATGCAGTGGAGGAGAGAACGCTATTACCCCCAGTATCGCAGGAAGTGTACACCCCTCTGTGATCTTGTTCATAAGGTTCAATTGAAAAGATGATCTTACTGGAAATATGGTAAATACACTGTGTGTCCTCAGTGACTGCTAACATGCAGGGAGGGATGGGGGTTGATATTACTCTGCGCATCAGCGGAGGGTGTCCACGCCCCTGTGATGTGGCTCCTAATATCCATGGGGAAGGGGGATAGATATTACTCCCCGCATCACTGGGGGTGTCCACCCCCCTGCGATGTGGCTCGTAATATCAGGGGTGGGGGGTGATTTTTCTCCCCGCATCGTAGGGGTCGCCCGCCCCCCTGCGATGTGTATCGTAATACCGAGGGAAGGAGAGGGGGATGACATTACTCCCCACATCGTGGCGGAGTCTATCACAGATCGGGATACTATCCACAACCTGGGATATGGGGAGTACACCGCCTGTGATATTGGGAGTAACATCATACTCTTCCCCCCTGAATATTAGGAACAATATCATGGACGGGGTGTTCACCCCCTGCCTTATTGTGAGTCATGTCATTTTCTCTACCCCTGGACATTAGGAACAATGTCACAGGGGTGGTGTACAACCCCTGCGAAATTGGGAGGTATATCTTCCTCTCCACCTTTGGATATTAGGGACAATATCACAGGGGAGGTCTACACCTTCCGGATTATTGGGATTAATAACGTCCTCTCCCCGCCTGGGTATTAGCAACAAGATCACAGATATTATGTGGAATGGGGCAAAATTACTTATCGCAATTAATAATATCAATTTTAATATCAATATTACTTATAGCAATTAATACTATCAATTTTAATATGAATATTACTTATCGCAATTAATATCATTATCGCAATTAATATCATTATCGCAATTAATAATTAATAATCACTAATATCCATTTTAATATCGATATTACTTGTCACAATTAATAATATCAATTTCAATATCAATATTACTTATCGCAATTAATATTATTATCGCAATTAATAATTAATAATAAATAATATCCATTTCAACATCAATATTACTTATCGCAATTAATAATTGATAATCAATAATATCGATTTTAATATCAATATTACTTATCGCAATTAATAACATCCATTATTAATTGATACTAATAATTATCGACATTAATAACTGAAAATATAATTTTTAACATCAATACCAATAATAATGATAATTAATATTAAATAGTTATACGAATGATAACAATAAATGATTAATATTAATGATTAATAATGCCTGATATTAATAACTGATATTGATCTTATACATTAGAAAACAGTAATATTAGCTCCTAATAATTAATATTAATATTTTGAACACTTTTTATCAGCAATTTGTTATTAATATTAATATTGGTAATTCATATTCATGTGACTAATAAATGAGGAATAATGAATATGAATATTACGCCTAATACCTCAGTGGGTGTACACCTACCTGTGATATTGCTCCTAATGTCCAGGGAGGGAGAGAGCATGATATTATGTTCAATATTGCAGTAGGTGTACACCCACCCAGTGATATTGATCCGAATATAATCTCCAGGGGGTGGAGTATGACGTCACTCCCAATAGAGCAGTGGGTGTACATCCACCCGGTGAAATTGCTCCTAATATTCACGGAAGAAGACAATGCTATGACTCCCAGTATCGCAGAAAGTGTACACCCCTTCTGTGATATTGTTCCTAATATCCGGAGGGGTAGAGGGTGATATTACTCGCAATATCGCAGGCTGTGTACACCCACCCTCTGATATGGTTCCTAGTAGCCAGGAAGGGAGAGGAAGATATGACTTCCCATACAGCAGGAGGTGTACACCCATTCTGGGATATTATTCCTAATATCCATGGAGAGGAGAGGCTGATTTTACTCCCAATATCGCAGGGGGTGTACATCCAGTCTGTGACACTGTTCTTAATATTCAAAGGCGGAGAAGTTGATATTACTCCCAATATCACAGAAAGTGTACAAACCCGTGTGATATTGTTCCTACTATCCAGAAGAAGAGAAGATATTTCCCCCCCATATCGCAGAAGGTGTACACCCACCCTGTGATATTTTTTCTCATGTGCAGGGTGGGAGAGGATAATATTCGTCTTCATAGCGCAGGGTGTGTACAGCCCCCCTGTGATATGGTCCTTCATATTCCAAGGCGGAGAGGATGATCTTACTGCCGATACCGCAGAAAGTGTACACCACCCCAGTGACATTGCTCCCCTGATCCAGGAGAGAAGAGGATGATGCTACTATCAATATCGCATGGGGTGGACACACCCCCAGTGATATAGTTCATAATTTCAACGTGGGAGAGGACGATACTACACCCAATGCCGCTGGGGGTAGAAAGACTCCTGTGATACTGTTCTTAATATCCAGGGGGAAGAGGATGCTATTACTACAAATAGTGAAGAGGATGTACACCGGTCTGTGATCTAGTTGGTCATTTCCAGAGGGAGAGAAGATATTATTGACAATAATGTCAACACGCTGTGTGACCACCGTGGCTCGTAATATGCAAGGGGGGAGAGGGGGGCGATATTACTCCCCGCATCGCGGGGGGCGCCCTCACCCCCCTGTGATGTGGCTGGTAATAGCCCGGGGGGGAGAGGGGGAGATATTACTCCCCGCATCGCGGGAGGCGCCCTCTGAGCAGCTTCAGCCTCAGAGACTAAACCAGATATATTAGAGTTTGGAGTCTGCACTTCAGGGTGTGTGTGCATGCGTGCACCTGTGCATATGTTTGTATGTTTATATTGTGCAGGTATGTGCACGCCTGTGTGGTGAGTGGAGTGTGTTGTGAGGTGGAAACTGGGGATGTATGTGTTATAGACGTGCATGTGCATGTCTCTGAGTCTCAGTGCCTGTGTGCAGGGAGTGGGGACTGTGTGATATAAATGACAGAAAACATGAAAGGAAGCACCAGATCTTGAATGGCCGACAGATGGCCAGTTATGATCTCTTTATTCTGCTCTATTAGAACCTGCTCTATTAGAACACAGTCCTCCTCTGGGCTGCTCTGATCTGATTTCCCGTACCCCCAAACCGAGCACTGTGCCCAATATGCTCCTCCATCTTCCTGCAGGTCACCAGGTGAGAGGCACCTGCAGTTGCAGACCTGCATGTTGCCACTGAGTATCACTCTCGGTCCTGTATCCTCAGCAACACCTGTTACAGGCTCAGCTGTCCTTGTGCTTTGTTAATTGAGACCCAAATCAGGACAAGATTCCATTTGAAAACCTGGAAACGAACAATTTAGTCTCTCTTCCTTGTTCTTTATCTTCTCTCTATCTCCAAAAATGAGTTTTCACAGTAAGCTCAATGTATTTGGGCCATGTAGTCCCCCCTTTTCTTTACCTTATTTTTTTCTTTACCTTTTTTCTTACCTTTTTGTTTCTATTGCCCTGGTCATTTTCATAGAGATGTCAGCTCTGCACTTTCTACCCTGAGGAGCTGGATCTCAGGGTAGAAAGATCTACTTGTCCAGGTCACTCAGGGCCAGGACAAAAACAGGATTTCCATCCATAATATGAACATTCACTCTTAGAATGTATGTACTCCCCTGACGGATGAGTTAATTATTTAACATAGGAATTAACTTGACTGTGTTACAAAGTAATGTGCAAGACAATTGGCCTGGAAGAAAATAAGATAGCAACAGAATCCGGTTTTATAATAGAGGTTTTGTATTCCAGGATATTCCAGGGGACAAATGATGGTTAGACATGACCATATTTATTGCTGGTAACAGTCAAGCAGATGGGAGACAGGGAGAGAGATAAGGGCCTTCATGAACATGAGGACCTCTGGCTCCTCCTGGTGGGCACCTACAGCCCAGTTTTGCACTATTGGATGAACCTTCCTCACTTGTTCAGAGGCTGCTGGACACCAATTGCAAGAGCATAGCTTTGGGGACATGCTATGTATCCACATGTATCCACAAACGTAGTGCTTCTTTAAGAAAGGACAATGAGCTACCCATCCTCTTTAAAAAAAAAAAAAGGCACTACGTTTGTGGATACATGGGATATGTGTGGTTATTCCCTTATTTGTTCATTCCTGGAGAACCGTGGAGATTAGTGCCTGTCAGGACTTAGTACCTGGGTGTTGCATCTTGAAAATGGCTGGGAAAGAACCTCGCTAGACAGGGGTATTGACCAGCTCTGGAAAACGGGTGCTCAGAGGCAGCACAGAGCCCAGTATCAGCGGGAGCCCAGTTACAAGGGGGCTGAGGAAGCCCAGATGAGAAGCCAGTGTATATTGCACCAGGGTGCTGGCAGTGCAGGGGATAAGAAATGGCCCCATTCAAAATTTATATTGAAGGTACAGAAGCAACAGAAGTTGCTGATGTAAGAATATGGAATATTAGGATATCTGAAGAATATTTTTATTTTTTGCCCTGAACAACTGCAGAGACACTGGTGCCATTTTCTGAAATGACAACACCTGTATGTGTGTGTGGTGCCTGCAAGCTGGGGAGATGTACAGTGAAGAGTTTAGTTTTGGACATTAGGGGTGAGGAATCTGTTGGAGATTCTAGCGCACACGACAGGAAATGTGTTCCAGAGTCTGGAATTCAGCTGGGTGGTTGGAGCTGAAGATATAAATGCAGGAATCATTCTGAAATTGACAGCATTTAGCACTATACATTTGGAAAAGATTTCATGGAGAATGAGTATTCTAAGAGAAGATTAAAATTTCAGTAATATTGGGTGATTGCCTGAATGAACTACATGAAATTTGAATAATATTGGGTGATTGCCAGAATGAATTACATGGACTTTGGGGTTAAAAATGTGATATTCAAAGGCACCGTAGAGCCTGGAGAAACTTTGACAGGCTGTTTCTGAAAGCAGCTTAGGCTAAGAAAGCTTTAAGTGGCTGTTATTTGTTGCCTAGTTGTCTGCTCGTGCCTGCGGGATGAACTGCATACATTAATCTTTCAAGGGTTTCAAGGTCTTGCACCCAAGACCCCTTGGAGAGACTCTATTGCCCCCAATTTAGAGTTGAAAGACAGAGGCCATGATAGGTGAAGTCATGCACTAATGATCCCACAGCTAGTTGATGGCACCACTGAGACTGCAGCTCCCAACAGACAGCACATTGTCTTACCCGAAGCCCATAATGCAGTTTTCACTCCTGCAAAGGGGACAGCTACATCTGGGTCCTCTGTCCCAGGCTGCTGCAAGGCTAGGACCTGGTGAGCTTTCTCCAAGAGGCTCCAGAGAAGGACAAGGGGAAAGGCTCTCAGGGCTGTGAGCCTCCTAGAGGTCACTGTCTCTCAAGGGACCGAAGGAGCCTGAGGACCAAGGGGAGTAAAAAGACCCCAGCTCTGTGATATCTGGAGGAAGCAGCATCCCAGGGCAATGAGCTACCCCAAACCTGCGTGGCTGTGGGATAGAGGTATCCTTTGGGTTGATGGTTCAGACCTTTGATGATTCTCCAATCCAGCAGCTGCACTGAAACACCTGCTCTTCACGTTCATGAAGGCCCCTATCACTCTCCCTGTCTCCCATCTGCTTGACTGTTACCAGTAATAAACACACATCTAAGCATTGTTTGTCCCCTGGAATATCCTGGAATACAAAACCTCTATTATAAAACCAGATTCTGTTGCTATCTGAAGTATTTTCTTTCAGGCCAATTCCCTTGCCCTTTAGTTTTTAGCACAGTTAAATTAATTTTTATGTTAAATAATTAAATCATCGCCCAGGGAGTACATGCCTTCTAAGAGTGAATGTCCATATTATGTATGGAAATTAAGAGTGAATGTCCATATTATGGATGGAAATCCTGTTTTTGTCCCAGCGCTGAGTATAGGAGAGGCAAGATTGGACTCAGAATAAAGGACAAGAAAAATAGTTTTTCAGACTTTATTTTAAATGACAGCACGTTTGAAGTCAAGGGGACAATAGATAATGGGCACTTTGCTACAGTTAAAGAAAAAAGGGAACAGGAAAGGCATTTTATTCTAAATGATTATTTACAAACGCATTAAGAAACTAAAATTATTTTCCATAATGTCAGTGCCGTTTTCTTTTTCTTTCTTTCTTTTTTTTTGGGGGGGGTGGGGGTATGGAGTCTCGCTTTGTTGCCCAGGCTGGAGTGCACTGGCACAATCTCAGCTCCCTGCAACCTCTGCTGTCCACGTTCAAGAGATTCTCGTGTCTCAGCCTCCAGAGTAGCTGGGACTATAGGCACCCGCTGCCACATCCAGATAATTTTTGTATTTTTAGTAGAGATGGAGTTTCACCATGTTGGCAAGGCTGGTCTCGACCTCCTAACTTCAAATGATCTGCCCGCCTTGGCCTCCCAAAGTGCTGGGATTACATGCATGAGCCATTGCGCCCAGCCCAGTGGAGTTCTCTAGAAATACTTCTGCCAGAGATAATGAGAAACTTGACTGGCAACAGAGTTGTGTCTAAGGCTGAGCAATGGGCTGCCGGTGAGGGCCTGGTCCTGGGAAGATGGGCCACCGGGCATCTTCTGGCTTGGCCAGTGCTCAGCTCTGCCTCTCACACCACAGGGCCTGGACAGTGGTTTTTAAACCACCCATTTATCTTTCCAGATTTTCTGCTCACCCAATTAATTTTGGGGTCAGAGAAGGATGAAGAGAGACTGAAGATATCAATTTCTCCAAATAATAAGGACTCTGGGTGATCAAACACATGAGAGAATTCATGGAGAAAGGTTAGAACTGGAACAAAAATGTCCCAAATTGTTTCTTCAGTCATTGCTAGAGATTCAGAGAGACAATGCCAGAGAGACGGAGGCTAGGAAACAATTGTGGAACGCTATCTACAAACTTAGCAATGTCCAGTGAGAAATAGAGAAGCAGTACAAATACAGATGGTTTAAAACCTGGTGCTAAATGGCCACCAGGGCAAAACAAGGGCCATGAAACCTGGAATCACTGATGCAGGAAATTAGTCCCTCCCAGGCTCCCTGTTAATTCACGAATTCAAATAAATATTATAGATATTACAGATTTAATTCAGATCCTCTCATTTTCATAAGGCAGAATAAGTGGGAGATAAACTCTATCAGTTTCTCTGCAAAGAAAGAAAAAACTGAAACACATATCAAACACCCCAACCTCTCCACTGTATTCTAAAGGTCTGGCTTCTCTCCCACTCTCTCAAGGCAATAGCATGACTTGACACTTTCTAATTTTGTAGGAGTCACTAAGAATAAAGACAGGAGTTTGGACTGGCACAAAGGTTTAGAAGCCCACACAATCTCATTTATAATAGCACTCAAAAATAAAATTCTTAGAAGTAATTTTAACCAAAAAAGTGAAAGATCTGTACACTGAAAACTATAAATATTGATGAATAAAACTGAAGAAGACACAAATGAATGGAAAGATATCTTGAGTTCATGGATTGGAAGAATTAATATTATTAAAATGTCTACACTACCCAAAGTGATCTGTAGATCCCCATCAAAATTCCAATGCAATTTTTCACAGGAATTAAAAAAATACTAAAATTGGCATGAAATCAGAAATGACCCCGAATAGCCAAAGCAATCTTGAGCAAAAATAACAAAGATAGCGGCATCATGCTCTCTCATTTTAAAATGTATCATAAAGTTATTGGAAGCAAAACAGCATGGTCTGGTGTAAAAGCAGACACAATAACCAAAGGAAAGGAGTAGAAAGCCCAAAACTATACCCAGGGCTTTATGATTACTTGATCTTCAACAAAGATGCCAAGAACACACAATGGGGAAAGGACAGTCTCTTCACTAAAAGGTGTAAGGAAAACTAGATATCCACAAGCAGAAGAATGAAATTGGACACTTATCCCACACTATACACAAAACTCAACTCAAAATGGATTAAAGACTTACATAAAAGACCCGAAATTGTAAATCTACTAGAAGAAAACATGGAGGGAAATCTTTATGACATTTTTCTGGGCAATTATTTCTACAACAGGACTCCAAAAGCAAAGACAACAAAATCAAAAATAGACCAAGGAGGTTACATCAACTAAAAAACTTCTGCACAGAAAGGAAACAAAAAGATGATCCAGGGACTAGGAGAAAGTGTTTGCAAACCATATATCTGATAAGGGGCTAATATCCCAAAGATATAAGGAATTCAAACACTCAATAAGACGAAAACAAACATCTCAATTTAAAAAAGGGCAATAAACCTGGCCCACAGATATATGAAAAACACACTCGACATCACTAATTATCAGGGAAATGCAAATTAAAATCATAAAGAGGTAATCATCTGTTAGAATGGCTTTTAACAAGTAGACAAATAATACGTGTTGGTGAGGATATAAAAAAAAGGGGACCCTTGTAGGCCATTGGTGGAAATGTAAATTAGTGCAGCCATTTTGGAAAATAGTATGGCGGTTCCTCAAAGCACTGAACATAGAATTACCATATGACCCAGCAATCCCACTTCTGGGTATATCTCCCAAGAAATTGAAATCACTGTATCAAAGAAGAATCTGCACTCCCATGTCCATTTCAGCATTATTCAAAATAAGCAAGATATGGAATTAGCCTAAATGTTCATCAGTGGATGAATGAATAAAGAAAATATGGTATACATGCAAGATGGTATACCATATAGCCTTAAAAAAGAAGGAAATTGGCAGGGCGCGGTGGCTCACTCCTGTAATCCCAGCACTTTGGGTGGCCCAGGCGGGCGGATCACGAGGTCAGGAAATCGAGATCATCCTCGCTAACACAGTAAAACACCGTCTCTACTAAAAATACAAAAAAATTAGCCGAGCATGGTGGCGGGCGACTGTACTCCCAGCTACTCAGGAGGCTGAGGCAGGAGAAAGGCGTGAACCTGGGAGGCGGAGGTTGCAGTGAGCCGGGATCGCACCACTGCACTCCAGCCTGGGCGACAGCAAGACTCCGTCTCAAAAAAAAAAAAAAAAAAAAAAAGAAGGAAATTCTTCATTCATGACAACATGGATGGAACCAAAGGACAATGTGCTAAACGAAATAAACCAGACACAGGAAGACAAATACTATATGATATCACTTACACATGGAATGTTAAAATGTCAGTTTTATGGAACTAGAGTACAAAGGTGGTCATCAGAAGCTGCAGGTGGGTGAGATAGGAAAAGAGAAGATGTTGAGCCAAGAGTACAAAGTTTCAGTTATGCTGGAGAGTCTTAGTGATCTATGGCACTGCACGGTGACCACAGTTAATAGTGATGTATTGTATCTTTCAAACTGCTAAAGGAATCAATTTGTAATTCTCCTTAAAAAATTAAGTTGGTGAGGTGATGGCTATCTTAATTAGCTTATGTGTTTCTCCCATGTGGATATCAATCCAAACGTCACATCATACCCTACAAATATACACAAAATTATTTCTCAATGAATAAATAAATAAATTTGAAAAAAATTAAATGAGGAATTCAAATATAGAGACTCTCCAAGGGCCCACTGAGCCCCAAAGGATTTGGATCAAATATGGTGATATTATGGAAATATGTAGTAATATCTTAAAAATGTGTAAGATATAGTCTCTTTTTTTTTTTTTTTAAGAGAAAGGGGTCTCACTATGTTTTTAGGCTGGTATCGAACTCCTGGTCTCCAGTGATCCTCCCACCTCAGCCTGTCAAATAGCTAGAAATATAGGCATGTACCACCATGCTGGCTTAAGATGCATTCTTTGACACAGCAATTCTATTTCTATAAGTTTATCCATATAGGTAAGAGAACATATATACAAGATAATCACTGTAACTTTACTTATTACTGCAAAAGTTTAAAAATAACCAAATTGTAATAATTTTATAATATTTTATCAGTACAAAAAATAAGTGATGGCATATACAAACCCTGGGATAGTATAAGGCTATTAAAATTATAATAGCATTCCATGTATTTTGATATACAAAGTGCCAATGTTACAGGTGAAAAAAGCGAAGTGCAGAATACTATGTGTAACTGTTAATAGTGATGGTTTGCTGGGTCAGAACTGAAGGCCTGGGGGTAGAAATGAGAGCTCATGACTTCTACCTTTTGAATGTTGTTCCTTGTGCATGATTTACAATTTTCTAAAACTAAAAAAAAAATCTCAGAAAGGGGCTGTACGCACCTAAATTACTTTGATATTCCCCAAAGTGGAGAGAAGTACCCGCTACACATTTTATGTGATGCATTCAGATCACACCAACTCCTTGAACTAAATCCGAATTTTTATTTTAATCTGATAAACTTGGCCTACTATTTTACTGAACTCATTTCCCCTATAGCCTGATAAGGTCATTGACCTCTCCATACTGGCACCAGCGGGAGACTACTCACCTCGAGATCTCAAAAGCCTCCTACATGAGGTTAGTAATATCCCTGAATCCTGCAATGAATTAACTCTCTACTCCACTGAGTCCCAGGTCTGCCCCCAGAGAGTCATCCAGAGAGTACCAGGGACCATCTTCAGAAAACAAGAGGCATTTGATCCCCAAACTTCTTGAATGAAAGCGCTGTTGTTTTTCTTTTTTGAATATATAAAAGTAAATACTCAAGCAGATGGGAAACAGAACAGGATAGTAATACCCTTATCATCATTAACACCTTGGATCAAGAAGAGGCATTAAGCATACAGACTCACGCTTTGATGAAAGCTGGGAGAAAGAGGAGCATCAAAGGGATCTTGAGAACAAAGGCAGTCCTTCCCCTCCCAATCACATGCCCACCTCCTCTCACTGCAGCTTCTGTCTCAGGTCTTCTCCCAGCAGAGCTATAAATCCAGGCTGACTCCTCACTCCCCACATATCCACTCCTGCTCTCCCTCCTGCAGGTGACCCCAGCCATGAGGACCATCGCCATCCTTGCTGCCATTCTCCTGGTGGCCCTGCAGGCCCAGGCTGAGTCACTCCAGGAAAGAGCTGATGAGGCTACAACCCAGAAGCAGTCTGGGGAAGACAACCAGGACCTTGCTATCTCCTTTGCAGGAAATGGACTCTCTGCTCTTAGAACCTCAGGTAGGAGACATCAATCTTGCACATCTGCAAAATCTAGAAAAAAAGGATTGGAGAAAGGATCTGGAGTCAAGTGTGGAAAGGTCTACCTCACTTGAGTGACTTTACTTAATCTTCCTGGACCTTGATTTTCTCATCTATAAATTAATCAGTGAGAACCAAATAAATCTAAAAGATTTTCTTTTTTCTAAGACTTTCAGTTCCAAGATATTTCTGTGAAATTTGCTACTTTTAAGATAGAAAGAGCTACACTGACTAGTTCTTTGTAGATCTAAATGGGCAGACTTAGTTATATAGAGAGTGTTTTACTTTGTCCATTGGAAAAGCTTTTAGAACCTAGAGAGGAACCTATAGGTGTGTTTTGATGTAGGCTAATAGGCTTGATTAAATCTTTCTACAATACATCCTTAGATCAAAACATCATATTGTGTCTCATACATATACACAATTATTGTTTGTCAATTAAAACAAGTAAATATGTAAAATGTTAAAAAAAAAAAAAAAAAAAAAAAAAGGAGAGACAGAGAATGAAGAATTTGAATTTGGAAAGTCTTCAAAGACTCCTTGAGCACCAAAGTATTTGGTCCATGACATTAGCATGCACAATGCGGCATTTCAGAAACTGATTCAGGTGCTTTAGGGAGCCTTGTTAGGACCTGGAAATCACACATGGAGGTCAAGATTAGGCGTGTGGATGAAGCAGAATGAAGAGTAGGTAACCCTGAGGTTGAGAGGTATATTGTTGGACCAGGGAGCAGGTAATAAATACATCCTGGATAGACTCACATGGGGAAAAAAACTATGATCTTGCATGACTAACACATAGCTAGTAAGATTTCTTGTCACTTACGACAAAGACATGAATTTTCTCCATCCTAACATGACTGATACAGTGTCTCTTATTTAGACTATCTCAGTTAGTCTGGCTGTGCTTGTCCTTTTTCCCACCTCCCTCGCTGTGCCTGACCCTCTCTTCTTTCCACAGGTTCTCAGGCAAGAGCCACCTGCTATTGCCGAACCGGCCGTTGTGCTACCCGTGAGTCCCTCTCCGGGGTGTGTGAAATCAGTGGCCGCCTCTACAGACTCTGCTGTCGCTGAGCTTCCTAGATAGAAACCAAAGCAGTGCAAGATTCAGTTCAAGGTCCTGAAAAAAGAAAAACATTTTACTCTGTGTACCTTGTGTCTTTCTAAATTTCTCTCTCCAAAATAAAGTTCAAGCATTAAACTTAGTGTGTTTGACCTTTTTAATTTTCTTTTCTTTTTCCTTTTTTTTCTTTTGCTTTGTTATATGGTGGTTTGTATGGTTCCTTTGTATTGAGAATTCTGATCTACATTAAGTTAACTGGTCTTTGCATTCCAATGATGCACAATTTGAGCATCATAGAGCAATAACAAAATAACAAAAATGAATATAATTGGGTTTTTTATTGTTGTTGTTTGAGACAGTGTCTAACTTAGCCACCCAAGCTGGAGTACAGCGGTGCAATCTCGGCTCACTGCAGCCTTGACCTCCTGTGCTCAAATGATCCTCCCACCTCAGCCTCTTGAGTAGCTGGGACTACAGGCATGTGCCACCACACCCTACTAATGGTTTGTATTTTTTTGTAGAGACAGGGTTTCACCATATTGCCCAGGTTGGTCTCGAACCCCTGAGCTTAAGTGATCTGCTCTCCTCAGCCCCCCAAAGTGCTAGGATTACATGCTTGAGCCACCATTCCTGACAGGATATAAGTGTTAATTGGAATAGTTTGAAACTTAAAAATTCAATGCATTCCTAATGATACTCAAAAAGTAGAAGTTTACAATGAGAGGCAAAAAGTGGTTGTTGGCTCAAAGGAAAGATAGATCTAATGGGCTATGTTTACTTGTCCTTTAATTTTAAAAAGTGGGAAAGCATTGCTATACATAATTTTTGAAATTTTAAGCAGATGTGTTAAATATATACACTTTACATTAAGCTTTATTTCACTCTGTTTTGGTGATATATAACTGTATCAACAAGATAGAATAAAATAAAGTTTACTAAGGAAAAAGTTAAAACTGTGCCCAAAACAAGAAAGACTGACAAGCATCAGTGATCTCAATTAATAACCAGATAGAAGAGGAGCTCAGAAGCTGGTGACCATAGAGGACGAGGCCCAATAACCAATGAGACAAATGGTCCCTCACTGGTCCCCAAAAGGTTAATTAGACCAATGTTTAATGAAGGAGTTGGTCTCAACTCTCCATCCCTTCAAGCATATGAACTCTATTTATTATAATAAAGCTATACTCATTTTAATAAAATGCTAGTGAGAAAATATATGTTAATATGTTTTTAATTATGCCAATGAACCAAGTCAATACATCATAATGATAAGAAAATTGGCCATACACTTAGGGCTATGCAAAAACTTAAGAACGACGTATTTGTGAGAAAAACAAGTTTCTAGAATTAAAATTTATATAAAAGACAGGGATTGAACAGTGTCATGACATGACAAAAAAAAACAAACATTTTTATTACAACAACAACAAAAAGTCTCAGCCTGATAATAAATAACAAGTAGTCTGGGTTTGATTCATCTTAGACACATGCAAAGCACTGTTTCCTGATCAAGGGTCAGCTATTTGGCCCTAGACTTGCAACCTCGTTTAGTCATTTGGGGTCTCGGAAGATCACAAAAATCATAGGAAGGAGTAAACTCAAAACAAATGAGAAAAGATGTCAAATCCATGATATGGGCCCTTCTGTATCATTTTTGGTATAATGAATGAATAAGTTTGTGATTGTCTTTCAGGAATATGTTTATCTATTCTTTAAGGTATTAGATGTGTTTAAAAACAATTAGGCATACTAAATGTATTACATCAATATAGATGAAGGGAATTTAAATAATCACCTTTGTATCAATATTTAATACTCAAGAACTGGTTTAAACTTAGTGTAAATAGTGGTGAGATTTTTCTCTGTGCCCCAAAGTCCTTCCAATATTAAAGAACCTACCAGGCTAGTGCAGGCTGGTGCTGCCTTTCCTCATCTGATGGTCCTTGGTGAGAGCTCTCCACTTTACTGGGAGATAGGTGGTAGGGGCTGGTTCTCTGCCTCAGCAACCTTTCTTAGCAGGACTCTCTTCCACTTTTGCTGTCACACCTGGTCCTGGAAGTGGAGGGCCAGCAAGAGAGCATGATAGAGGAAGGCGAGCATTCTCATGCACCACCCAAGAGGTGAGGGTCTCCGACAGCAGGAACCAGAATGGGGAGTGGGGAGACCTCAGATGCTCTATACAAGTACATCTTTTGGGAAGTTAAGGTCACTCTACAAAGTCTGTGAACTTAGGTCAGGTTGGTGTGTAGGGTGAAAGGGAAGGATTTTCCAGGTCCCACCTGGTTGCCTAAAAGTCACTGTGATGCTCCTCTATTTAACTGCTTTACTCACAGCCAAAATTGATTAGTCGGTTGGTCTCTGCCCTTTCTTTTTGACGTGTTCTGCTTTTTGTTTTTTGGGTGTTTTGTTTTGTTTTGTTTGAGATGGAGTCTTCCTCTGTCACCCAGTCTGGAGTGCAGTAGCACGATCTTGGCTCACCGCAACCTCCGCCTCCCAGGTTCAAGTGATTCTTCTGCCTCACCCTCCCAAGTAGCTAGGATTACTGGCAAGTGCCACTGCACCCAGCTAATTTTTGTATTTTTATTAGAGATGTAGTTGCACCATGTTGGCCAGGCTGGTCTCGAACTCCTAACCTTGAATGATCTCCCCACCTTGGCCTCCCAAAGTGCTGGGATTACAGGCATGAGCCACCGTGCTGGGCCAATGGGTTCTGTTTTTATAAGAATCTTGAATAGCATCTCCTGTTCTTCATCAGTCTTTATGTAAACATCAGTTACAGCGTGGGAGTTTGTTAGAGGCTCTGCTGCTCCATTCTGAGAAGCTACAGTATAAACAACCCTAGGTTTTCCAGGCAGATCTCTTCAATGTCCAGTTTTCCCTTGAAGCTAAGACTCTTGTCTTATATTAGCACAGTGATCAAGCAATATGAATAACTTCCATGGAGTAGGACTCCAAGGTCATGGGGGAGAATACCCTACTCTCTACTATCCTGAGTAAAACTTACAGTAAGAAACAAAATAAATGTTTCCTCGGGCCCAAAGCTATTAAAGTGAGCATCAAGTCTCTGGTCAGGAGGACAGCAAGTTATGCAAAAACCAAGATAGACAGAAGATGTTCTTCACCCTTCCTTCAGGCAACGGGAAGCTTTTTCTGTTCATGGAAATTCTTGGCTCAGCATGGACCTAAACAAAAAGGTGTGATAAAAGGCACTTCACTCTCATTTTAACCATGTCCTTCATATATCTCCTCATCTTTCCATCCCACACATCCTCATTCTCATGTCCCAACCCCAATCAGTCTAACTGCAGATCTTCCTGTTCTCTGCTGCACAAAATTCAGGTGACCACACAAATGAAGTGTCTACATAAACTGTATGTCTTGATCAAGGATCTCCAGAGAAACAGAACCAAAAGAATGTGTATGTATAGAGAGATTTGTTTTAAGTAAATGCCTCATGTGACTAAGGAGCTAGCAAGTCAACAATCTTCAGGATGGGCCATCAACCTGGAGACCCAGGGAAGAGTCAAAGTTGCAGTTCAACTCTGGAGCCTGTCTGCTGGCAGAATTCTTTCTTGCCCAGGGAAGGTCAACCTTTTCCCTATTCAAGCCTTCAGCTGGTTGGATGAGGACCACCTACATTATGCAAGACAATTTAATTCACTGAAAGTCCACCAACTTAAATGTTAATCACATCCAATAAGACACCCTTACATAAATACCCAGAATAATGTTTGACCAAATATCTGGTCCACTGCAAAACAGCCAAGTTGACACATAAAATTAACCATCACATTAGACCTTCAGTTTTACTGAGCAATCTTCTAAGTCTTCTCTGTATTTCAATCTTGTTCCAGTTCTTTAGAAGGACTTTAATAATATCCTAGTTCTATCATATTCTATATCACGTTTTTCACAGATTAAATTCTTGAAACTGTTGTTGGGTTTTTTTTTCTTTTCTTTTCTTTTCTTTTTTTTTTTTTTTTGACAGAGTCTCACTCTGCTACCCAGGGTGGAGTACAGTGGTGTGATCTCAGGCAGCTGCCACCTCAGCCTCTCAGGTTCAAGCGATTCTCATGCCTTGGCCTCCCAAGTAGCTGGGAATACAGGCATATGCAACCACATCCAGATAATTTTTTCTACTTTTAGTAGTAACAGGGTTTCACCATGTTGCCCAGGCTGGTATCGAACTCCCAATCTCAGGTGATCCACCCGCCTTGGCCTCCCAAAGGGCTGGGATTACAGGTTTGAGCCACTACACCCAGCCTTGCTTTTGAAACTTTTGATGCATCTTACACCTATGTGTAAATGTAATCTGATAGTGGTTTTGCTTTGATTTACTTTGATAAACTTCTATAATTATGTAATTGGTATTACTATAATTTGAGTATGTCCTCCAAAAGTTCATGTTGAGACTTACTCCTCAATATAACACTATTAAAAGGTGGGGTCTTTAAGAGATGATGGGGTTCTGAGGGCTCTATGCCCCCGAATGGATTAACCCATTCATGAATTAACGTGTTAGTAGATTGTCACAAGAGTGAGTCTGCTGTGAGTCTGTTGTAAAAGCCAGTTCCTCTCAGTGTGTCCCGCCTCACCATGTGATACCCTGCACAACTGAGGACTGCAGAGATTCCTTATCAGCAAGAAGGCCCTCACCAGATGCAGCCTCTAAATCTCAGATTTCCCAGCCTTCAGAGTTGTAAGAAAAAAATGTATTTTCTTTGTAAGTTACCCAGTCTTAGGTATTCAGTTATGGAAAGAAAAAAATAATATAAGACAGCTACCATCTTAGGATCAAGGAAATATGGCAATATTGGTTAATATCCATTCATTGTCCCCATTGTGTTAGGCATCACACCAATTGCTTTCCCTACCACACATGAGGTAGGAGACAATTATCTAGATTTGAGAGATTAAGAAATGGAGGCCTGGTACATGGCAGCCCATCCTTTAGTCTTCGGTATACCTGATGTTGCATAAGAAACAACAGCAAACAGAAAAAGATGACCAGCCCCAATGGACAAAGGAGCCAGTGACCAACCCTAAGAAGATGGCAATGTTCAATAATTCAAAACAGCAGTTTTTAGGAGATTCAGCAAGCTTTGCAATGACACAGAAAAGTAATTCAGAAATGTATCAGAAAAATTTAGCAAGTATATCAAAATCGTTTTCTAAAAAGCAAATAGAAACCCTGGAACTGAGAAATAAACTGCCTAGCAGAAAGCTGTCAGACTCTCAATAACAGAAAGAATGAAGAATACCTATTAAATATAGAAAATACCTCAAAAGAACAAATCTAAAAGTCATTGACCTTCAAAAGGGAGCTGAGAGAGGGCAAGGGCTACAAAGCTTAAATAAATAATAATAGAAAACTTTCCAAATATAGAGAAAGATATAAATATCTAGGTATAGGAAGGTTAAACATTATCAAACAGATTCAACACAAAAAAGACTATCATAAGGCATACGGTCATTAAACTCTCAAAGGAAAAAGAGAGGATTCTAAAAGCAGCAAAAAGAAAGAAGCAAATTAAACATAAAGAGGCTCCAAATCATCTGGCTACAAACTTCTCAGTGGAAATCCTACAGACCAACAAGGAGAGGGATGATATGCTCAAAGTGCTGGGGCACAGGCTGAGAGATAATCTTCCCACCAAGAATACTGCACCCAGCAAAGCTATCTTTCACATATTGAGTAGAAATAAAGGTTGTGACTGACAAACAAAAACTGAGGAAATTCATTACCAGACCTGTCTGTCTTAATACAAAATTATAAAAGGAAAGTCTTTAGTCTTTAAGAAAAGGATGCCAACATGCAAAAAGAAAACATCTGAAGGTATAAAACCAATTGGTAAAAGTAAGTACACAGACAATTTTAGAATACTCTAATATTATAATTGTGGTTTGTAGATCTCTCATATCTCTAGTATGAATACTTAAAGGCAAATCTATGAAAAATAATAAATAAAACAATTTGTTAAGAGATAGGCAATATAAAAAGATGTACACTGAGATCAAAAAAGTCTAAATGTTGGGGGGGAGGGAGTTAAAGTATAGAGTTTTTTAGGTTTTTCTGTCATTGTTAGCTTCTTCTACTTTCTTTGTGATCAAAGTTAAGTTGTCATTTGTTGAAAATAACTTCTTATGAACATTTCATAATCTTCCTAATAACCCTAAAGCAAAAACCTGTAATGCATACACATTTTTTTTTTTTTTTTTTTTGAGACAGAGTCTCACTCTGTCACCCAGGCTGGAGTGCAGTAGCACGATCTCAGCTCACTGCAAGCTCCGCCTCCCAGGTTCAGGCCATTCTCCTGCTTCAGCCTCCCAAGTAGTTGGGACTACAGGTGCCCGCCACCACCCCTGGCTAATTTTTTGTATTTTTAGTAGAGATGGGGTATCGCCGTGTTAGCCAGGATGGTCTCGATCTCCTGACCTCGTGATCCGCCTGCCTCGGCCTCCTAAAGTGCTGGGATTACAGACGTGAGCCACCGTGCCCAGCCATGCATACACTTTTTTAAAAGCAAAGAATTAAAGCGCTATCAGAGAAAATCATTTAACCACTAAGGAGGAAAGTAATAAAAGAAGAAAGAAAAGGAAGAGATGAGTTACAAAAGAAACAGAAAACAAGTAACAAAATGGTAATAGTAAGTTCTTACCTATCAATAATAACATTAAGTATAAACTAAATTCTTCAGTTTATAGACATACATTGGCTGAATGGATTGAAAATCAAGATCCAACTATATGCTCCCTACAAGAAAATTACTTTGTCTATAAAGACCCATATAGATTGAAAGTGATGGGATGAAAAAAGATATTCCATGCAAATGGAAACCAAAAGAGAGCAACAGTAGCCATATTTCTATCAGACAAAACAGAATTTGAGTCAAAAATTACAAAAAGAGGCAAACAGGGTCATTATGTAATGATACAGTGGTCAATTTAGCAAAAGGATATAAAAATTCAAAGAGCATTCAAATGCAAATATTACTGGATCTAAAGAGATAAGCTGAAATACAATAATAGTAGAAAACTTCAACAACTCACTTTCAATAAAGAACTGACCATTTAAACAGAAAATTAACAAAACCAAACATCAGAGTTAAACTACACTCTAGCCCAAATGGACCTAACTGACATTTACAGAATATTTCATCTAACTGATGCAGAATATATTCTTCTCATCAGCACATAGAACATTCTCCAGGACAGATCATATGTTAGTCCACAAAACAACTCTCAACAAATTTTTAAGTCAAACCTATATCATGTATGTCAAAATTATATCAAGTATTATTCTGACCACAGTGGAATACAATTTGAAATCAATGATAAGAGGAACTTTGGAAACTGTACAGACACATGGAATTAAACAACATGTTCCTGAATGACCAATGGGTCAATAAAAAAATAAGGAAATTTAAAGATTGCTTGAAACAAATGAAATTAGAAACACAATATACCAAAACCTATATTGAAGCCACAGTTACTCTTAGGTGGTCACTGATAAAATGACACAAGGAGTTTGAGTGGGACAGAGAGATTACAGACTTCAAAGAAAGATACAGCATTTCAAGTGGGTTTTCCCCATTCTTGACCAAAACATCTCAAGGGCCAGACACTGCTGTGACCACCAACACCAATCACAAACACCCAGAGCTCAGGAGAAGGGAGCTGGTGTTTCCCATGTCCACCCCATGAGATTCTGAGGAGGTCTCAGCCCCAGACTGAGGCTCTGCCTGTCTGAAGAGGCAGTTCAGGAGTCCGGGCACCACACTGAAACACTGCACGGCCAGGAAACCCAACACAGATCCCAGGGAGGACAAAGGCATTCTGACAGACAAATGATCCCAACCTTCCCCTTGTTTAGACGGTGAAGGACACACACAGAACTTTGGATTGTGAAGGCCAGGAGGCTTCCTTGGCTTCTAGTAACTGCCACTGCTTCAAAGTCCTGAGGTCCCTGAACTAACATTCCGTATTTTTCCAAACTGTCGGCTGGGCCAGGCTGACTCCACCCAGGGGCATCTGCATTTCACCCAGAAGTACACCTGGCTCATTTCCCAGACCTGGGGTCTCCGCTAAAAAATTTCACTTTGTCACTGAGGTCTTTCCTGATTTCTCAATTTTAAACTGCAGCAACTTTCCTGGGCAATCTCCATCCCACCTGTTCTCTTTATTTCTAACTGTAGAATTGTAGCGGTCTCACATTCTGTACACTTCACTCACTCTCTGTAACATTTCCCTCCGTACTCTAGAAGGGAAGTTGCATGTTTTGCTCATTATTGTACCACAGGGTCCAGATGACTGCCTAGTACATAGTAAGAGATCATCAAATTAATTGTGATAAAATTAATTAATCATATCTAATATCACATAGTGATATAAAATTAGATTATTATTATTACTAAACTGCATAGGAAAAAATGAAAACTACAGCCACAAAGCAGTCTATATATCAAGTTTCTGTGGCAGCATGGAAAAAAAAGCCAATTAAAAACATTGAAGGCTGATATATAGAAAAATATCCTTGGGAAAATGTGGCTTCATGAAGCAATAGGAGTTTAGAAGAAAGAAGCAGACTATTTTGGTTTTGAGTGCAAGAAAAGATTTCATGGTGAAACACAGAGGTATTTAAAACATGGGTAGATTAAAAGAAGGGGTACAGTAGAATGTTCGGTGGAGAGAAAAATATCAGGGCAAGAAATATGCAGGGTCAGGTCGACCTCCACTGAATTGAGGAATGGATGTTGCCAGATAGAAGGATGCAGTAGAATTCAGGCTGATGTGCTGAGAAGCATCCATCAACTCAAGGGAAAGGGGCAGATGAGGACGGAGCCTCCCTGCTCCTCTGTGTGGATAAAGACACACTGGGAGCACCACATGTGGCTTCTGCTACTGCAGTCTACGGTGGGCTATGACTACTGCAAACTCTAGAGACAGAGAATTCAGGGAGAGGTTTGAGGGTCTCCAAACAACCAGGACAACTTGCTCGGCCTCAAGTAAGACCCAGAACTGTTCACTGGATGCACAAACACTCTACATTCACTGATGACATACAAGAGATTTTCTACCAGGAACCACTCGTGTGGTGGAACAATAAATATTGAATAAGTCAGATGCCTCATCCATATAAATGTAATTACACAAGAGGGCAGCAGCCCTGTCTCTGTGAGAGGATAGGAGACTTATTCCAACAAGCACAAATTAGCAAACACAGATGGCCCAATCACACTAGCCAACTTCCCTCCTAACGACCTCCAGAGCTAGCCTGCTAGCTCCCCTCAAGGCTTAAATTCTCCTGCCTTTGGCTTGAGGTAAGTTGAGTCCAACGGCTCTTCCTATTACAACGTTGTGACTCCTATTGCAACAGTCTTCAATAAACGTTTCCTTGACATTTCTTGAAAGTCTTGGTGAAATTTTTCTTTTACAAGAAAAGTACAGAGTTGTTTTGTTCTGTATCACTGTTTGTTCTGAGCTCTGCTTACAAACAAAACCAGAATGTAAGAGATGAGAAAAGTGCTCGTTTCCTTTTTTGAAGTTCTGTATTTCTTCCTTTGCCACTAAAAGCTAAATAACTCATTAAAAAAAAAACTAAGGGAAAGAGTTCACACTAATATTTCCTGGCAGATCACCCTCCCAACCTTTCAGTGCTCTGTCCTCCTGGATGACAGTGACTCCCCGTCCTCTTTGTCCCAGCTCTCCACCACATGGCCACCCAGTAACTCCTGCCACCACCTGGAATTCCTCCAGCTCTGAACATCAACTATGAAGCTCCCCATCCCTGACTCACCCGCTGTCCTTCCAGCCTCTCATGTACCTGTCCCTCCTTCCCTGCTGATCAGCATCAACAAGGCTGTTCTCCCCCGGGCTGTGCATGGGAATCACCAGGGAGCCTGATGCCCAGACTGCCCCCAGTACACCTGTCATCTGCTCTCATCTCCTGTCCTTGTGCACTGCACCATCTTTGCCTCAGGTTCTCTGAGTTTGGTATTTTTGATGTTTTTCAGACAACTTAGTAGGGTCTTGAATTCAAAAGTCAAACCATGACAAGCTGAGTTAACATTTTGACTCCTATATCTTGGAATTGAGGGGGAATTCTGGCTTCAGGAAATACTTGATTTAAGGACTCAAAGCATAAGTTACATTGTTGTCTTCACCTTTTTCCCATTTATTTCTCTTGATCTTACTTTGGGCTCTCTCCCCAGGTGACAGCCATGTGAATCATGGTCGTCTCTCTGTGACCTTCATAGCTGATCTCCTGGAGAAAATCCCTACTTCCTTCCCATTGTTCCAGCCTACACCCAAGTCCCAAGGCCACCTCTGAATCTGTCACTGAGGGCGGAGGTTGGCACCACACCTGGGTCCCATATCGCCCCACTCCCCAAGGAAGAATTGAAACTAAGAACAGTTGACAGGGGATTAGTCAGTCACTGGAAAAAGTCCACAATCCCATTCCCCCACCACAATGGGCTCTGTGTTACACTTTGAAAATAAAGTGAGAAGATCCATCGATATTTTAGAGAAGCAAAAGTTTACATACAAAAAGTGCACAAGTCCAACTTCTCTCCATGACAATGAGAACTTCTCTCCCTGTTCACCTGCTGCTTTGTAAAAAGCCACCACAAAATTCAGAGGATTGAAACAGCACCATCAGGTCTTCACTCACACATTTGCAACTGGGGCCTGGCTCCCTCCAGGGGCATCAGAGGAGAGGTTCTGCTGGGATCTGAAGATCTCAGGGCTGAGACACTCCTGCACAGGGGCAGGCAGTGCTGGCTCAGGTGGGAGCTCCGGCAAGACTGAGGGACGGGACTGTGTGATATGCTGGGGTCGGATCATGCTGGCTCATGAGAGAGGAGTTTTTGTGAAATAATTGTTAAATGATCTATAGCTAGGAGAATTTTAAGAATAGAAACTTAAAAACACTGCAAATCAGAGTTGTTTTTTGTTTCTTGTTTTTTTTTTTTTTTTTTTTTTTTTTTTCCCCAGAAAGCGGGTTGCTTTGCATTCTCTAGCCAGTCCTTGTAGATGGGCTCGGTTCCTCTCCCTGTCCAACACTTAGGCTTCCTCTAAGCATGGTGCCTGGGCTCCAAAGTCACCAGCGCTCTTAGTCTGTCTGGGCTGCTAGCAAAATAATGCCATAAACCAAGCTGCTTATAAAAACAGAAATGTGTTTCTCATGGACTGATAAGTCTAAATCAAGGTGCCAGGAGATTTGGTGTCATGAGAGCTGCTTTTCTGACTCATAGATGGCATCTTCTCACTGTATTCTCATCTAGTGAACCCTCTCACCAGAGAGGGAGCTCTCTGGGGCATCTTCTATAAGGGCACTAATGCTAGTCATAAAGCCTGTGCCCTTCTGACCTTCTTAACTCCCAAAAGCTCCCACCTCTTATACTATCAACTAATGGTTTAAGATTTTAACGTATGAATTTCAGAGGGACAAAAATATTCAGGTTGCAGCACCATCCAATAGAGAGGAAGTGAAAGATACCAGTTCATCAGGCCCGATCCCAGAAAAACAGCATGGCACTAAGTCAGGTGCACTCAATTTGTCAAGATGTTACCAGGTCTCGATTCAATAGGGGATAAGTAAACCTCCTTTTCTGTGTGAGGAGAGTCAATGATTTAGGGACGCATTTTAAACAGCTCAACGGAGTTATTCCCTCATAGTTTTTTGTAAAATTTCTGCAGACGCCAATACTAGACAGATAGACAGCTTGTGAGAGGTGGCTGGGAAAGGCAGACAAAAGCCAGGGACTTGGAACTCCTGCCTGTCCCAGCTGGATCTGCAGGCGTGGGAGTCGCTGTGTGGCACAGGCAGCACCAGGACCCTCCCCACAGGCGGGTGGACAAAGGGCTGAGGGGAGGGACAGGGTGGTGCTCTCTGAGGAGCTGGGAGGTGGACAGTCCTCAGAGCTCACCCCCACGCAGCCTCCGCCCTGCCCCACGCTAACACGCACGCTAGGTTCCAAGACTGCCCTTCCCTACCAGGTCAAAACGATGTTCCAGGGCCATGCCCAAGGTCCACACACCCTGTGTCTGCTGGGGCCACCAGACAGCCTCAGCTGTGTGGGAATATCCTTGCTGCTCCGGGAGCCCTCTCTCCTGTCACACCCACACCTGCAGCCCCACCCACAGCTTCCGCAGAATATATACTCCAGCCTGATGGTGTCAAGGCTCTTATGGTCAGCTCCAACCTAGCGCAGGCTCACTTCAATATTCTCTGGAAATTCAAATGCATGTGTATGAGAGAACAGTTTCAACCACGTCTACACTGGAAGTCTACACTTGTAGAAATTCATGGAAAAATCGACTGGGGTAGGGGTCATGGATGGCAACAGCCTCAGACCACAGCGCCCCAACCCAAGGGTTGTCAAGGAAAACAAGAGCCTCACCAGAACCAGGGGACTCCAAGGAATCTCACCTTGATGGTGAGGTCACCACTAAACCAGCCTCTCCTTACTGCTACAGGGTAGGGACCTCACCACCGCCAGGACATGGTGCTGGCTCACATCCAGTACCTGGACCCCTGCTTAGCTGCTCTCTTAGCTCATGCTTTGTTGCGTACCCTGCAGGTGACTTCATAGAGCGGTATTTTGCTGGGAACACCATTTGTCTTCATGTAACCCCATTAGCTATACCCTCTAGTGCAAGGAAACCATAGGGCCTAGGTCACACCATGAGGCTGCCTTACAAGTTATGCAAAAACTATGGACTTGGGAGACCTGTGCGTAACAACATCACACCCAAATTTAACCAGCTCTCCCCATAACAGCATGCTCATGTGTTACTGAGGAAATGCCTGTGGATTGGAGTGTGTTCTGTGTGCAGGAGGCTGGTCCAGGTTTCACTTCTGCAGGACACTGGACGTTTCCCAAAACCAGCAGACTTTCCCCACGTGCACACACACCCCTTCTCATTTTGCCTCTACATCCATATCCACTGGGCCCTTCAGGCACCTACTAATGCCCTAGAACCTAAAACCATCATCTGGGGCCCAGTTCCCTGAATGGCCCTAATCTCTTCCTCTGCTGGAATGAGTCCAGTGCCCACTTCCTCCAACGGTGAAATTGCTGGGCTGCTACAGATCAGGAACTCACTGCTTCCTCATAGGGGCAGCCGACTTCACTGCTCTGCAACAGCGACCACCCCTAGCGAGGCTTGAGATGCCTCTTGCCTCCTTAAGACTGAGGGAGACGCTTCAGCTCTCACTCCACTGCCCCAAGTCCTCCACAGCGCGGTGCCTGCTGCCTTCACACAGAGCTGCAGGGGAGGTCCTGTGTATCCGGCCTGCTGGACCAGCGCTGTGCACAACCCTCCCATGGCAACAGTGGCTGCCCGGCCTGCACACTGGGCTTGGCAACCTCGCTGTAGGTATTTATTCCCTCAGGAGTGACTGCATTCTTTTCCCATTTCCAGAAAACTGATGCCATTTACCTCACTATGAGGAGGAGGAGGAGGAGGGTGGAGAGTGGTACATTTTAAAATGTGCACTATTCTCCCTAGGACTCCCCCTCAAATAACCCAGGAGGGACCATACCAGCTCATTCCTGTGTATCCCAAGCATAGAGTAATCATCCCACTCATGCTGAGTGTATGGTGGCCATTAAGCCTGCCCTGAACTGGCTTTAGAACAAGGTGTTTGAGCACACAGCACCGTCTTGCTGCCACCTTGGCCCCCTCCCTTGTGAGACCTCTGAGACACATTAGGTCTCACCTAAAAATCTCAGGATTTCTAGGCCCAAACGGTCCTAAAAAATTGTTCAGTCTGAACTCTCTAAGGTCAAGAGAAGAGGTGGTTGCTCCCTCTAAGAAACCACATGTTGCATGTACATCCTTAATTCCGGAAAGTCCAACAAACCTGCCCTGCTTAGCAACACAAGCCGAGGTGGTACTCCTCTCACCCGGGCATTCTCCAACACACCTGTTTGTCCAAACAGCTTTGATTTGTTTTTATAGTTGGACCCCAGGTTCCCAGGAGGCTGGTTCAGGCCATATTCCAAATCCTCATCTGTGTGTGAGTGGCATTCTTAGCCTAGCCTCCTTACAGGGTGGATACTATGATACACAGCCAGGCTGTCCCAGTGGCTTTCAATATTCTTTTGGTCCAGATAGTTCAGCCTCAGCACCAGTGTAGGCATCACAGGGTCAATTGTCTTAGGAGTCATGGAGAATTCATAGTTGGTAGCTACCTGGGCCTGGCCAGGGCTGACCATAGACAAGGTATCCCTCTGTGAACTCCTATTTTAATGCCAGCTTCCCAACAAATTTCTCAACTGCTCTTACCAGCAGGTATTTAAACTACTCAATAGAAAGTAACCCTGAAAATTAGGACACCTGTTCCCAAAAGACCCTTAAATAGGGGAAGTCCTTTCCTGCTTGTGCACAGCTGCTGATGTGGCAACATGAGGCCTGGGACAGGGGACTGTCCTCTGCCCACTCTGGTAGCCTCACGTAGCTTAACAATCTGTCAGTAATACAATACAAAACTTAAACTTTCATACTGCGGTTCCACCCAGGAAGCTGTGTTCCCAATCTGACCCGTGATTATGGGGCCACCTCAGAGGGAACCAGTGAGGGAATATTTTGCCATCTGGGACTGTTGGTTGCTGGGGGCAGTGGCTATGAGCTCAGTTAATAAACTCAAGCAGTTTCCTTCCAAACACACATGTCCTACTTAACGTGTCCAACAGAGATGATCATACTCATAGCTGCTAAAACATTATTTTATTTTGAGAAAAGTCTATTCATGTTCTTGGCCCATGGAGTTTTCATTTATTATTTATTTATTTTGCAGAGATGGAGTCTCACTGTGTTGCTCAAGCTGGTCTCCAACTCCTGGGCTCAAGCGATCTTCCTACTTTGGCCTTTGAAAGCGCTGAGATTGCCTGTGTGAGCCATCATGGGGGCTCACTGGCCCACTGATTAATCAGATTAATTGTTTTTTGCTATTGAATTGTTTGACTTCCTTGTATATTCGGATATTTACCCATTCTAACACGTAGGGTTTGCAAATATTTTCTCTCATGTTCTGTGTTGCCTTTTCACTCAGTTGGTGGTTTCCTTTGCTGTGCAGGTGCTTTAGTGTTCAACGCAGCCCCGCTTGTCTATTTTCCATTTTATTGCCTGTCCCTTTGATGTCATAGCCAAGAAATAATTGCCCAGATTAATGTCAAAAAGCTTTATCCCTATATATTCTTCTAGTAGTTTATGGTTTCAGATCTTATGTTTAGGTCTTCAATCCATTGAGTTGATTTTTGTATGTGGTATAAGAAAAAAGACCACATGTATACATATCTCAAATTCTAAGGTAGTATATATTAGACACATACAATGTGTCTATTTACACACATTGAGCTGAAAATAATAAACATATTTTTATCTTTCAATCAACTCTATCTCTATCTCACTGAACTTGTTTCACCTATAGCCTGATGAGGTTGCTGTCCTCTCTACCCCAGCTCCTATAGGAGACTGCTCATCCCCTAACCTCAAAAACCCCTTCATGAGGGTGATAATGCCCTTGAATCCTGCAATGAATTAGTTCTCTACTACAGTGGAATTCAGGTCTGTTATGAGGGTCTGGATCTCTGAAGAGAAGAGCTCTCATTTTCAGAAAATAAGCAGGATTTATTCCCTGAAATTACTGAATTAAATCACTGTTTCGATTACTTTTTGCAATATTAAAAGTAAATATTTAAACAGGTAAAAACAGAAATAATGGTAGGGTCCTTATCATCACCGTGAATTCCAAGCTAGCATAGACACTAAACCTAGAGATTCACACTAGAATGAAAGCTGGGAGAGCAGAGGAGTCTCAGAAGGATGTGGAGGCCAATGGACACCTGCAACCTCTCCAACGAAATGCCTACCTCCTCTCACTGCAGCATCCATCTCTGAGCCTTCTCGCAGCAGAGCTATAAATTCAGCCTGGCTCCTCCGTTCCCACACATCCACTCCTGCTCTCCCTCCTCTCCTCCAGGTGACTACAGTTATGAGGACCCTCACCCTCCTCTCTGCCTTTCTCCTGGTGGCCCTTCAGGCCTGGGCAGAGCCGCTCCAGGCAAGAGCTCATGAGATGCCAGCCCAGAAGCAGCCTCCAGCAGATGACCAGGATGTGGTCATTTACTTTTCAGGAGATGACAGCTGCTCTCTTCAGGTTCCAGGTGAGAGATGCCAGCATGCAGAGCTACAGACTAGACAGAAGGACAGGAGACAGGCTCTGGAATTGGATCTCAGTGGCAGATGTCACTTAGGTGGCTATACTTAACATCTCTGGTCCTGGATTTTCTCATATCTAAATGGAATAGAGAACCAAAGAAATCTAAGAGATTTTTCTTTCTCCAAAAACTTGATTCCAAGATATGACTGTGAAATTCACTAGATTTAAGATATAAGGAGATGCTACCTAGTTCCTTCTGGAGCCAGACAAACAAGCTTAAGTATATAGAAAATATTTCACCCTGTCTATATAGGAGGTTTTAGAACCTGGAGAGGAGCCTAAGAATGTGTTCAGGTGTGTGTGTGATGGGCAGGAATGCAGAAAAGTGAAGCAAAGGAGAATGAGTCTCGAATCCTGTGTGACCAGCACTGCTCTGTGTATTTATTCCTATTGACTGAGATTGTTTGTGCTACCGGCTGTAATACAGCCAACATCACTCATCAGCCAACATGTGACTTCTCCAAGATTCCCTTTACCACCCACTGCTGACCCCGTACTCAGTTTCTGATGCTCTCTCTGGGTCCCCAGGCTCAACAAAGGGCTTGATCTGCCATTGCAGAGTACTATACTGCATTTTTGGAGAACATCTTGGTGGGACCTGCTTCATCCTTGGTGAACGCTACCCAATCTGCTGCTACTAAGCTTGCAGACTAGAGAAAAAGAGTTCATAATTTTCTTTGAGCATTAAAGGGAATTGTTATTCTTATACCTTGTCCTCGATTTCCTGTCCTCATCCCAAATAAATACTTGGTAACATGATTTCCGGGTTTTTTTTTTTTTGAGGCGGAGTCTCCCTCTGTCACCCAGGCTGGAGTGCAGTGGTGGGATCTCAGCTCATTGCAAGCTCTGCCTCCCAGATTCAAGCAATTCTCCTGTCTCAGCCTCCTGAGTAGCTGGGACTACAGGCGCCCACCACCACGCCTGGCTAATTTTTGTATTTTTAGTAGAGACGGTGTTTCACCATGTTGGCCAGGATGGTCTTGATCTCCCGAACTCGTGACTGACCCGCCTTAGCCTCCCAAAGTGCTGGGATTGCAGGCGTGAGCCACCGGGCCAGGCCGATCTAATAAAATAAAGATCCAAATTCTAGGAACTTCAAGGAAGAATTCTGGCTTCAGACACATGTATATGAAAGGTCAAATGATGCCCCTGATCTCTCCATCCACTGCTCTGTCTTTTCATTCTGCCTCATTTTCACTGGATCCACTCTCAAAGAAGTCCTGTGTGCTGGGCAGACAATCAGTGTCAGCTAAAAGTTTATGCAATCACAAAATCATTCCTTCTCAGGAAAAACCATCATGCTGTTTCCAAAATTGTTGGAGTTTTATTCAACCAAACTGGATCACACATCTACATTTTAAGTTTGGGGGTTATATCAGTTCTATTGAAACAACTTTAGCTAAGGTTGGAATGGTGGGTTGCAGGAGTTTGAGACCACACTGGGCAACATGGTGAAACCCCATCTATACAAAAACATATAAAAAATTAGCTGGGCATGGTGGCACACACCCATGGTCCCAGCTATCAGGGAGGCTGAGGTGGGAGGATTGCTAGAGCCTGGAATGTTGAGGCTGCAGCGAGCTGAGATTGCACCACTGCAATCCAGCCTGGGCAACAGAGTGAGACACTCCAGCCTGGGCAACAGAGTGAGACACACCAGCCTAGGCAACAGAATGAGACACTCCAGCCTGGGCAACAGTGAGACACACCAGCCTAGGCAACAGAATGAGACACTCCAGCCTCGGCAACAGTGAGACACACCAGCCTAGACAACAGAATGAGACCCTCCAGCCTGGGCAACAGTGAGACACACCAGCCTGGGCAACAGAGTGAGACACTCCAGCCTGGGCAACAGAGTGAGACACTCCAGCCTGGGCAACAGAGTGAGACACTCCAGCCTGGGCAAAAGAGTGAGACCCTATCTCAAAAAAAAAAAAATTGTTTTTTTTGAAGATTGGAATGAGTTGTTAAGAAAGCTGTAATGAATCAAACAAAGAGCCCAGGAACACCACACTGTGATAGATTCATTATCAGGACCTTCCAGGAGGAACAGCAACAGCAATACCCTCTTAGGTCCTCAGAGTATGTACCGGGATGGTCACGGCTTCCCTCCCAGGCTGTCTCCAACTGTTGCTCATCTTCATATCTCACTCTTGGGGCCTGTGTCCTTTTGAGCTTGTCTTTTTCTTCCTTTCCAAGAGGACATGGTCACTGCCTAAACCTGGTGTCTCTGTAGGGCCAGGCTGACATCTTGTTGAGGTGTAATGTGACTCTTCCTCCTGTCTCCCCTCTGTTTCCTTCCCCAGATTCCAACTGTCCCTTGAACAATTATCCAACGTGTCCTGCAAATGGCCTGTCAGTCCCTGACCACAAGACCCCACAGAGGCGTCCAGCGTGAGTGCCAGCTCCTTATTTCACCTGGAATATAGCAGTTTCAGTTTGTGATTCCACAACACGTATTTGGAATAAGAATATGTCTGTTTGAGCCAAGGCTACTCTTATCAGGTGGGCTCTGGTAAAACGCCTTAAGAAATCCAAGACTGATAGAGAGACCACTGTTTGCAAAGAGACAGAATATCAAGTGAGTTATTTACCATTCTTGACTAAAATAATTCAACGGGCCCACATACTGCTGTGACCACCAACACCGCCAACAAATGCCCAGACCTCAGGAGAAGGGAGCCGGTGTTCTCCACATTCACCCCATGCAGATTCTAAGCAGGTCTCAGCCCCAGACCGAGGCTCTGTCTGTCTGAAGAGGCAGCTTCAGCTAGGCAGCGGGTCCAGGCACCCCACTGAGACACTACACAGCTAGGGAACCCAATACAGATCCCAGGGAGGACAGAGTGGGTCTGTGTCCAACCAAGAAATGGTTCCAGGCCGGGCCTGGTGGTTCATGCCTATAATCCCAGCACTTTGGGAGGCAGAGGTGGGCGGATCACCTGAGGTTCGAGACCAGCCTGGTCAGCATAGTGAAACCCGGTCTTTACTAAAAACACAAAAAAAATTAGCCTGCCATGGTGGTGTGTGCCTGTAATCCCAGCTACTCGGGAGACCGAAGCAAGAGAATCGCTTGAACCTGGGAGGCGAGGTTGCAGTGAGCCGAGATCGCGCGCCACTGCACACCAGCCTGGGCGACAGAGCAGGACTCTGTCTCAACAACAACAACCAAAAAAAAAAAAAAAAAAAAAAAAAAAAAGAATTTGCTGGACACCGCTATTCAGTAGTGTACCTATGCAGTTCCTCCAGGGTAACTTTATAAGGGGCAGGAGCGCCGCCTGCTGTCCTTAAGGTGCTACTGTGGCTCTGCTGGCCCAGCTTTCTGTCAGAGCAGGTTCTCCTTGACTGGGAATATAGCATGGGCACTGCTAAGTCGCCCTCTGATAACTGAGGACATCTCAAGGTGGAAACATACTGAAGCTACTGAGGAAAAAGAAGAAAGAGCCCTTGGCACAAACAGATTGAACTTCAGTGAAAATGCTCTGGCTTCGATGTGGGGTGGGGTGGGGTGAAGGAGAGAAGGGCGCTGAGCAGAGATAAGGTCCTCATGACTACCGGTCATCACAGGGGACAGTCGTTTCTTCTCACGAAGCTGCACAAGCCTGATGGCTAATGAGGGAGAAATATACCCATCCTGTGTTTGCATTTGTTCATTGAAAGCTGGACCCAAGAGTAATGGGCTTTGCTGAATAGGGCTTGGACATTTGTCCATATGTGAGTATGGGGGCTGGGAGGAGAGGGAAGAGAGGAAAGCAAACCATTTGAAGTTCCCTTATTGTCTCCAAAGCCCTTTGATGTTCTTCTTATTCCAGGTGTGCCATCTATTTGCTTGGTGCCTCTGATGATTTCATGAGTCGTGATATGGATCCCAATAAGAGTCCCTGCTTCCCGTCTGTCTATATGTTTACCAACCACCATGTGGACTAGGCTGTGTTATCTTCTATTCCACAGAGTAAGCTGGGGCCACTTATTATTTCCCAAAGGTAGATCAGACAATTACAGAATTCCCCTTTAGGTCAAGACCAGGAAATCAGGACCACTTACCCTTAGAAGAATCTTGTCCTCTTAGATAGATCAGGGTAGCTTAGGAATAGCTCCTGGGAAGGATTGCCAGGTGATAGGGTAATTGTTGTCTTCCCCTTGAGCAAGTAGGGAAAGTGATGTGGACACCTTTAATTCACAATGAACAAGCAGAATGTGGGGTGAAGGGCTGGGCATGGTGGCTCCCACCTGTAATCCCAGCACTTTGGGAGGCCGAGAGGAGGGGATCAGTTGAGGTCAGGAATTTCAGACCAGCCTGGCCAACACGGTGAAACTCTGACTCTAATAAAAATACAAAAATTAGCTGAGTGTGGTGGTGTGCACCTGTAATCCCAGCTACTTGGGAGGCTGAGGCAGGAGAATTGCTTGAACCCAGCAGGTAGAGGTTGCAGTGAGCTGAGATCGTGCTACTGCACTCCAGCCTGGGTGACAGAGCAAGACTGTCTCAAAAAAAATTGGGGTGAAGGAGGCAGGTTTAATTGGAAACCTGGGCCTTGGTTAAAAGGCCACCTCACAGTGGATAAATGAATGCCAAGTTCAAGTAAATATAAAACAAATGCATTTACACACAAAAGGCACATCTCTGGAAATGGCTGAAAAGTTTCAGAATTCTTTCACTCTGAACGGACTTCAGCAATGGGATTTAACAGAAAGCATTTATGTCCACTGTTTTTCTAAGGACCTGGGAGAAAGAGTCTTTGTCCTGAGTGATGATGGTCTATGAGCAGTAAACCTCCACTAGGTCTGCAGAGGTCTCAGTAAAACACTGTTGCTAGGACCCATTCCACAGAGTTTCTGATTCAATAGGTCTGAGGTGGGATCCAGGAGTTTGTATTGCTACCATGTTCCCAGGTGATGCAGGTGCTTCTGGTTCAGAGCTCCGGCTTTGAGAACACTGCTGTGGTGTGGGAAATGGCATTGCTCTCACATGGCTCCCAACAACCTCAGGGATCCTTGACCTGTTGGTTTCAGAAACCTCCCTTATACTCTGTTTTGTTCACCCAATCCACAGCCATAACATCAATCTTCTTATCACTTGGAGATACTCTCACCTTAAAAATGCAGATTCCAGCATCCTACCCTGCCTCGTCCCCACCCCTCAATCTTTCTGACTCAGCCGTTCCCATACTGTCACTCAGTGTCGTCAACACTTCCATTCTCTAGGAACACCACTATTTCCCAATCAGTTGTCCAAACTCTTTTAATTCTTTCACATCCAGCCCTGGTCTATGTTCCATCACTTAATCACTGTTGAATGAGGACTTCGTTCCTTTCCCCCCACTCTCTTATCTCTCTGGGCAAATGCCAAATGCTAAGCCCACATCAATTTTATACTGTTCTCACCTTCACCTTGATGCTGAGAAAAAGTCCCCATGCCGTAAATCCAATTAAAGCACAACTGAGTTCTCTGCCTTGCCTAGAAATCTTCTAAAAATCCTTACTTTTCCAATATCAAAAGAGAATAAAATTATGTCACATTCTCTATTCTAGAAAGTCTCTTTTAAAAAAACTCTTTACTCTTATGAAATGTGAAATGGGAGAGGCATTTTATAATTGACGATTACATTGAACTGTAACAACACACACAATAAAAATAAATGATAGGCCGGGCACGGTGGCTCACACTTGTAATCCCAGCACTGTGGGAGGCTGAGGCGGGTGGCGGATCACCTGAGGTATGGAATTCAAGACCAGCCTGGCCAATGTGGTGAAACCCCATCTCTACTAAAAATACAAACATTATCAGGGCGTGGTGGTGCACACTTTTAATACCAGCTACTTGGGGAGGCTAAGGCAGGAGAATTGCTTGAACCTGGGAGGCACAGGTTGCAGTGAGCCGAGGTCGCGCCATTGCACTTCAGCCTGGGCAGCAGTGCAAACTCCGTCTCACAACGAACAGACAAACAAAAATGATAATAGTATCATATAGCATAAAATATTTAACATTTTAGTTGTCCCAAAACAGCTTTTTGAATACACGATCTTATAAAAAAGTTGGGAGTGAAGAAAAGTGGTAATAATTGCCTCCACATTTGAGTAAACAAGGTTTGCTTGGAAAAACGTAACGACAAATATCTCTCAGATTACACTAATCCAGGTCACATAATAAACCACCATTAATGTAGCAATATAACACAATTTCCATCATGCCAACATATTTTATTTTATATTTGGCCCCAAACCAGTAGTGCACCATATATAGAGAAAGGAAATGCATTTGGTAACTTAAAAAAAAATTGGTTATATCATTTTTCGTGTTATTTTGTTTTTTAAAGCCACTCTATCGAGATAAAATTAACATGATGTACAACTCACACATTTAAAGTGCAGAATTCAGTGGCGCTTAGTATATTCACAGACATGTGCAGCAATAACCACATTCAAATTAATTTTCATCACTTCATAAAGAACCCAAGGACTTTCCATTCCTCCCTTCCGATATTCCCATCCCTCTACCTCTGAGCAACCACTAAGCTATTTTCTGTCCCCATAGACTTGCTTATTCTGGATATTTTGTATAAACAGAATCATGTAATACATGGTCTTTTATGTCTGGCTTCTTGCCCTTCCCCATGACTGTTTGTGTGGACATACACTTTCATAGCTTTTGGGTATATACCTAGGAGTGGAATTCCTAGCTCACAGGGTAATTCTATGTTTAACTTATTAAAGAATCAATAAAACTGTTTTCCCCAGAGACTGCCCCATTTTACACCACAGCAGTAAATTTCTCCACATCCTCGACAGGTTTTGTCTATTATCTGCCTTTTTGATTCTAAAAAACCCTGGTGGATATGAAGTGGTATTTCACTGTGGTTTTGATTTGAATTTCCTAATAAATAATGATGCCAAGAATTTTTTCATGTGCTTATTGACTATCTGTATATCTTCCCTAGAGAAATGTCTAAGGAGATCCTTTGCCCGTTTATAAATTTGTTTATTTAGCTTTAAGTGTTTATCATAAGAGGACTGCATATATTCTGGATACATGGGATACATGTCTTTCATGAGATACGTGATATGTAAGTATTTTCTCTCATTCTGTGAGTTGCCTTTTCGCTTTCTTGATAGTGTCACTTGAAATACAAAAGATTTTTATTTTGATAATATCCAATTACCTGTTTTTTTCTTTTGTTGCTCATGCTTTTGATATAATATCTAAGAATCCATTGCCAAACATAGGTTATGAAGGCTTACCCCTATGTTTCCTTATAAAAGTTTTATGCTTTTAGATTTTACATTTAGATTTCTAACCCATTTTGAATTACCTTTTAAATATAGTGTGAGGTAGGGTCCAACTCATTCTAATGCTTGTGGCCATCTAGTTTACCCCACCATTTGTTGAAAAGAATTTTCTTGCCTCCATTGAATGCCCTTGGCACCACTGCAGAAAGTGAGTTAATAACCATAGACACGTTTTTATTTCTGAACTCTCAATTCTATTCCACTGATCTATGTCTATCTTTACAGCAGTACCACCCTGTCATGATTACCGTTTCTTTGTAGGATGCTTTGAAAACAGGAATCTTTTCTTCTTTTTCAAGATTATTTAGCTATTCTGGGATCCTTGCTATTCCATATAAATTTTAGAATCACCTAGTCAGTTTCTACAAAGAAAGTCTTCTACAAAGAAGTCATTAGGGATTCTGAAATAGATTGAGCTGAATCTGTAGATCAGTTTGGGGAGCACTGACATCTCACATTAAACCTCACAATCCCTGAGCATAAGATCTCTTTCCAGTTATTTAGATATTCTTAAAAACTTCAACTTTTTGTGGTTTGGGGAGTATAAGTTTTGCACATTTTTTAAATTCAACGACTAGCTATGTTCCTTTTGATACTACTTGTAAAAGGAGTTTTTAGCTTCATTTTTGAAAAGTTTATTATGAAAGAAAAAATACAATTGATTTTTGTGCACTGGTCTTCTATTTTTCAACCATGCTAAACTCCCTTATTAGTTCTAATAGTTTTTTAATAAATTGTTTTGGATTTTCTATATATAAAAGATCATGTCTTTGCAAACAGAGATTATTTAACAACTTCTTTTCTAACCTGGATGTCATTTAATTTTTCCTTCTTGCCTGACTGCCCTAGAACCTCTAGCACAATGTTGAGTAGAAGTGCTGATTTCAGATATCCTTGGCTGGTTTCTAATTTCAGTAGGAAAGCATCCTTTTTTTTTTTTTTCAACCACCGAGTATGATGTTAGTTGTAAGTTTTTCATAGATGTCCCTGATGCCAAAAAAGTTGGGGACTGCTGCCTTAACAGATTGAGAGTTCACCTCTCAACCCAGTGAGTGTTTTCATGCCTAATAGTATCTCACTTTTCTCTAACTGTATTCTTGTTTCTTCATCTTTTTTCTCTGTTCTCTGGACTATATAATCTTTTATCTATCTGTACACACATTTCCTAAATCTTGGTTCTGCCAGTTTAAGTATACTATTGAGCAGCCGTTCATAAAATTTACATTTCGATTATTGTACTTCTCAATTCCAGAATTTCATGTGTTTCTTCGTAACTTCACTTTATTATATTCTGCCCTTGAAAAGATTTTGTCATCACAGTTTCCTTTAATTATGTAATAATGGTTTCTTTTAGTTGTTTAGTCACATTTATCATTAATACTCGTTTTTTTCTATTAAGTTCTTTATATATTTAGATATTTACTTTCATTACATGTATCGTTTACAAATATTTCTCTCTCTTGCTAGGTTGCCTGTTTGCTCAGTTAATGACTTCCTTTGCTATGCAGATGTTTTACAGTTAAATGAACTCCAACTGGTTTATTTTTGCTTTAGTTGCCTCTACCTTTAATGTAATATCCAAGAAATAATCTCCCAGTTCAACGTTAGGAAGCTTTATCCCTATGGGTTCTTCTAGTAAGTTTTATGATTTCAAGACTTATATTTAGGTCTTCAATTCATTCAGAGTTGATTTTTACATTTGGTGTGAGATAAGGGTACAAATGTAGATATACGTTGAATTATCAGGTTGTGTACTTTCAACCGATATAATTTCTAATTGTCACTCCTCTCAATACGGTTGGAAATAAAAAAAAATTTTTAACCTTATTCAGACCAACTCTTTAACTAGTATCCCACTGAGCTTATTTGACTGATAGCCTGATGAGGCCATTGTCCTCTCCACACTAGCAGTGGCAGAAGACTATGCCTTCCAGAACCTCAAAAGCGTCCTTCATGAGGGTAGAAATGCCCCAGAATCCTGCAATGAATTACTCTCTATGCTGGGGTCCAGGTCTTGCCTCAGGGTCTAGACCACCAAGAATAGCAGGGCTCATCTTCAGAAAATAAGAGGCATTTATTGCCTGAACTTATGGAATAAGAGCAGTGTTTCTTTTCTTTTTTGAATATTAAGAAGTAAATGTTCCAGCAGATGAGACACAGGAAATTATAGCATGATCCTAATCATCACTATTGGCTTGGACCCAGAACAGACACTCGATAAGCAGACTCATGCTATGATAAAAGCTCGGAGAACAGAAGAGCATCAAAGGGATCTTGATGGCAAAGGCAGCCCTTCCCTTCCCCAATCACATGCTCCACCTCCTCTCACTGCAGCATCTGTCTCTGAGCCTTCTCCCAGCAGAGCTATAAATCCAAGCTGGCTTATCACTCCCCACACATCCACTCCTGCTCTCCATCCTCCAGGTGACCCCAGCCATGAGGACCCTCACCCTCCTCGCTGCCATTCTCCTGGTGCCACTCCAGGCCCTGGCTTGAGCCACTCCAGGCAAGAGCTGACTAGGCTGCAGCCCAGGAGCAGCTTGGGGCAGACCACCAGGACTTTGCCATCTCCTTCACAGGGGACATAAGCTCAGGTTTTAGAGATTCAGGTGAGAGCCACCAGCACTGCAGAGCCAGGAGTCTAGAGAGGAAAACCAGGCACCGCTAGAATCAGACCCAATAGCTGGTTCTTTCTCTTAGGTGATCACCTCTCCAGGCCTCAATTTCCTCAAGTGTAGACTGAAAAGACAGAATCAGATGATATTCAATGGACATTGCTCCTCCAAAGGTATTTGATTCTGTGAAAAGTCAGTGAAATTTAGTAATCTTATGCTATGTGGAAACACGCTGGGGAGTCTCTCTGGCATCGAGGATGAGAACCCACTTGGAAAGAAACATATTTCACTTTGTTTGTTAGAGGAGCTTCACAAATGGGAAGGGACCTAAGGGTGTACTCAAATGTGTGTGTGAAGAAGCAGCATCACAAAAAGTGAGCAAATGAGAATAAGTCTCTAATCCTGCCTGTGAGCAGCACTGCTGTGTACGTTGATTCCTATTGATTGAGCTGATCTTGCTGCTGCTGTGGTGTGGCCACCATGATGAATGCAATCAGCCCAGTAAGTAACTGCACGGGGATTCTCCTTACCAACCGCGTCTGACCCCAGTCCCAATGCCTGATGCTTTCTCTGTGTCTTCAGGCTCAGCGACGGGCTTGGTCTGCTATGGCAGAATATCAGGCTGTCATTTTTCCAAACACCGCTATGGGACCTGCACCAATAGTGGGATCATGGAGCACAGAGGAAAATGTGTTCATCATTTGCTTTGAGATCTAGAGGAGAACTTTTATTACTCCTTTACCTTGTCTTCAATTTCTTCCCTTATTCCTAATAAAGTCTTTGTAGCAAGTTTGTGTTTGTACCTGTTTGGTGTTTAATGCACCTCTTAGTCAAGACTCTTTGGGATGCAAGCACCAGAATCCTAAATTAAGCTTTTTAAGCAAAATACAACTCCAAATTCTAAGAATATCAAGGACAAACATTGGCTTCAGACACAAACTGATTTACAAGCACAAATTATGCTGCCAATTTCTCCTTCTACTTCTCTGTCTTTTCACTCTGCTTCACTTTGATTGGATTCACTCAAACGTAACTCCCATGTGTTAGGAAAAACAGTCATTATCAGCTTTCAGTTTACACAATCATAACATCGCTACTTCTTAGGGAAAAAACCACCATGTTCTTTCCTGAAGTGTTGGAGTTTCATTGAACAGACCCAGGTCACACATCTGCCTTTGAAGACCTGGGGTTGTCACAGCTCTATTGAAAAAAATTTAATTGAGATTGGAATGAACAGTTAAGAAAGCTGTAATGGGCCAGGTGTGGTGGCTCATACCTGTAATCCCAGCACCAAAGAAATGGTTCCAGACCGGGGGCAGTGGCTCACGCCTGCAATCCCAGCACTTTGGGAGGCTGAGGCAGATGGATCATCTGAGGTCAGGAGTTCGAGACTAGCCTGGCCAACGTGGTGAAACCTCGCCTCTATTAAAAATACAAAAATTAGCCGAGAGTGGTGGCACATGCCTGTAATCCCAGCTACTTGGAAGGCTGAGGCAGGAGAATCACTTGAACCTGAGAAATGGAGGTTGCGGTGAGCTGAGATCATGCCATTGCACTCCAGCCTGGGTGACAAGAGCGAAACTCCATCAAAAAAACAAAACAAAACAAATCCTGTAATGAGTACAACGAAAAGCATAGGAGCACCTCGCTGCGACAGACTCATCATCAATATTTTCCACCCATGCCAGGGAAAATCTTGATTTCATATTCATAAAGTTGTCTTCACACAAACAAAACGCAGATTCCTCAACTGTATTCTGAAAGATGCACCCTTGAGACAGGAGAATAGGGAAATAGGATAATCAAGGGTTAAGGCATAAGGAAAAGAACACCAGGTGCAGCCAGTTCCAGGCAAGATTAGGCAGCACACCAAATTCTTTGAGCTTAATAAAAACACTAAGTGGGGGGCTCTTGAGCCACTTGCTTGAACTGGCTCCCACTCTGTGGTGTGTCAATAAATCTGTACTTTCGTTACTGCATTCTCATGTTGCTTTGGTTTGTCTTTCGTTGCTTTGTTCTTTTGTTGCTTTGTTTGTACGTTTTGTTGAATTATTTGTTCAATGCACTAAGAATCTGGACAACTCACAGTCAAGATCTTCCATCTGGTAACACTCTTGTGTTCCCTTAAAACTGCAGAGGACCTGATTCTACCTGAAAATACAGTTTTAAAGGGGCACCGGGAAAACAGAAGTGAGGGAAAAGCTATCGAAGTAATCTGCGTCCCGGCTGGTGCTGCAGGGCGCTGAGGTTCTGATACTCAGAAAGTGCTGCACATCAGCCAGTGAGCAGGAAACCAGGTCTGCGGAAAGGGAATGAACCAGGAGTTGAGCGCCCTCTGAGATGCTCAGAGCAATTACCTGGAAGACCACAGCGCCCCCTGTTGTCCTGCCTCCAACTGCAGCCTCCCCACCAGGCACAGCACACGTTGGGTATGTACCTTCCTGAGCCTGTCTTTCTCCTCTCCTCCAAGAGGACAGGGTCGCTACCGGTGTCCCTGAGGCCAGGCTGACATCTTGCTGAGGTGTGATGTGACCCTTCCTGTATCTCTTCTCTTTCCTTCTCTAGGCACCCATTGAACCTTGAACACTAGTTCAACATATCCTGCAAATAGCCTATGAGAACATGACCACAAAGGCCCAGGAAGGATTCCAGCGTGAGCCCCAGAGCCCCGGGAAGTATTCTAGCGTGAGCCCCAGAGTCTTTATTTTACTTTAAATTTAGTAGTGCTAGTTTGTGATTCCACAATACATTTTTTGAATAAAAATATGTCTGTTCAAGCCTTGGCTACTCTTATTGGGTGGTACTGGTAAAATGCCCCAAGAACCCTTACAGTGACAGAGAGACCATAGTTTGCAAAGGAAGAAATAGTGTTTCAAGTGGATTATTCACCATTCTTGAATAAAACAATATAATGAGTCTAGACACAGCTGTGACCACCAACACCAACCACAAATGCCCAGCACCCAGGAGAAGGAAGCAGGTGTTGTCCACATCCAATCCATGCAGATTCCGAGCAGGTCTCAGTCCCAGACTGAGGCTCTGCCTGTGTAAAGGGGCGGCTCAGGGTTCCAGGCACCCCACTGAGACAATGCACAGCTGGGGAACCTACTGCAGACCTCAAGGAGGACACAGTGGGTTGGTGTCTGACAAAATAAATGCTCCCAGATCTTCCCCCTTGTGTAGACAGTGAAGGACACATATTATGATTCAGGGGGTGAAAAACAAGCCACCTTCCTTGGGTTCCTGTCACTGCCTTGGAGTTGGAGTCATGTGGTCCTTGAACTAACTGCAAATTATTCCTAACTGTCCACTGGGCCAGGATCACTTCATTTTGGGGCAGCTGCCCTTCACCCAGAAGTCCACCTGGCTCACTCCTCCAGCTCCTGGGGTCTCAGCTAAAACATCCCTTGGTCACTGAAATCTTTCTTGATTTCCCAACTTAAGATTGCCACAAGTTCCCCTGGATACCTCCATCCTCCTTGTTCTCTTTATTTCTAACTGTAGCATTTCAAACCATTTCGCATCCTATACATTTCACTTATTCTCGGTAACATTTCTCTCTCTGTGCTAGAAGGGAAGCTGCATGTTTTGCTCATTGTTGTACCACAGTGCCCAGATGACTGCCTAACACATAGCTGGGGATCAACAAATTAATTCTGAGTTATTAATTATCCCCAACATCACATACTATTACAAAATTGCATTATTATTACTCAACTTCATAGAAAAAAAGCTGAAACCTACAGAAGAAAAAATTCTGTATGTCAGTTCATGTGACAGCAGACCTTTCAAAAACTAAAATCTTTTAAGAATGAAATATAGGAGAATATCACTGGTAAAATGTGGCTTTAAGTAACATTAGGACTTTAGAAAGAAGAGATCATTTTGTCTTGGAGTGGCAAGGACAGATTTTATGGTGTATCTTAAACCGGAACATAAAGATGTTTACAACTGAATAGATTAAAAGGAGGGTTAGAGAAGAACGTTTGCTGGAGATAATGGTATCAGGGACAGAGATATGCAAGGTCAGGGTCTAAGTCTGCTGGATTTGGAGGAATTGATGTTGCAAGAGAAAAGGATGAACTGGTAATTCGAGCTGATATTCTCGGAGGCATCCATCAATTTAAGGGAAAGGGGCAGACGAGGATGGAATATCCCTGCTCCTCTGTGTTGATAAAGGCATACTGGTAGAACCACATTAAGATTCTGCTACTGCAGTCTAGGGTGCGCGATGACAGCTGCAAACACTAAGGACAGAGAATGCAGGGAGAGGTGTGAGGGTCTCCAAACAATGGGAGCAACTTGCTTAGCCTCAAATAAAACCCAAAGCTTATTACTGGAATGCACACACACAGAACATTTATGGAATGCCAGTGAGATATTTCTACCTTAAATAAGCCACTCATACAGTAGAAGAAAATAAAGAATAAGTCAAATATGAAGCTAACCCTTTGAAATGTCATTTTCCAAGAAGAAAGTACCCTTTTCTCTGTGGGAGGATAGGAGCCTACCTTCCATAAATACAAATTGGGAAACACAGATGGCCCAATCACACTGCTCAACCTTCCTGCCAGCAACCTCCAGTACTTTTTCACCAGCTCACCCTAGGGCTTAAACTCTCCTGTGTTTGGCCTCAAGAGAGTTGAGTTCAACTGCTCTCCCTATTGCAAAGAGTTAACACCTATTGGGACATTCCTCAACACCAATTCCTTGGCATTTCATAAAAGTATCTGGTGCAATTTTTCTTTTAAACAAAGGATACTGCCTCGTTATTGTTGCTGTTGATATTCTGTGCCTGTTTATATGATATTCTGAACTCTGTTTACAACAAGAATGTAAGAGATAAGAAAAGTACTTGTTCCCTTTTCTGAACTTTGGCATATTTTGTCTTTTGCTGCTAAAAGCCCCGTAACTCACGAAGAAACTTAAGATTATGAGAAGTTATTTTTCACTCTAATATTTTCCAGAAGGTCACTCTCACTACCTCTCAATGCTTTGAGATCCTGGATAACAGTGAACCCCCTCCTCTTTGCCCAAGCCCTCCACCCACGGCCACCCACTAACTCCTGCCATCACCTGGAATTCCTCCATTTCTGCACATCAACTATGAAGCTCCCCATCCCTGACTCACCTGCTGTCCTTCCAGCCTCTCACATAGCTGCCCCTCCTTCCCTGCTGATCAGCATTAACAAGGCTATTCTGCCCCGGGGCTGTGCATGGGAATCACCAGGGAGCCTGATGCCCCAGCTGCCCTTGGTACACCTGTCATCTGGTCTCAAGCTGCCCCGGGACACTTGACATCTGCTCTCATCTCCTGTCCTTGTGCACTGCACCATCTTTGCCTCAGGTTCTCTGAGTCTGGTATTTTTGATGTTTTTCAGATCTCTTAATGGGGTCTTGAATTCAAATGTCAGAAACCAACAACAAGCTAAGTTAATATTTTGACTCCTATATCTTGGAATTGAGGAGGAATTCTAGCTTCAGGAATTGCTTGATCCAAGAAATCAAAGCATGAGTTACACTGTTGTCTTCACCTTTTTTTTCCCTTTGTTTCTCTTGAACTTACTTTGGGCTCTCTCCCCAGGTGACAACCATGTGAATCATCATCATCTCTCTATGACTTTTGTAGCTAATCTCCTGGAGAAAATCCCTACTTCTTCCCATGTTGTTCCAGCCAACCCCCAAGTCCCGTGGCCTCCTCTGAGTCTGTCACTGTGGGGAGAGGTTGACACTCCACCTGGCTCCCACACCACCCCTGCTCTGAACAGGAAGAATTTAAACTAAGAATGGGTGACGGGGGTTCTTCAGTCACTCCAAAGAGTCCACAATTCCACGCTGCCATTAAGATGGGCTCTTTGTGACACTTTGGGAATAAGGTGAGAGGGTTCTGTCCTACTTCAACAATATCATAGAGAGGCTGAGATTTACACACACAAAAAATGCACACATTCAACTTCTCACCAAGACCGTGCCTTCTGTTCATCTAGGACTGTGCGAAAAGACACCACAGAAAGTAGTGGATTGAAACAGCATGATCACGTCTTCACTCACACATTTGCAATTGGGGTTTGGATCCTTCCACGGGCATAAGAGGAGAGGTTCTGCTGAGATCTGAAAATTTCAGGGCCAGGACACTCGTGCACAGGTGGCAGGTGGTGTTGGCTCAGCTGGAAACTCTGAGAAAGCTGAAGGATGAGACCCTGTGATGTGCTGGGGTCAGATCAGGCCAGCTCATGAGAGAGGAGTTTTTGTGTGATGATTCTTAAACTGTCTATAGCTGGGAGCATTTTAACCACAGAAATTTACAAACATTGCAAATCAGAGTTTTCTTTTTTCCTAGAAAGCTGGTTGCTCAGTGTTCTCTAGCCCATCCTTGCAGGTGGGCTCAGTTCCTCTCCCTGTGGGATGCTTAGTCTTCCTCCAAGCATGGTATCTGGGCTCCAAAGGCACCAGCCCTCTAAGCACATGTGGACTGCTAAAAAAAATTCAAAATGTCGTGAACTAAGTTACTCTAATATTGCCTGGAAGGTCACCCTCACTACCTCTCAGCGCTCTGTCCTCCGGGACAACAGTGACCCTTCATCTTCTTTGTTCCAACCCTCCACCGCATGGCCACACCCTAACTTCTGCCACCATTCGGAATCCCCTGTGGAGGCTAAGAAGTCCAAATCAAGGTGGCAGCAGAATCAGTGTCTGGTGAGAACCAGCTTTTTGGTTCATATACAACATCTTCTTATTGTGTCTTCATCTGGTGGAAGGAATGAAGGAGCTCTCTGGGACCTCTTCTACAGGGGCACTCATTCCATTCATGAGGACTCCACCATGCTGACCTCCTCATTTCCAAAAAGACCCTTTCTTTTAATGCTATCATCCTAGGGTCTAAGACTTCAACATATGAATTTCAGAGGAAAAATGTCTCAGACCACAGCACCATCCAAAGAGAGATAGAAAAAGACACCAGTTCACTAGCGCCTGATCCCAGAAAACAGCATGGCATCTAGTTCCATGTAGTCTGTTGGTCAAAATGTTACCCATCCTAGACCTAACAGGAGAGAACAGAAACCTTTCTTTCTATAAAAAATAATAAAAGAATTTAGGGAACATATTTTAAAACAGCTCAAGGAAGCTATTTCCTTATGGTTTATTGTAAAATAAACCTGCTGCAATCCTCAACACCAGACACACAGACAGCTTGTGAGAGGCGGCTGGGAAAGGCAGACAAAGGGCAGGGACTTGGAGCTCCTACCTGTCCCAGCTGGATCTGCAGGCCCGGGAGTGACTGTGTGGCACAGGCAGCACCAGGACCCTCCCTGCAGGACAGTGGACAAAGGGCTGAGGGGAGGGAGAGCACGATGCACTCTGAGGAGCTGGGAGGTGGAGGGTCCTCCTCAGAGCTCACCTCTGCGTAGCCCCCGCTGTGCCCCATGGTAACACGCATGCTGTGTTCCATGACTACCCTTTCCTGCTGGGTCAAAACCATAACCCCAGGGCCCCGCCCAAGGTCCACACACACTGTCTGCTGGGGCCACCAGACACCATAAACATGTGTGAGAATATGTGTGCTGCTCCTGGAAGCTTCTCTCCTCTCACACCTACAACCCCACCCACAGCTTCTCCAGAATGTTTACCCCAGCCTAATGATGTCAAGGTTTTTATTGAGTCTAGACTCGCTTCAATATTCCCTAAAATTCAAATGCGTGTGTCTGAAAAAACAGCTTCAGCTGCATCTACATATAGTGTCCACAGTGTGGACACTGATTGTCTACACTGGCTGCAATCAGTGGAAAACATCAGGCTGGGGTTGGGGACTATGGATCAACATGGAAGTGAAAGTACTGTAAAAAATCTGTAGACATAACACCTTTTTTGTTTAAACCACAAAATTCTGCCAAGGTTCTGGTGCAGCCCAAAGAGAAAGGTGAAAAGGACCACAGGGAAGAATCTCTCTGTTCTAATTTGAGTTTTGGAGTTTGAGAATCACCTGCGGGAGGATGGCGACAATGCCTAGGTGTGACCTCAGCGCAGACTGAGACCCTTCTGGGGCTCTGGGCTGCCGAGTCCTGACCGCAGTCTATGGAGGAGGCAAGGATGGGAGCATGGCCATGAGGGAGACACAGAGCAACGTCCCAGCAGATGGTTCCCAGTCCTGCAGCCAAGAATGGCAGGGAAGGAGAGCACAAGACTGGGTTGGGGCAGAGAAGGCCACCCCTCCAGGGACAGGAGCCACCCGTGACTCTGAGCCAGCTGGAGGGTCTCTGTTCTCCCTCAGCTCCCCAAATCGCTCTGGGTGCTGCATGTAAAGCCACCGCCTGGGCCAGGACACACGGGCAGGTCTGCTGCACCCGCTCTCCCTCTTCCTGGACAGTGACCAGGTTTCTGCAGGACACACTCATGGCCCCTCCAGCACTGTTGTAAAGATTCTGGGCATCAATTTGTCGTCAGTGGGCTGACAAAGTCCCCTTGCAGTTAAAAACCAAATCCTCACCACTAGTGTCCTAGCCACTTTGCAGTAGGCCCTCCATGTACTGGGACATGGTGTCTTTGGAGACAGCTATACCCCACTTGTCCATTCTGCAGGGGCCCACAAATGCCATCACCCAGAAGCCCTTCACATCCATTGGGGCCACAGCAGGATACAGTCTGTTGCTGGACCAGCAGGTGATTCTAGACCATGCCCGGGTCCCGGGTTCTGAGTTTCATGGGGAGGCCCTCACTACCGTCCACCACAACTCTCAGAGCCTCTGGACAAAGCACACCTGTCCTAACTATGAGCTTCTGCACGTGTAGTCTTCCAGGGACCGTAGCTCCTTATGCCCTGCGTGGAGCAGGTGTTCTCTTTACGTGGCATTTCTTCACTATCTCCTTTAGAACCACACCTATCATTGATTCAGATGGAGGCTCCCACCTCAGGATATCACAACACGAGGGTGGGTTAAGGGAGACTCATTTAGTCCATCGTCCCCAAGTCACCAGCCTCCTCAAGCAGCACGGTGGCCTCCTAAAGTCATGGTTATTAATGTCTCTGGATGTGCTATGGACACCCAAGGCACCAAGGTCCTTCCAAGGGCCGTCACTTTTTTAACTCTCAACCCCATGGCCACCACTGCCTCATCACAATTGGGCTAGACCCACTTTGGTGCCTATCTTGGTGATCACAGAAGAGTTAGCTTCTTTTTTCCCTTACAGATAACATCATTTACATGTTCTCCAATAATGAGACCTCCCCATATCATCACAAGACATCCACCATCTCAACATCAAACATGTACTGAACAATGGACTGTGGATGGATAGTAAACCACGATCTTCTGAGGATAACCCCCCAGGCCCACTGGCACCCAGCAGGACCACGAGGCTTTTGCTACACCACACCTCTCCATTTCACATGCAGCTTCTGGCAAAAGCTCCCTTTTTTACCGGTTTTAAAGGTTAGCTAATATTTCCCACTTACTCCTCCTGGCAGGAAGTAAGGATTATTGCTCCAGAACCCACCGAGGGTGCAGTCAGAGGCAGTAACGAGGAGAAGAAGCCTTCAAACTAGAGACACCAACTACGTCAGGCAAAGACCATATGGAAGTGCCATCACCAAACGTGGCCATGGGGGAGAAAGGCTCCAAGGAAAAGTGGGTGCCAGCCAACCCCATCATCAGTGTCAATATAGAAGCACTGGGAAGAAAGCCCTGAGTGACAAGATGTCAGTGTTCTCTATGATTGGCCTTGCTTGGTATCTTATGTACAAATGGCTTGTGGGGTAGCTGTTTAACCCAGGCCTGGCAGCCTAGAGGGCTGCTGGAACAAGACAGCCCTAGTCAGAATTTGTACCCCAGACTGGAAAACTGGGGAATTCCCTGTAAGCCCTGTTAGAGGGGCTGTACCCCAAATACAACCTGACCTCTGTCCAAGGTGGGCAACTCAACCCTTAGATATTGAATGGGTCCCATGGCACCAATGCTTAAACACCAGCAGCCCTCACAACCACAGATCGTGTTTTAAGGATGAGGAGGTAGTTCTCTGGATGCATAGGCTTCAATCCAAATGGGCTAACAATGCCGCAGCACACACCCAGACAGCAGCCTGAAGAGTTGGAGCCTTGCATTCACATAAAGCATCCAGACAGGATCATGGGCTAAGGGATACGCCTGTTCTCCGATGGGTACCAGTTAAGGATGGAAACTCCTATGCCTCCCAGAAAGCACCACTCAAGCTTTTGCTAAATGCTTCTCTGAAGACCCACAAGGGCTGAGAGGCTGTCCAACACCAGCAGTAAAGTGAATGCCCAGACTCCCACTTCCCTTCTTGGGTGGCCATCTGGAAAGGCCACTCCCACCCTGATGGCTAATGCCTCAGACCAGTTCCTGGCCCAGATGATCCTAGACAATTGTTTAACCTTAAACTGTTCATTGGCCAAGCAAACAGGTGATAGTCACCTCTGGGGAACCACATGCCGCGTGTACATCCAGTACTCAGGAGAACCCAAAAATGTCTGTTCCACATAGCAACAGAAGCCCAGGTAGCACTCAGTCTCACCTGGGTGTTCTCCAACATCCCAGCTCAGCCAAATGGCTTTCATTAGTTTTTATGGTTAGACCTCAGGTCCTCGGGACACTGCTTTAGAAACACATTCCAAATCCTCCTCTGTGTGCAGGTGGCATTCCTATCCTAGTCTCTTTGCAGGGCGTATACTATGATACGCAGCCAGGTTGTCCCAGAGGCTTTAAATATTCCCTTGGTGCAGGTAGTTCAGCTTAGCCACAGCCAATGCATCACAGGGTCAACTGTGTTAGGAGCCATTGAGAATCCATAGTTGGTTGCTGCCTGGGCCTGGCCAGGGCTGACCAAGGTAGATGAGAGGTTCCTCTGTGGAGTTCTACTTTAACCTCACCTTCCCACCAAATTTCTCAACTGTCCTTGCCACCACAATTATTTAATGGACCCAACAGAAAGTAACCCCGGAAATTAGGACACCTCATCCCAAAAGACCTTTAAATAGGGGAAGTCCACTTGTGCACGGCTGCTCCTTGCTATAGAAGACCTGGGACAGAGGACTGCTGTCTGCCCTCTCTGGTCACCCTGCCTAGCTAGAGGATCTGTAAGTACTACAAAACTTAAACTTTACACTGAGTTTTCATCATTGAAGCTATGCCTCCAATCTGACCTCTGACTGTGGGGCCGCCCCAGAGGGACCCAGCGGGTGAATCCCTGCTAGGAACGTCTGTCCGGACCTCTGGTGACTGCTGGGGACGATGGCTTCCAGCTAACTTAATAGAGAAACTCAAGCAGTTTCCTTCTAAAAACACATGTCCTGGTTGACATGTCCAGTAGAGACTATCACAGGTCTTTGGAACATTCTTTTGAGAGAAACCTATTTAGGTCCTTGGTCTGTCTTTCAATCAGGTTGTTTGATTTTTGCTATTGAGTTGTTGGAATTCCTTATGTATTCAGATATTTGCCCCTTCGGCCATGTAGGTTTTGCAAATATTTTCTCTCATTTTCTGGGTTATCTTTTCACTCGGTTGATTGTTTCCTTTGCTGTGCAGATGCTTTAGCGTTAAATGAAGCCACACTTGTCTATTTTCCCTTTCATTGCCTGTGCCTTTGGTGTCATAGCCAAGAAATCATTACCTACATCAATGTCAAAAGCTTTATCCTTCTATACACTTCTAGTAGTTTATGGTTTCAGTTGTTACATTTAGGTTTTCAATTCATTCTGAGTTGATGTTCCTACATGGTGTGAGATAAAGATTTAAATACATACATATATAAAATCATGAGGTAGTGTACACTATAAATATACAATTGTTAATTGTTACTCAAGTCTAAGTAGAGGTGGAAATAATAAACTTTCTTTTTTTTACTTAAACCACTCTGTGTCACTGAGCTGATTTCACCTTTAGCCTGATAAAATCATTGTCCTCTCCACCCTGATTCCTACAGGAGACTACTCACCCCATAACCTCAAAAACCTCTTCATGAGGATGGTAAGTCACCTGAATCCTGAAGTGAATTACTCGCTATTCCATTGGAACTCATATAGGACACCAGAATCTAGACCTCCAGAGAACAGCAGGACCCATCTTCAGAAAATAAGAAGCATTTGTTCCCTGAGCCTGTTGAATCAAAGTGCAATTTCTATTCTTTTTGGAATGTTAAAAAGTGAATCATAATATTTAAGCAGGTGAACCCACGAGTAACATAGCAGGGTCTTTCTTGTCATTATTAGCTCCAACCTAGCACAGACATTAAAGGTACAGATGTATACTAGCATGAAACTGGGAGAACAGGAGCATTCGAGCAACCTTGAGACCAATGGGCCTCTCTTATAAAATGCACACCTCCTCTCACTGAGATTGAGGAAGGTTTCTTGTCTCCGAGCCTTCTCCCAGTAGAGCTATAAATCCAGGCTGGCTCCTCCCTCCCCACACAGCTGCTCCTGCTCTCCCTCCTCCAGGTGACCCCAGCCATGAGGACCCTCGCCATCCTTGCTGCCATTCTCCTGGTGGCCCTGCAGGCCCAGGCTGAGCCACTCCAGGCAAGAGCTGATGAGGTTGCTGCAGCCCCGGAGCAGATTGCAGCGGACATCCCAGAAGTGGTTGTTTCCCTTGCATGGGACGAAAGCTTGGCTCCAAAGCATCCAGGTGAGAGAGGCAGGCATGCAGAGCTGCTAAGTCTAGAGGGAAGGACGGGAGAGAGGTTCCAGAGTTGGGTCTCAGCAGTCTATGTCACTGAGGTGGCTTCACTTAGAATCTCTGGGCATTGATTTTCTCATCTAGAAATTGAACAGAGAGCCAAATAAACATGAGAAACTTTATTTCTCCAAAGACTTGATTCCAAGAAACGTCTGTGAAATTCACTAAGTTTAAGATATGAAGAGACAGACTAGTTATTTCTGGATCTAAACAAGTAGACTTAGTTGTAAAGAGAACATTTTACTCTATCTACAGAAGAGCTTTTAAAAACTGCAGCCAAGCCTGCGGGTATGTTCAGGTGTGTGTGTGATGGGGCAGGAATGCAAAAATGAGAGCAAAGGAGAATGAGTCTCAAATTCTGTGTGACAAGCACTGCTCTGCGTGTTTATTCCTATCGACTGAGGTTGTTCGTGCTACCGGCTGCAGTGCAGCCAGCATCACCGGTCAGCTAGCATGTGACTTCCCCGAGATTCTTTTTCTTACCCACTGCTAACTCCATACTCAATTTCTCATGCTCTCCCTGTCCCAGGCTCAAGGAAAAACATGGCCTGCTATTGCAGAATACCAGCGTGCATTGCAGGAGAACGTCGCTATGGAACCTGCATCTACCAGGGAAGACTCTGGGCATTCTGCTGCTGAGCTTGCAGAAAAAGAAAAATGAGCTCAAAATTTGCTTTGAGAGCTACAGGGAATTGCTATTACTCCTGTACCTTCTGCTCAATTTCCTTTCCTCATCCCAAATAAATGCCTTGTTACAAGATTTCTGTGTTTCCACCTCTTTAATGTGTGATATGTGTCTGTGTCAAGACACTTGGGATACACGTACCAAAACGCAAAATCAAATTTTTGAACAATATAAAATTCCAAATTCTAGGAATTTCAAGCAGGAGTTTGGGCTTCAGATCCAAATTGAAAAGAAGGCCCATATGACACCACTGATTTCCCCACCCACTGCTCTGCCTTTTCACCCTGCCTCATTTTCTCTGGATCCACTCTCAAAGAGCTCGCGTGTGCTGGGCAAACAATCGGTGTCAGCTTACATTTCATGCAGTCACAAAATCATTACTTCTCCGGGAAAAAAATCCATCCTCTGTGCTAAAGAATTGGAGTTTCATTGAACAATGTCAGATTGTACATTTTCCTTTTAAGACGTAGGGTTACATGAGATCCACGGAAAAAACTTTCATTCAGAGGGAAATGGGTTGTTAGCAAAGGCGGGATACATGGAACAGAAAGCACAGCATCTCACATTGGCACGTCCTCATTAAGAGGACCCTCCAGCCACATCTACTAAGACCTGGATTTCACAATCATAAAGTTGTCTTCACACCCAGAAAACACACACACACAAATGCTCCACCGCACTTTGCAACGCGCACTCTCTTGTGTTGCCCTAAAGCTGCTGAGAACCTGATTCTGCCTGGAAAATACAGCTTCAGAGGGGATAAGGGAAGAGGGAGGGAAAGCATTTCACCAGGAACATGGTAGCATTCTTGTTGCTGCAGGGGGCTGAGGCAGCCCAGGGGCCCAGGTGCCCACTGAGACACTGCATGTATATGGAAGCCCACCAAGAACCCCGGGAGGACAGAGTGGGTAATGATCCCAGACTTCTTCTTGTTTAGATGATGAAGGACACAAATAGGGAATCACGGTGTGAAGCCCAGGAGCCTTCTTTGGCTTCCTGTGACTGCCACGGACTTGGAATCATGTGGTCCCCGAATTAACTTTCCATAGTATTCTGAACTATGAACTGGATCAAGATGGCTGCATCTTGGGGCATCTGCCAGAGGTCCACCTGACTTTCTCCCAAGCATCTGAGGTCTCAGCTAAAACTTCACTTGGTCACTGAGGTCTTTTCTGATCTCTCAACCTTAAATTGCAACAAGATCCCCCTGCTGACCTCCATTCTCCGATTTTCCTCATTGCTAACTATAGAATTGCAACCGTCTCACTCCCTGTACACTTCACTTACTAAACGTAACATTTGCCTCCTTACTCCAGAAGGGAAGCTGCATGTTTTGCTTATTGTTGTACCAGAGTGCATGGATGACTGTAACATAAAGTAGGGGGTTACTAAATTAATTCTGATTACATTAACTAATTGCATCTAATAGCACATAACAATATAAAATGATTTATTAATTGTTATTCCTAAATTCCATAGGAAAAAACTAAATTCAACAGAGGTAGAGCAGTCCATTTTCTAGACCCTATGACAGCACACCTTTAAAAAACAAAATAAATAAAAGTATTCAAGGCTGAAACATGAAAAAACATCATGGGTACTATTTGGCATCATGAAGCTTTAGGACCTTAGAAGAAGCAGGCCATTCCGGCTAAAGCAGGCAAAAAGATTTCATGTGAATCTTCAAGTACAACATCAATATGTTTAAAACATGGAATGACTAAAAGCAGAGGTAGAATGAAATGTTTGGTGGACAGAATGCTATCAGGGCAAGAGCTATGCAGGATGAGGGTGGACCTCCACTGAATTCAGAGGAATGGATGTTGCCAGAGAGAAGGACGGAGTAGAATTCATGCTGATGTGCTGAGAGGCATCCATCAACTCAAGGGAAAGGGGCAAATGAGGACGGAGCCTCCCTGCTCCTCTGTGTGGATAAAGGCACACTGGGAGCACCACATGTGGCTTCTGCTACTGCAGTCTAGGGTGGGCGATGACTGCTGCAAACTCTAGGGACGGAGAATTCAGGGAGAGGTGTGAGGGTCTCCAAACAACCAGGGCAACTTGCTTAGCCTCAAATGAGGCACAACACTGTTTACTGGGATGCACATACACTCTAGGATTAGTGATGACATGCAAGAACTTTTCTACCGGAAATGAGCCATTCATGCGGCAGGACAAGGAAATAAGGAATAAGTTAGATGCCTCATCCCTTTAAATGTAACTACTCAAGGGGACAGCAGCCCTATCTCTGTAGGCAGGTAGGAGCCTACCTCCAATAAGCACAAACTAGCAAACGCAGATGGCCCAATCACACTGCAAGACTCCCACTACCAACCTCCAGTGCATTTCCGCTAGCTCACCCAGGCCTTAACCTTCCCGCTTTGGCTTCAGGAAAGTTGAGGCCAACGGCTCTCCCTGTTGCAACGTTCTGACTCCCATTTCAACAGTCTTCAATAAGTGCTTCCTTCACATTTTTAAAAGGTCTTGGTTAATTTTTACTTGTACAAAAAATGAAATAGGTTTCTTTTGCTGTTCCTGTTCTGATTTTCTAAACTCGGCTTATAAGCAAAACCAGAAGGAAAGAGATCTGAAAAGAACTCATTCCATTTTAGGAATATCTGTATTTTTTCCGTGTTCACGAAAAAAAAAAAATAACTCATGAAGAAACTAAGGGAAACAGCTCACTCTAACATTTCCTAGAAGTCAATCTCCCAACATCTCAATCCTGTGTCCTCCTGGATAACAGGGACCGCCACCTCATTCCAGTCTTCCACCCCATGGCTACTCCCTAACTCCTGCACCGCCTGGAATTCCTCCATCTCTGAACATCACTTATGAAATTCCTGTCCCTGACACACCCATTGTCCTCCAGCCTCTCACATAGCCGTCCCTCCTTCTCTGCTGATCAGCATCAATAAGGCTGTTCTCCCCCAGGGCTGTGCATGGGAATCATCCAGGAGTCTCTTCTCCAGGCTGCACCCAGGACACCTGCCATCCGCTCTCATTTCCTATTCTTATGCACTGCTCCATTTTACCTCAGCTTCTCTTATCTGGGTAATTTTTATTGTATCTTTTTCAGGCATATTAGCGGAGTTGTGCACTCAAATTTAAGAAACCACAACAAGCTGAATTAACATTTTGAATGCCCCACCTGAACAGTGGGTCACACCTGTAATCCAAACACTTCGGGAAGCCAAGGAGGGTGGATCATGAGGTCAGGAGTTCAAGACCAGACAGCGCAACACGGTGAAAACTGTCTCTACTACTAAAAATAGAAAAATTAGCCGGGTGTGGTGGTGGGTGCCTGTAATCTCAGCTACTCAGGAGGCTGAGGCAGGAGAATCGCTTCAACCTGGGAGGTGGAGGTTGCAGTGAGCCAAGATCGCGCCACTGCACTCCAGCGTGGGTGACAGATCTACACTCTGCCTCAAAAAAAGAAAAAAAAGAAAGAAAGAAAGAAAAGAAAGGAAAGACTTCTGGCTTCATAAAATGCCTGATCCAAGGACTCTAGGCATGAGTTACCTTGTTGTCTTTACCATTTTGTTTCACGCTTTTTTCTCTTGATCTTAACTTGGTGTCTCTCCCCAGATGACAGCCGTGTGAATAATGGTCATCTTCCCTGGGACTTCATAGCTGATCTCCGGGAGAAAACCCCTACTTCTCTCTCCGTTGTTTCAGCCAGCTCTGGAGTTCCGCACCCTCCTCTGAGTCTGTCACTGAGGGGAGAGGTTGAGACTCCACCTGGATCCCACACTACCCCAGCTCCCCACAGGAAAAATTCAAACTAAGAATGGGTGAGACGGGGTTCCTCAGTCACTCCAAAGAGTCCACAATTCCATGCCCCCACCACAATGGGCTCTTTGTGACACTTTGGGATTCAATTGAGAAAGTTCTCTCCTATTTCATCAATATTTTAGAGAAGCTGAGATTTACACACACACACAAAGTACAAGTCCAATTTGTCACCAATACTGTGAAAATTGCCCTCTGTTCATCTAGGGCTCTATGAAAAGACACCACAAGGCTTAATGGATTAAAACAACATGATCAGGTCTTCATTCACACATTTGCAATTGGGAGGTGGCTCTCTCCACAGGCATCAGAGGAGAAGTGCTGCTGGGATCTGAAAACCTCAGGCCCAAGACACTTGTGAACAGGTGGCAGGGGGTGCTGGCTCAGCTGCAGCTCTGACAGGGCTCAGGGATGAGACCCTGTGAGGCACTGATGTCAGATCATGCCGGTTCATGAAGGAGGAGATTGGTGTGACACTTTGTATCCCACTCATAGCTAGCAGGATTTGCAACACTTAGACTTCCTCCAAGCATGGTATCCGGGCTTCAAAGACACAAGCAATCTGAGTGTATGTGGAGTGCTGGAAAAAAATACCATACACCAAGTGACTTAGAAACAACAGAAATATATGTCTTGGTGTTCTCGAGGCTGAGAAGTCCAAAACAAGGTGCCAACACACTTGGTGTCTGGTGAGGACCAGTTTTGTGATTCATAGATGGCACCTTCTCACTGAATCCAACTCGCTGCAGACGACATAATTTCATTCTCTTTTATGAATGTAGTATCCCATCATGTATATGTACCACATTTTCTTCATCCAGTCCAACACTGATGGCCATCTAGGTTGACTCCATGTCTTTGTTAGCATGAATGATGCTGCCGTGAACATACGAGTACATGTGTCTTTTTGGCAGAATAATTTGTTTTCCTTTGGATATATACCCAGTAGTGAGATTCCTTGGTTGAATGCTGGTTCTATTTTAAATTATTTGCGAAATCTCTAAACTGCTTTCCACTATGGCTGAACTCATTAACATTCCCCTCAACAGTGTATAAGCGTTCTCTTTCTCTGCAGTCTTGCCAATATCAGTATTTTTTAACTTTTCAATAACAGCCATTCTGACTAGTGTGAGCTGGTATCCCTTTGAGGTTTTATTTTGCATTTCTCTAATGATCAGTAATGTGGAGCATTTTTTCATGTTTCTTGGCCTCTTGTATGTCTTTTTTTGAGAAGTATCTGTTCATGCCCTGGCACGCATTTTAAAGGGGTCATTTCTTTTTTGCTTACTTATTTGTTTAAGTCCCTTGTAGAGGAAAATCACTTTGACCACGAGATCACCACCAACCAGCCTTTCCTTACTGCTACAAATACGGACCTCGCCATCTCCAGTACACGGTGCTGGCGCATGGCCACTACCCAAACCCTTGACTTGCTGCTTCCCTGACCTCATGCTTTGCTGATTACCCCAAAAATGACCTCATTAGAGTGGAATTTTGCTGAGATCACCATTTGCTTTCAGAATAAGCCCATTACTTTATGGTGCAAGGAACCCATAGAGCCTCAGTGAGATTGTAAAGCTGCCCTACAAGCTACGGAAAACTATGGACTTGGGAGAACTGTGTGTAAGAATACCACGCCCGAATCTCACCAGCTCTCCAGTGATAACGCTCATGCAGTGCTGCGGAAATGCCTATGGACTGGAGTGTGCTCTGTGTGCAGGAAGCAGGTCCAGGTTTCACTTCCGCAGGACATGGGACATTTCCAGAACCCGGAGATCTTCCTCTCGCTCATATACACCCCTTCATATTTAGTCCCTATAACCTCATCATTGCAACTCTACAGGCACCTACTAATGCCCTGGAAGCTAAAACTGTCACCAGAGCCTCAGTTTCCCCAAAGAGCCCAAATTTCTTCTTATGCTGGGGTGAGACTGGTGCTCACTTCCTCCAAAGCTGAAGTTCCTGGGCCTGCCACACATCAGGAATTCACTGCTTCCTCAGAGGGACAGGAGACCCCACTGCTCTGCCACAGCGACCGCCTCTAGCAAAGCTTGAGATGCCTCCTCTACCTTAAGGTTGAGGGAGATGCTTTAGTTATCACTCCACTGCCCCCAGGCCTCCACCGGCCGATGCCTGCTGCCTTCACACAGAGCTGCAGGGGGGGCCCTGAGCACCCAGCCTGTGGGACCAGCGCTGTGCACGACATTCCCATGGTGGCAGGGGCTCCCCGGCGTGCGCACTGGGTTCAGCAACCTCACCGCAGGTATTTATTGCCTCTCGAGCGACTGCATTCTTTTCTCATCTCCAGAAACCTTACCCCATCTACCTGACTAGGAGAAGGAGGAGGACGGTGGATAGTGGTACATTTTAAAATGTGCTCTAGTCTTCTTAGGAATTCTCCTCAAATAACACAGGAGGAACCACAGGAGTTTGATCCTGCATATTTCAAGCGACCACTGATCATCCCACTCATGCTATGTGCATGGAGACTCTTAAGCCTGCCCAGAATGGGCTTAAGAGCAAGGCATTGGAGCACAGAGCACCAGGTGATGCAAGCTAACACCAAACTCACTGCCACCTTGGCCGCCTCCCTGAGAGACTTTCAAGAGACATTAGGTCTCCAGCAGGAAACTCAGGAGTTCTTGGCCCCAGTGCTCCTAGACACTCATTTGGCCTTAAACTGTCCATTGCCCAAGCAGTGAGGCAATTGTCCACTCCAGGGAACCACATACTGTGTGCATATCCTTAACGAACCCAGCAAAACCTGCCCTGCCTGCTAACACAAGCCCACGTGGGATTCAGTCTCAACCAGGTGGTCTGCAACATCCCAGCCCACCAATCGGCTTTGATGTCTTGTTATGGTTAGAGCTCAGGTACTGGGCAGGCTGGTTCAGGAGAAGATTCCTCATCCTCTCCTGTGCATGGGTGTCAGACTTGAACTTGTCTCTCTCACAGAGTTTGTCCTGTGATATGCAGGCCAGGCTCTCCTGGGGGCTTTAAATATTCCCTTGCTGCAACTAGCTCAGCATCAGCCACCAGCACAGGCATCTCGGGGTCCATTGTGTTAGGAGTCATGGAGAATCCATCGTTGGTTGCTGCCCGGGCCTGGGCAAGGTTGACAAAGGCAGATGAGGGGACCCTCCATGGACTCCTGTCTGAACCCCAGCTTCCCATCAAATTTCTCAACTGTCCTTCCCACCAGAGTTATTTAATAAACCCAATGGAAAGTAACCCAGGTTATTAGGACACCTGATCCCAAATGACTCTTAAATAGGGAAGTCCTCTCCTGTTTGTGCACGGCTGCTCTTGCTACAGGAGACCCGGGAGAGAGGACTGCTCTCTGCCCTCCCTCTTCACTCTGCCTACCTTGAGGATCTATAAGTAACCCAAGACTTAAACTTTCACATTGAGGTTTCAACATTGAACCTGTGCCCCCAATCTGACCTCTGACTCCTGGGCCACCCCAGAGGGACCTTGTGGGTGAATCTCTTGCTGCGCATTTCTCTCTGAACCTCTGGTGGCTGCTGGGAGCTTTAGCTACTGGCTCAATTAATAGAGAACCTCAAGGAATTTCCTTCTAAATCTACGTGTCCTACTTGACACGTCCAATACAGACAACAATAGCTCCTTAGAACATCCTTTTATTTGGAGAGAAGCCTATCCTGCTCCTTGGCCTGTTTTTCAAACAGGTTACTTGTTATTTGCTTTTGAGTTGTTTGACTTCCTTATGTATTTAGATATTTGCCCCTTCTACCACCTAGGGTTTACAATTACTGTCTTTCATTTTCTGGGTTGCTTTTTCACTCAGTTGATTATTTGTTTGTTGGTTTGTTTTTTGACGTGCAGATGCTTTAGAGGTCAGTGCAGCCCCATTTGTCTATTTTCCCGTTTATTGCCTGTGTCTTTGGTGTCATAGCAAAGATATCGTTATCGACACCAATGACAAAGCGTTATCTTCATATGTTCCTCTCGTCATTTTATGGTTTCAGGTCTATGTTTGGGTCTTCGATCATTTTGAGTTGATTTGTGTATATAGTATATGATAAAAAACCACATGTACATGAACATCAAATCCTAAGGTGGTATACAGGAGATATCTACCATTTTAAATTCTTATTCATATCTCAGTAGAGCCGGAAACACATTTTTGGCTGTAGACGAACTTTTTGCCTTAATATCACTGTGTTCATGTCACCTATCGCCTGATAGGGTCATTGTCCTCTTCACACTGGCCCCTACAGGAGGCTACTCACCCCATGCCTTCATGAGAGTGGTCACGCCCTTGATGCCTGCAACAAATGACTCTTCACTTGATAGGAATTCATGCCTGCTGCCAGAGTGTAGACCTGTACAGAGTAGTGGGGCCATCTGCAGGAAAAGAGGCATTTGTATCCTGAGCTTATTGAACAAAAGCACTGCTGTTATCCTTTGGTAGAATAGTAAAAAGTCAATATATAATGAAGTGAGAAACAAGAAAAACATGCCAGGATCCTCGTCGTCACCATCCTCTCCAACCCAGCACAAACACTACACGTAGAGATTCAAACTAGAGTGAAAGCTGGGAGAGCAAAGGAAGAAAACAGGGACATTGAGACCAACGGGATCCCACACAGTCTCCAACGAAATGCACACCTCCTTTCTCTGAGAGGGTTCCAGGTTTCTTGTCTCCGAGCCTTCTCTCTGCAGACCTATATATCCAGGCTAACTCCTCTCTCCCGACTCGTCTGCTCCTGCTCTCCCTCCTCCAGGTCACCCCAGCCATGAGGACCTTCGCCCTCCTCACTGCCATGCTTCTCCTGGTGGCCCTGTAGGCTCAGGCGGAGCCACTTCAGGCAAGAGCTGATGAAGCTGCAGCCCAGGAGCAGCCTGGAGCAGATGATCAGGAAATGGCTCATGCCTTTACATGGCATGAAAGTGCCGCTCTTCCGCTTTCAGGTGAGACAGGACGGCATGCAGAACTGCAGGGTCTAGTGGGATGGATGGGAGACAGAGTGTGGAATCGAGTCTCAATGGTCCATGTCACTTCGCGGGCTTCATTTAGCATCTCTGGGCCTTGGTTTTCTCATCTATAAATTGAATAGAGAGCCAAATAAATCTTTCTGTCTTTAAAGACTTGAGGCTGCTCTGCCTGGAGAGTAACCGTTCTTTTATTCCTTTACTTCCTTAACAATCCTTTCACTTCAGAAAATCTATAAAATTGAAAAATAAAACTTGACGTCAAGATATGTCTGTGAAATTCAGTAGGTTTTAGATATGAAGAGACAGTCTGACTCGTTCTTTCTGGATTCACACAAGTAGACTTCATTACAAGGAGAATATTTTACTGTATCTGTAGAATAGTTTTTAAAAAGTACAGCCAAGCCCAAGAGTGTGTTCAGCTGTGTGTGTGACGGGGCAGAAGCACAAAAATGAGCGCAAATGAGAATGAGTCTCAAATCCTGTGTGACCAGCACTGCTCTGTGTATTTATTCCTATTGACTGAGGTTGTTCATGCTACTGGCCCCAATGCAGCCAACATCACTCATTACCTAGCACATGACTTATCCAAGATTCCCTTTACCATCACTGCTGACCTTCTGATCCATTTATGATGATTTCCTTGTGTCCTCAGACTCAGCGAGAGGCTTGAGGTGCATTTGCGGAAGAGGAATTTGCCGTTTGTTATAACGTCGCTTTGGGTCCTGCGCCTTTCGTGGTACACTCCACCGGATCTGCTGCCGCTGAGCTCGCAGAATCAAGAAAAATAAGCTCAGAATTTACTTTGAGAGTTAAAAGAAATTCTTGTTACTCCTGTACCTTGTCCTCCATTTCCTTTTCTCATCCAAAATAAATACCTTGTTGCAAGATTTCTCTCTTTACATCTCTTTCACATTTGATGTGTCTTTGTGTCTCAAGACACTTGGGATGCACTTACCAGAATCCTAAGTTTTTAAACAAAATAAAATTTGAAATTCTAGGAATTTCAAGCAGGCGTTTGAGCTTCAGACTCAAATGGAAATGAAGGCCCAAATCATACCACCCATCTCCCCATCCACTGCTCTGTCTTTTCACTCTGCCTCATTTTCTCTGGATCCACTCTCAAAGAGCTCCCGTGTGCTGGGCAAATAATCAGTGTCAGCTTAAAGTTCACGCAGTCACAAAATCATTCCTCCTCAGGAGAAACCAGCATCATCTGTCCCAAAGAACTGGGGTTTTATTGAACGTGTCCAGGTCACACATTTGCCTTTTAAGCCATTGGGTTACAGGAGATTCACTGAAACAACTTCAAGAGGGAAATGGGTTGTTAGCAAAGGCAGGATGCATGGAACAGAAAGCACAGCGGCCCACACTGGGATGTCCACATTAAAAGCACCCTCCAGCCAGGTCTACTAAGACCTGGATTTCACACCCATAAAGTTGTCTTCACACCCAGAAAACACACAAGCACAAATGCTCCACTACACTTTGCAAGACGCACTCTCCTCTGTTGCCTTAAAGCCGCTGAGAATCTGATTCTGCCTGGAAAATACAGCTTTAGAGGGGATAAGGGATGAGGCCAGGAAAGCACTTCACCAGGAAAAGGGTAGCCTTCTTGTTGCTGCAGGGTGCTGAGGCAGCTCAGGGGTCCAGGCACCCCACTGAGACACTGCATGGATGGGGAAGCCCATGCAGATCCCAAGGAGGACAGAGTGGGTGCCAACCTCCAGTGCATTTCCCCTAGCTCACCCAGGGTTTCACCTTTCCTGCCTTTGTCTTCAGGGAAGTTGAGGCCAACGGCTCTCCCTATTGCAACGTTCTGACTCCTATTTCACCAGTCTTCAATAAGCGCTTCCTTCACATTTTTGCGACGTCTTGGTGAATTTTTTCTTGTACAATAAATGAAATAGTTTTCTTTGGCTATTTCTTTTCTGATTTTCTAAACTCGGCTTACAAGCAAAACCAGAAGGAAAGGGATCTGAAAAGTACTCATTCCATTTTATGAGTATCTGAAATTTTTCCTTTTTCACTAAGAAACAAACAACTCATGAAGAACCTAAGGGAAAGAGCCCACTCTCACATTTCCTCTCAGTCACCCTCCCAACCTCTCAGTGCTGGATCCTCCTGGCTGACAGCGACGCCCACTTTTGTTCCAGCCCTCCACCCCATGCTCCTGCCACCACCTGGAATTCCTGCATCTCTGAATATCAAGTATGAAGGTCCCTGTTGCTGACTCACCCGCTGTACTTCCAGCCTCTCCGGTAGCCGTCCCTCCTTCCCTGCTGATCAGCATCGATAAGGCTGTTCTCCCACAGAAACGTGCCTGGGAATCACCCGGGAGTCTGTTCCCCAGGCTGCACCAGGAACACCTGTCATCTACCCTCGTTTCCTGTTCTTATGAACTGTACTGTCTTTAACTCAGATTCTCTGAGCTAGGTAATATTTTTATATAATTTTCAGGCATATTAGCTGAGTTTTGCATTCAAATTTAAGAAACCACAACAAGCTGAGTGAACAATTTGACTGCCACACCTGATACTTACGAAAGAATTCTGGCTTCATAAAATCCCTGATTGAAGGACCCAAAGCATAAGAGTCCTTCTTGTCTTTACCTTTTATCACCCCCATTTTTCTCTTGATAACTTGGGCTCGCTCCCCAAGTGACAGCCACATGAATTGTGGTTATCTTCCCACAGGCTCCGTTGCTGATCTCCGGGAGAAAACCCCTATTGATTTCTCCATTGTTTCAGTCAACTCCCGAGTCCCATGCCCTCCTCTGAGTCTGTCACTCAGTGGAGAGATTGAGACTCCACCTGGATCCACTACCCCTCCTCCACACAGGAAAAATTCAAACTAAGAATGGATGAGACAGGGTTTCTCAGTCACTCCATAGAGTCCACAGTTTCATCCCCCACCATGATGGGCTCTTTGTGACGCTTTGGGAAGAAGTTGAGAAAATTCCTTCCTATTTTATCAGTATTTCAGAGAAGTTGAGATTTACACACACAAAATATGTACAAATCCAATTCCTCAGCAATACTGTGAAAATGCCCTCTGTTCATCTAGGGGTGTGTGAAAAGACACCACAAAACTTAGGGAATTAAAACAGCACGATCAGGTCGTCATTCACACATTTGCAATTGGGACATAGCCCCCTCCACGGGCAACAGAGGAGAGGTTCTGCTGGGAGCTGAAAACCTCAGGGCCAAGACGCTTGCGCACAGGTAGCGGGGAGTGCTGGGCTGGCTCAGTGGGAGCTCTGACAGGCTGAGGGATGAGACACTGTGATGCACTGAGGCCAGGTCATGCCAGCTCATGAGAGAAAAGATAGGTGTGACACTTTTTATCCCACTCATAACTAGGAGGATTTGAACCAGAGAGATTTACAAACACTGCGTATCAGAGTTTTGTTTTTCCTAGAAAGCTGGTTGCTCTGGGTTCTCTAGCTCTTCCTTGCAGGTGGGTTCAGTTCCTTTTTTTGCAATGCTTAGACTTCCTCCAAGCATTGTAGCTGGGCTTCAAAGGCACTAGCACTCTTAGTATATGTGGGATGCTGGGGGAAAGAAAATCATACACCAAGTGACTTATAAACAACAAAAATACATTTCTCAGTGTTCTGGAGGCTGAGATGTCCAAATCAAGGTGCCAACAGATTTGGTGTGTGGTGAGGACCAGCTTTTTGGTTCATAGATGCTACCTTCTCACTGCTTCCTCACCTGAGGGAATGAATGAAGGAGCTCTCTGGGGCTTCTTCCTCAGGGGCACTAATGCAACTCATGAGGACTCCATCCTCCTGAACATATCACTTCCCAGAAAGCCCCACCTTTTCATGCTATCACCAGAGGAGGGATTTCAACATATGAATTTCAGAGGGACAAAAACATTCAGGCTGCAGCACCATCCAATACACAGGAAGTGAAAGATACCAACTTCTTATGACCTTAGCCCAACAAACAGCACGGTGCTCAGTCAGGTGTGTTCAACTGGTCAAGATGTCGCCCAATCTAGATTCAACAGGAGACATTTTCACCTCCATTTTTATGTGAAAAGAGTCAGGGATTTAGGGCCATATTTTAAAACAGCTCAAGGAAGCTATTTCCTTATGGTTTATTGTAAAATAATCCTGCTGCAATCCTCAACACCAGACACACAGACAGCTTGTGAGAGGCGGCTGGGAAAGGCAGACAAAGGGCAGGGACTTGGAGCTCCTACCTGTCCCAGCTGGATCTGCAGGCCCGGGAGTGACTGTGTGGCACAGGCAGCACCAGGACCCTCCCTGCAGGACAGTGGACAAAGGGCTGAGGGGAGGGACAGGGCGATGCACTCTGAGGAGCTGGGAGGTGGAGGGTCCTCCTCAGAGCTCACCTCTGCGTAGCCCCCGCTGCGCCCCATGGTAACACGCATGCTGTGTTCCATGACTACCCTTTCCTACCGGGTCAAAACCATAACCCCAGGGCCCCGCCCAAGGTCCACACACACTGTGTCTGCTGAGGCCACCAGACACCATAAACATGTGTGAGAATATGTGTGCTGCTCCTGGAAGCTTCTCTCCTCTCACACCTACAACCCCACCCACAGCTTCTCCAGAATGTTTACCCCAGCCTAATGATGTCAAGGTTTTTATTGAGTCTAGACTCGCTTCAATATTCCCTAAAATTCAAATGCGTGTGTCTGAAAAAAACAGCTTCAGCTGCATCTACATATAGTGTCCACAGTGTGGACACTGATTGTCTACACTGGCTGCAATCAGTGGAAAACATCAGGCTGGGGTTGGGGACTATGGATCAACATGGAAGTGAAAGTACTGTAAAAAATCTGTAGACATAACACCTTTTTTGTTTAAACCACAAAATTCTGCCAAGGTTCCGGTGCAGCCCAAAGAGAAAGGTGAAAAGGACCACAGGGAAGAATCTCTCTGTTCTAATTTGAGTTTTGGAGTTTGAGAATCACCTGCGGAAGGATGGCGACAATGCCTAGGTGTGACCTCAGTACAGACTGAGACCCTGCTGGGGCTCTGGGCTGCCGAGTCCTGACCGCAGTCTATGGAGGAGGCAAGGATGGGAGCATGGCCATGAGGGAGACACAGAGCAACGTCCCAGCAGATGGTTCCCAGTCCTGCAGCCAAGAATGGGAGGGAAGGAGAGCACAAGACAGGGTTGGGGCAGAGAAGGCCACCCCTCCAGGGACAGGAGCCACCCGTGACTCTGAGCCAGCTGGAGGGTCTCTGTTCTCCCTCAGCTCCCCAGATCGCTCTGGGTGCTGCATGTAAAGCCACCGCCTGGGCCAGGACACACATCTGTGGCAGGGTTGCTGCACCCGCTCTCCCTCTTCCTGGACAGTGGCCAGGTTTCTGCAGGACACACTCATGGCCCCTCCAGCACTGTTGTAAAGATTCTGGGCATCGATTTGTCGTCAGTGGGCTGACAAAGTCCCCTTGCAGTTAAAAACCAAATCCTCACCACTAGTGTCCTAGCCACTTTGCAGCTGGCCCTCCATGTACTGGGACATCGTGTCTTTGGAGACAGCTATACCCCACTTGTCCATTCTGCTGAGGCCCACAAATGCCATCACCCAGAAGCCCTTCACATCCACTGGGGCCACAGCAGGATACAGTCTGTTGCTGGTCCAGCAGGTGATCTCTCTAGTCCATGCCCGGGTCCCGGGTTCTGAGTTTCATGGGGAGGCCCTCACTACCACCCATCATAAGTCTCAGAGCCTCTGGACAAAGCACACCTGTCCTAACTATGAGCTTCTGCACATGTAGTCTTCCAGGGACCGTAGCTCCTTATGCCCTGCGTGGAGCAGGTGTTCTCTTTACGTGGCATTTCTTCACTATCTCCTTTAGAACCACACCTATCATTGATTCAGATGGAGGCTCCCACCTCAGGACATCACAACATGAGGGTGGGTTAAGGGAGTCTCATTTAGTCCATCGTCCCCAAGCCACCAGCCTCCTCAAGCAGCACGGTGGCCTCCTAAAGTCATGGTTATTAATGTCTCTGGATGTGCTATGGACACCCAAGACCCAAGGCACCAAGGTCCTTCCAAGGGCCGTCACTTTTTTAACTCTCAATCCCATGGCCACCACTGCCTCATCACAATTGGGCTAGACGCACTTTGGTGCCTATCTTGGTGATCACAGAAGAGTTAGCTTCTTTTTTCCCTTACAGATAACATCATTTACATGTTCTCCAATAATGAGACCTCCCCATATCATCACAAGACATCCACCATCTCAACATCAAACATGTACTGAACAATGGACTGTGGATGGATAGTAAACTACGATCTTCTGAGGATGACCCCCCAGGCCCACTGGCACCCAGCAGGACCACGAGGCTTTTGCTACACCACACCTCTCCATTTCACATGCAGCTTCTGGCAAAAGCTCCCTTTTTTACCGGTTTTAAAGGTTAGCTAATATTTCCCACTTACTCCTCCTGGCAGGAAGTAAGGATTATTGCTCCAGAACCCACCGAGGGTGCAGTCAGAGGCAGTAACGAGGAGAAGAAGCCTTCAAACTAGAGACACCAACTACGTCAGGCAAAGACCATATGGAAGTGCCATCACCAAACGTGGCCATGGGGGAGAAAGGCTCCAAGGAAAAGTGGGTGCCAGCCAACCCCATCATCAGTGTCAATATAGAAGCACTGGGAAGAAAGCCCTGAGTGACAAGATGTCAGTGTTCTCTATGATTGGCCTTGCTTGGTATCTTATGTACAAATGGCTTGTGGGGTAGCTGTTTAACCCAGGCCTGGCAGCCTAGAGGGCTGCTGGAACAGGACAGCCCTAGTCAGAATTTGTACCCCAGACTGGAAAACTGGGGAATTCCCTGTAAGCCCTGTTAGAGGGGCTGTACCCCAAATACAACCTGACCTGTGTCCAAGGCAGGCAACTCAACCCTTAGATATTGAATGGGTCCCATGGCACCAATGCTTAAACACCAGCAGCCCTCACAACCACAGATCGTGTTTTAAGGATGAGGAGGTAGTTCTCTGGATGCACAGGCTTCAATCCAAATGGGCTCATGACGCCGCAGCACACACCCAGACTGCAGCCTGAAGAGTTGGAGCCTTGCATTCACAGGAAGCATCCAGACATGATCATGGGCTAAGGGATACGCCTGTTCTCCAATGTGTACGAGTTAAGGATGGAAACTCCTATGCCTCCCAGAAAGCACCACTCAAGCTTTTGCTAAATGCTTCTCTGAAGGCCCACAAGGCCTGAGAGGCTGTGCAACACCAGCAGTAAAGTGAATGCCCAAACTCCCACCTCCTTTCTTGGGTGGCCATCTGGAAAGGCCACTCCCACCCTGATGGCTAATGCCTCAGACCAGTTCCTGGCCCAGATGATCCTAGACAATTGTTTAAGCTTAAACTGTTCATTGGCCAAGCAAACAGGTGATAGTCACCTCTGGGGAACCACATGCCGCGTGTACATCCAGTACTCAGGAGAACCCAAAAATGTCTGTTCCACATAGCAACAGAAGCCCAGGTAGCACTCAGTCTCACCTGGGTGTTCTCCAACATCCCAGCTCAGCCAAATGGCTTTCATTAGTTTTTATGGTTAGACCCCAGGTCCTCGGGACACTGCTTTAGAAACACATTCCAAATCCTCCTCTGTGTGCAGGTGGCATTCCTATCCCAATCTCTTTGCAGGGTGTATACTATGATACGCAGCCAGGCTGTCCCAGAGGCCTTAAATATTCCCTTGGTGCAGGTAGTTCAGCTTAGCCACAGCCAATGCATCACAGGGTCAACTGTGTTAGGAGCCATTGAGAATCCATAGTTGGTTGCTGCCTGGGCCTGGCCAGGGCTGACCAAGGTAGATGAGAGGTTCCTCTGTGGAGTTCTACTTTAACCTCACCTTCCCACCAAATTTCTCAACTGTCCTTGCCACCACAATTATTTAATGGACCCAACAGAAAGTAACCCCGGAAATTAGGACACCTCATCCCAAAAGACCTTTAAATAGGGGAAGTCCACTTGTGCACGGCTGCTCCTTGCTATAGAAGACCTGGGACAGAGGACTGCTGTCTGCCCTCTCTGGTCACCCTGCCTAGCTAGAGGATCTGTAAGTACTACAAAACTTAAACTTTACACTGAGTTTTCATCATTGAAGCTATGCCTCCAATCTGACCTCTGACTGTGGGGCCGCCCCAGAGGGACCCAGCGGGTGAATCCCTGCTAGGAACGTCTGTCCGGACCTCTGGTGACTGCTGGGGACGATGGCTTCCAGCTAACTTAATAGAGAAACTCAAGCAGTTTCCTTCTAAATACACATGTCACATGTCCTGGTTGACATGTCCAGTAGAGACTATCACAGGTCTTTGGAACATTCTTTTGAGAGAAACCTATTTAGGTCCTTGGTCTGTCTTTCAATCAGGTTGTTTGATTTTTGCTATTGAGTTGTTGGAATTCCTTATGTATTCAGATATTTGCCCCTTCTGCCATGTAGGTTTTGCAAATATTTTCTCTCATTTTCTGGGTTATCTTTTCACTCGGTTGATTGTTTCCTTTGCTGTGCAGATGCTTTAGCGTTAAATGAAGCCACACTTGTCTATTTTCCCTTTTATTGCCTGTGCCTTTGGTGTCATAGCCAAGAAATCATTACCTACATCAATGTCAAAAGCTTTATCCTTCTATACACTTCTAGTAGTTTATGGTTTCAGTTGTTACATTTAGGTTTTCAATTCATTCTGAGTTGATGTTCCTACATGGTGTGAGATAAAGATTTAAATACATACATATATAAAATCATGAGGTAGTGTACACTATAAATATACAATTGTTAATTGTTACTCAAGTCTAAGTAGAGGTGGAAATAATAAACTTTCTTTTTTTTACTTAAACCACTCTGTGTCACTGAGCTGATTTCACCTTTAGCCTGATAAAATCATTGTCCTCTCCACCCTGATTCCTACAGGAGACTACTCACCCCATAACCTCAAAAACCTCTTCATGAGGATGGTAAGTCACCTGAATCCTGAAGTGAATTACTCGCTATTCCATTGGAACTCATATAGGACACCAGAATCTAGACCTCCAGAGAACAGCAGGACCCATCTTCAGAAAATAAGAAGCATTTGTTCCCTGAGCCTGTTGAATCAAAGTGCAATTTCTATTCTTTTTGGAATGTTAAAAAGTGAGTCATAATATTTAAGCAGGTGAACCCACGAGTAACATAGCAGGGTCTTTCTTGTCATTATTAGCTCCAACCTAGCACAGACATTAAAGGTACAGATGTATACTAGCATGAAACTGGGAGAACAGGAGCATTCGAGCAACCTTGAGACCAATGGGCCTCTCTTATAAAATGCACACCTCCTCTCACTGAGATTGAGGAAGGTTTCTTGTCTCCGAGCCTTCTCCCAGTAGAGCTATAAATCCAGGCTGGCTCCTCCCTCCCCACACAGCTGCTCCTGCTCTCCCTCCTCCAGGTGACCCCAGCCATGAGGACCCTCGCCATCCTTGCTGCCATTCTCCTGGTGGCCCTGCAGGCCCAGGCTGAGCCACTCCAGGCAAGAGCTGATGAGGTTGCTGCAGCCCCGGAGCAGATTGCAGCGGACATCCCAGAAGTGGTTGTTTCCCTTGCATGGGACGAAAGCTTGGCTCCAAAGCATCCAGGTGAGAGAGGCAGGCATGCAGAGCTGCTAAGTCTAGAGGGAAGGACGGGAGAGAGGTTCCAGAGTTGGGTCTCAGCAGTCTATGTCACTGAGGTGGCTTCACTTAGAATCTCTGGGCATTGATTTTCTCATCTAGAAATTGAACAGAGAGCCAAATAAACATGAGAAACTTTATTTCTCCAAAGACTTGATTCCAAGAAACGTCTGTGAAATTCACTAAGTTTCAGATATGAAGAGACAGACTAGTTATTTCTGGATCTAAACAAGTAGACTTAGTTGTAAAGAGAACATTTTACTCTATCTACAGAAGAGCTTTTAAAAACTGCAGCCAAGCCTGAGGGTATGTTCAGGTGTGTGTGTGATGGGGCAGGAATGCAAAAATGAGAGCACAGGAGAATGAGTCTCAAACTCTGTGTGACAAGCACTGCTCTGCGTGTTTATTCCTATCGACTGAGGTTGTTCGTGCTACCGGCTGCAATGCAGCCAGCATCACCTGTCAGCTAGCATGTGACTTCCCCGAGATTCTTTTTCTTACCCACTGCTAACTCCATACTCAATTTCTCATGCTCTCCCTGTCCCAGGCTCAAGGAAAAACATGGCCTGCTATTGCAGAATACCAGCGTGCATTGCAGGAGAACGTCGCTATGGAACCTGCATCTACCAGGGAAGACTCTGGGCATTCTGCTGCTGAGCTTGCAGAAAAAGAAAAATGAGCTCAAAATTTGCTTTGAGAGCTACAGGGAATTGCTATTGCTCCTGTACCTTCTGCTCAATTTCCTTTCCTCATCCCAAATAAATGCCTTGTTACAAGATTTCTGTGTTTCCACCTCTTTAATGTGTGATATGTGTCTGTGTCAAGACACTTGGGATACACGTACCAAAACGCAAAATCAAATTTTTGAACAATATAAAATTCCAAATTCTAGGAATTTCAAGCAGGAGTTTGGGCTTCAGATCCAAATTGAAAAGAAGGCCCATATGACACCACTGATTTCCCCACCCACTGCTCTGCCTTTTCACCCTGCCTCATTTTCTCTGGATCCACTCTCAAAGAGCTCCCGTGTGCTGGGCAAACAATCGGTGTCAGCTTACATTTCATGCAGTCACAAAATCATTACTTCTCCGGGAAAAAAAACCATCCTCTGTGCTAAAGAATTGGAGTTTCATTGAAGAATGTCAGATTGTACATTTTCCTTTTAAGACGTAGGGTTACATGAGATCCACGGAAAAAACTTTCATTCAGAGGGAAATGGGTTGTTAGCAAAGGCGGGATACATGGAACAGAAAGCACAGCATCTCACATTGGCACGTCCTCATTAAGAGGACCCTCCAGCCACATCTACTAAGACCTGGATTTCACAATCATAAAGTTGTCTTCACACCCAGAAAACACACACACACAAATGCTCCACCGCACTTTGCAACGCGCACTCTCTTGTGTTGCCCTAAAGCTGCTGAGAACCTGATTCTGCCTGGAAAATACAGCTTCAGAGGGGATAAGGGACGAGGGAGGGAAAGCATTTCACCAGGAACATGGTAGCGTTCTTGTTGCTGCAGGGGGCTGAGGCAGCCCAGGGGCCCAGGTACCCACAGAGACACTGCATGTATATGGAAGCCCACCAAGAACCCCGGGAGGACAGAGTGGGTAATGATCCCAGACTTCTTCTTGTTTAGATGATGAAGGACACAAATAGGGAATCACGGTGTGAAGCCCAGGAGCCTTCTTTGGCTTCCTGTGACTGCCATGGACTTGGAATCATGTGGTCCCTGAATTAACTTTCCATAGTATTCTGAACTATGAACTGGATCAAGATGGCTGCATCTTGGGGCATCTGCCAGAGGTCCACCTGACTTTCTCCCAAGCATCTGAGGTCTCAGCTAAAACTTCACTTGGTCACTGAGGTCTTTTCTGATCTCTCAACCTTAAATTGCAACAAGATCCCCCTGCTGACCTCCATTCTCCGATTTTCCTCATTGCTAACTATAGAACTGCAACCATCTCACTCCCTGTACACTTCACTTACTATACGTAACATTTGCCTCCTTACTCCAGAAGGGAAGCTGCATGTTTTGCTTATTGTTGTACCAGAGTGCATGGATGACTGTAACATAAAGTAGGGGGTTACTAAATTAATTCTGATTACATTAACTAATTGCATCTAATAGCACATAACAATATAAAATGATTTATTAATTGTTATTCCTAAATTCCATAGGAGAAAGCTAAATTCAACAGAGGTAGAGCAGTCCATTTTCTAGACCCTATGACAGCACACCTTTAAAAAACAAAATAAATAAAAGTATTCAAGGCTGAAACATGAAAAAACATCATGGGTACTATTTGGCATCATGAAGCTTTAGGACCTTAGAAGAAGCAGGCCATTCCGGCTAAAGCAGGCAAAAAGATTTCATGTGAATCTTCAAGTACAACATCAATATGTTTAAAACATGGAATGACTAAAAGAAGAGGTGGAATGAAATGTTTGGTGGACAGAATGCTATCAGGGCAAGAGCTATGCAGGATGAGGGTGGACCTCCACTGAATTCAGAGGAATGGATGTTGCCAGAGAGAAGGACGGAGTAGAATTCAGGCTGATATGCTGAGAAGCATCCATCAACTCAAGGGAAAGGGGCAGATGAGGACGGAGCCTCCCTGCTCCTCTGTGTGGATAAAGGCACACTGGGAGCACCACATGTGGCTTCTGCTACTGCAGTCTAGGGTGGGCGATGACTGCTGCAAACTCTAGGGACGGAGAATTCAGGGAGAGGTGTGAGGGTCTCCAAACAACCAGGGCAACTTGCTTAGCCTCAAATGAGGCACAACACTGTTTACTGGGATGCACATACACTCTAGGATTAGTGATGACATGCAAGAACTATTCTACCAGAAATGAGCCATTCATGCGGCAGGACAAGGAAATAAGGAATAAGTTAGATGCCTCATCCCTTTAAATGTAACTACTCAAGGGGACAGCAGCCCTGTCTCTGTAGGCAGGCAGGAGCCTAACTCCAATAAGCACAAACTAGCAAACGCAGATGGCCCAATCACACTGCAAGACTCCCACTACCAACCTCCAGTGCATTTCCGCTAGCTCACCCAGGCCTTAACCTTCCCGCTTTGGCTTCAGGAAAGTTGAGGACAACGGCTCTCCCTGTTGCAACGTTCTGACTCCCATTTCAACAGTCTTCAATAAGTGCTTCCTTCACATTTTTAAAAGGTCTTGGTTAATTTTTACTTGTACAAAAAATGAAATAGGTTTCTTTTGCTGTTACTGTTCTGATTTTCTAAACTCGGCTTATAAGCAAAACCAGAAGGAAAGAGATCTGAAAAGAACTCATTCCATTTTAGGAATATCTGTATTTTTTCCGTGTTCACGAAAAAAACAAATAACTCATGAAGAAACTAAGGGAAAGAGCTCACTCTAACATTTCCTAGAAGTCAACCTCCCAACATCTCAATTCTGTGTCCTCCTGGATAACAGGGACTGCCACCTCGTTCCAGCCTTCCACCCCATGGCTACTCCCTAACTCCTGCACCACCTGGAATTCCTCCATCTCTGAACATCACTTATGAAATTCCTGTCCCTGACACACCCATTGTCCTCCAGCCTCTCACATAGCCGTCCCTCCTTCTCTGCTGATCAGCATCAATAAGGCTGTTCTCCCCCAGGGCTGTGCATGGGAATCATCCAGGAGTCTCTTCTCCAGGCTGCACCCAGGACACCTGCCATCTGCTCTCATTTCCTATTCTTATGCACTGCACCATTTTGCCTCAGCTTCTCTTATCTGGGTAATTTTTGTTGTATCTTTTTCAGGCATATTAGCGGAGTTGTGCACTCAAATTTAAGAAACCACAACAAGCTGAATTAACATTTTGAATGCCCCACCTGAACAGTGGGTCACACCTGTAATCCAAACACTTCGGGAAGCCAAGGAGGGTGGATCATGAGGTCAGGAGTTCAAGACCAGACAGCGCAACACGGTGAAAACTGTCTCTACTACTAAAAATAGAAAAATTAGCCGGGTGTGGTGGTGGGTGCCTGTAATCTCAGTTACTCAGGAGGCTGAGGCAGGAGAATCGCTTCAACCTGGGAGGTGGAGGTTGCAGTGAGCCAAGATCGCGCCACTGCACTCCAGCGTGGGTGACAGATCTACACTCTGCCTCAAAAAAAAAAAAAAAAGAAAAGAAAAAAAAGAAAGAAAGAAAGAAAAGAAAAGAAAGACTTCTGGCTTCATAAAATGCCTGATCCAAGGACTCTAGGCATGAGTTACCTTGTTGTCTTTACCATTTTGTTTCCCACTTTTTTCTCTTGATCTTAACTTGGGGTCTCTCCCCAGATGACAGCCGTGTGAATAATGGTCATCTTCCCTGGGACTTCATAGCTGATCTCCGGGAGAAAACCCCTACTTCTCTCTCCGTTGTTTCAGCCAGCTCTGGAGTTCCACACCCTCCTCTGAGTCTGTCACTGAGGGGAGAGGTTGAGACTCCACCTGGATCCCACACTACCCCAGCTCCCCACAGGAAAAATTCAAACTAAGAATGGGTGAGACGGGGTTCCTCAGTCTCTCCAAAGAGTCCACAATTCCATGCCCCCACCACAATGGGCTCTTTGTGACACTTTGGGATTCAATTGAGAAAGTTCTCTCCTATTTCATCAATATTTTAGAGAAGCTGAGATTTACACACACAAAGTACAAGTCCAATTTGTCACCAATACTGTGAAAATTGCCCTCTGTTCATCTAGGGCTCTATGAAAAGACACCACAAGACTTAATGGATTAAAACAACATGATCAGGTCTTCATTCACACTTTTGCAATTGGGAGGTGGCTCTCTCCACAGGCATCAGAGGAGAAGTGCTGCTGGGATCTGAAAACCTCAGGCCCAAGACACTTGTGAACAGGTGGCAGGGGGTGCTGGCTCAGCTGCAGCTCTGACAGGGCTCAGGGATGAGACCCTGTGAGGCACTGACGTCAGATCATGCTGGTTCATGAAGGAGGAGATTGGTGTGACACTTTGTATCCCACTCATAGCTAGCAGGATTTGCAACACTTAGACTTCCTCCAAGCATGGTATCCGGGCTTCAAAGACACAAGCAATCTGAGTGTATGTGGAGTGCTGGAAAAAAATACCATACACCAAGTGACTTAGAAACAACAGAAATATATGTCTTGGTGTTCTCGAGGCTGAGAAGTCCAAAACAAGGTGCCAACACACTTGGTGTCTGGTGAGGACCAGTTTTGTGATTCATAGACGGCACCTTCTCACTGAATCCAACTCGCTGCAGACGACATAATTTCATTCTCTTTTATGAATGTAGTATCCCATCATGTATATGTACCACATTTTCTTCATCCAGTCCAACACTGATGGCCATCTAGGTTGACTCCATGTCTTTGTTAGCATGAATGATGCTGCCATGAACATACGAGTACATGTGTCTTTTTGGCAGAATAATTTGTTTTCCTTTGGATATATACCCAGTAGTGAGATTCCTTGGTTGAATGCTGGTTCTATTTTAAGTTATTTGCGAAATCTCTAAACTGCTTTCCACTATGGCTGAACTCATTAACATTCCCCTCAACAGTGTATAAGCGTTCTCTTTCTCTGCAGTCTTGCCAATATCAGTATTTTTTAACTTTTCAATAACAGCCATTCTGACTAGTGTGAGCTGGTATCCCTTTGAGGTTTTATTTTGCATTTCTCTAATGATCAGTAATGTGGAGCATTTTTTCATGTTTCTTGGCCTCTTGTATGTCTTTTTTTGAGAAGTATCTGTTCATGCCCTGGCACGCATTTTAAAGGGGTCATTTCTTTTTTGCTTACTTATTTGTTTAAGTCCCTTGTAGAGGAAAATCACTTTGACCACGAGATCACCACCAACCAGCCTTTCCTTACTGCTACAAATACGGACCTCGCCATCTCCAGTACACGGTGCTGGCTCATGGCCACTACCCAAACCCTTGACTTGCTGCTTCCCTGACCTCATGCTTTGCTGATTACCCCAAAAATGACCTCATTAGAGTGGAATTTTGCTGAGATCACCATTTGCTTTCAGAATAAGCCCATTACTTTATGGTGCAAGGAACCCATAGAGCCTCAGTGAGATTGTAAAGCTGCCCTACAAGCTACGGAAAACTATGGACTTGGGAGAACTGTGTGTAAGAATACCACGCCCGAATCTCACCAGCTCTCCAGTGATAACGCTCATGCAGTGCTGCGGAAATGCCTGTGGACTGGAGTGTGCTCTGTGTGCAGGAAGCAGGTCCAGGTTTCACTTCCGCAGGACATGGGACATTTCCAGAACCCGGAGATCTTCCTCTCGCTCATATACACCCCTTCATATTTAGTCCCTATAACCTCATCATTGCGACCCTACAGGCACCTACTAATGCCCTGGAAGCTAAAACTGTCACCAGAGCCTCAGTTTCCCCAAAGAGCCCAAATTTCTTCTTATGCTGGGGTGAGACTGGTGCTCACTTCCTCCAAAGCTGAAGTTCCTGGGCCTGCCACACATCAGGAATTCACTGCTTCCTCAGAGGGACAGGAGACCCCACTGCTCTGCCACAGCGACCGCCTCTAGCAAAGCTTGAGATGCCTCCTCTACCTTAAGGTTGAGGGAGATGCTTTAGTTATCACTCCACTGCCCCCAGGCCTCCACCGGCCGATGCCTGCTGCCTTCACACAGAGCTGCAGGGGGGGCCCTGAGCACCCAGCCTGTGGGACCAGCGCTGTGCACGACATTCCCATGGTGGCAGGGGCTGCCCGGCGTGCACACTGGGTTCAGCAACCTCACCACAGGTATTTATTGCCTCTCGAGCGACTGCATTCTTTTCTCATCTCCAGAAACCTTACCCCATCTACCTGACTAGGAGAAGGAGGAGGACGGTGGATAGTGGTACATTTTAAAATGTGCTCTAGTCTTCTTAGGAATTCTCCTCAAATAACACAGGAGGAACCACAGGAGTTTGATCCTGCATATTTCAAGCGACCACTGATCATCCCACTCATGCTATGTGCATGGAGACTCTTAAGCCTGCCCAGAATGGGCTTAAGAGCAAGGCATTGGAGCACAGAGCACCAGGTGATGCAAGCTAACACCAAACTCACTGCCACCTTGGCCGCCTCCCTGAGAGACTTTCAAGAGACATTAGGTCTCCAGCAGGAAACTCAGGAGTTCTTGGCCCCAGTGGTCCTAGACACTCGTTTGGCCTTAAACTGTCCATTGCCCAAGCAGTGAGGCAATTGTCCACTCCAGGGAACCACATACTGTGTGCACATCCTTAACGAACCCAGCAAAACCTGCCCTGCCTGCTAACACAAGCCCACGTGGGATTCAGTCTCAACCAGGTGGTCTGCAACATCCCAGCCCACCAATCGGCTTTGGTGTCTTGTTATGGTTAGAGCTCAAGTACTGGGCAGGCTGGTTCAGGGGAAGATTCCTCATCCTCTCCTGTGCATGGGTGTCAAACTTGAACTTGTCTCTCTAACAGAGTGTGTCCTGTGATATGCAGGCCAGGCTCTCCTGGGGGCTTTAAATATTCCCTTGCTGCAACTAGCTCAGCATCAGCCACCAGCACAGGCATCTCGGGGTCCATTGTGTTAGGAGTCATGGAGAATCCATCGTTGGTTGCTGCCTGGGCCTGGGCAAGGTTGACAAAGGCAGATGAGGGGACCCTCCATGGACTCCTGTCCGAACCCCAGCTTCCCATCAAATTTCTCAACTGTCCTTCCCACCAGAGTTATTTAATAAACCCAATGGAAAGTAACCCAGGTTATTAGGACACCTGATCCCAAATGACTCTTAAATAGGGAAGTCCTCTCCTGTTTGTGCACGGCTGCTCTTGCTACAGGAGACCCGGGACAGAGGACTGCTGTCTGCCCTCCCTCTTCACTCTGCCTACCTTGAGGATCTGTAAGTAACCCAAGACTTAAAACTTTCACATTGAGGTTTCAACATTGAACCTGTGCCCCCAGTCTGACCTCTGACTCCTGGGCCACCCCAGAGGGACCTTGTGGGTGAATCTCTTGCTGCGCATTTCTCTCTGAACCTCTGGTGGCTGCTGGGAGCTTTAGCTACCGGCTCAATTAATAGAGAACCTCAAGGAATTTCCTTCTAAATCTACGTGTCCTACTTGACACGTCCAATACAGACAACAATAGCTCCTTAGAACATCCTTTTATTTGGAGAGAAGCCTATCCTGCTCCTTGGCCTGTTTTTCAAACAGGTTACTTGTTATTTGCTTTTGAGTTGTTTGACTTCCTTATGTATTTAGATATTTGCCCCTTCTACCACCTAGGGTTTGCAATTATTGTCTTTCATTTTCTGGGTTGCTTTTTCACTCAGTTGATTATTTGTTTGTTGGTTTGTTTTTTGACGTGCAGATGCTTTAGAGGTCAGTGCAGCCCCATTTGTCTATTTTCCCGTTTATTGCCTGTGTCTTTGGTGTCATAGCAAAGATATCATTACCGACACCAATGACAAAGCGTTATCTTCATATGTTCCTCTCGTCATTTTATGGTTTCAGGTCTATGTTTGGGTCTTCGATCATTTTGAGTTGATTTGTGTATATAGTATATGATCAAAAACCACATGTACATGAACATCAAATCCTAAGGTGGTATACAGGAGATATATACCATTTTAAATTCTTATTCATATCTCAATAGACCCGGAAACACATTTTTGGCTGTAGATGAACTTTTTACCTTAATATCACTGTGTTCATGTCACCTATCGCCTGATAGGGTCATTGTCCTCTTCACACTGGCCCCTACAGGAGGCTACTCACCCCATGCCTTCATGAGAGTGGTCACGCCCTTGATGCCTGCAACAAATGACTCTTCACTTGATAGGAATTCATGCCTGCTGCCAGAGTGTAGACTGTACAGAGTAGTGGGGCCATCTGCAGGAAAAGAGGCATTTGTATCCTGAGCTTATTGAACAAAAGCACTGCTGTTATCCTTTGGTAGAATAGTAAAAAGTCAATATACAATGAAGTGAGAAACAAGAAAAACATGCCAGGATCCTCGTCGTCACCATCCTCTCCAACCCAGCACAAACACTACACGTAGAGATTCAAACTAGAGTGAAAGCTGGGAGAGCAAAGGAAGAAAACAGGGACATTGAGACCAACGGGATCCCACACAGTCTCCAACGAAATGCACACCTCCTTTCTCTGAGAGGGTTCCAGGTTTCTTGTCTCCGAGCCTTCTCTCTGCAGACCTATATATCCAGGCTAACTCCTCTCTCCCGACTCGTCTGCTCCTGCTCTCCCTCCTCCAGGTCACCCCAGCCATGAGGACCTTCGCCCTCCTCACTGCCATGCTTCTCCTGGTGGCCCTGTAGGCTCAGGCGGAGCCACTTCAGGCAAGAGCTGATGAAGCTGCAGCCCAGGAGCAGCCTGGAGCAGATGATCAGGAAATGGCTCATGCCTTTACATGGCATGAAAGTGCCGCTCTTCCGCTTTCAGGTGAGACAGGCCGGCATGCAGAACTGCAGGGTCTAGTGGGATGGATGGGAGACAGAGTGTGGAATCGAGTCTCAATGTCCATGTCACTTCGGGGGCTTCATTTAGCATCTCTGGGCCTTGGTTTTCTCATCTATAAATTGAATAGAGAGCCAAATAAATCTTTCTGTCTTTAAAGACTTGAGGCTGCTCTGCCTGGAGAGTAACCATTCTTTTATTCCTTTACTTCCTTAACAATCCTTTCACTTCAGAAAATCTATAAAATTGAAAAATAAAACTTGACGTCAAGATATGTCTGTGAAATTCAGTAGGTTTTAGATATGAAGAGACAGTCTGACTCGTTCTTTCTGGATTCACACAAGTAGACTTCATTACAAGGAGAATATTTTACTGTATCTGTAGAATAGTTTTTAAAAAGTACAGCCAAGCCCAAGAGTGTGTTCAGCTGTGTGTGTGACGGGGCAGAAGCACAAAAATGAGCGCAAATGAGAATGAGTCTCAAATCCTGTGTGACCAGCACTGCTCTGTGTATTTATTCCTATTGACTGAGGTTGTTCATGCTACTGGCCCCAATGCAGCCAACATCACTCATTACCTAGCACATGACTTATCCAAGATTCCCTTTACCATCACTGCTGACCTTCTGATCCATTTATGATGATTTCCCTGTGTCCTCAGACTCAGCGAGAGGCTTGAGGTGCATTTGCGGAAGAGGAATTTGCCGTTTGTTATAACGTCGCTTTGGGTCCTGCGCCTTTCGTGGTACACTCCACCGGGTCTGCTGCCGCTGAGCTCGCAGAATCAAGAAAAATAAGCTCAGAATTTACTTTGAGAGTTAAAAGAAATTCTTGTTACTCCTGTACCTTGTCCTCCATTTCCTTTTCTCATCCAAAATAAATACCTTGTTGCAAGATTTCTCTCTTTACATCTCTTTCACATTTGATGTGTCTTTGTGTCTCAAGACACTTGGGATGCACTTACCAGAATCCTAAGTTTTTAAACAAAATAAAATTTGAAATTCTAGGAATTTCAAGCAGGCGTTTGAGCTTCAGACTCAAATGGAAATGAAGGCCCAAATCATACCACCCATCTCCCCATCCACTGCTCTGTCTTTTCACTCTGCCTCATTTTCTCTGGATCCACTCTCAAAGAGCTCCCGTGTGCTGGGCAAATAATCAGTGTCAGCTTAAAGTTCACGCAGTCACAAAAACATTCCTCCTCAGGAGAAACCAGCATCATCTGTCCCAAAGAACTGGGGTTTTATTGAACGTGTCCAGGTCACACATTTGCCTTTTAAGCCATTGGGTTACAGGAGATTCACTGAAACAACTTCAAGAGGGAAATGGGTTGTTAGCAAAGGCAGGATGCGTGGAACAGAAAGCACAGCGGCCCACACTGGGATGTCCACATTAAAAGCACCCTCCAGCCAGGTCTACTAAGACCTGGATTTCACACCCATAAAGTTGTCTTCACACCCAGAAAACACACAAGCACAAATGCTCCACTACACTTTGCAAGACGCACTCTCCTCTGTTGCCTTAAAGCCGCTGAGAATCTGATTCTGCCTGGAAAATACAGCTTTAGAGGGGATAAGGGATGAGGCCAGGAAAGCACTTCACCAGGAAAAGGGTAGCCTTCTTGTTGCTGCAGGGTGCTGAGGCAGCTCAGGGGTCCAGGCACCCCACTGAGAAACTGCATAGATGGGGAAGCCCATGCAGATCCCAAGGAGGACAGAGTGGGTGCCAACCTCCAGTGCATTTCCCCTAGCTCACCCAGGGTTTCACCTTTCCTGCCTTTGTCTTCAGGGAAGTTGAGGCCAACGGCTCTCCCTATTGCAACGTTCTGACTCCTATTTCACCAGTCTTCAATAAGCGCTTCCTTCACATTTTTGCGACGTCTTGGTGAATTTTTTCTTGTACAATAAATGAAATAGTTTTCTTTGGCTATTTCTTTTCTGATTTTCTAAACTCGGCTTACAAGCAAAACCAGAAGGAAAGGGATCTGAAAAGTACTCATTCCATTTTATGAGTATCTGAAATTTTTCCTTTTTCACTAAGAAACAAACAACTCATGAAGAACCTAAGGGAAAGAGCCCACTCTCACATTTCCTCTCAGTCACCCTCCCAACCTCTCTGTGCTGGATCCTCCTGGCTGACAGCGACGCCCACTTTTGTTCCAGCCCTCCACCCCATGCTCCTGCCACCACCTGGAATTCCTGCATCTCTGAATATCAAGTATGAAGGTCCCTGTTGCTGACTCACCCGCTGTACTTCCAGCCTCTCCGGTAGCCGTCCCTCCTTCCCTGCTGATCAGCATCGATAAGGCTGTTCTCCCACAGAAACGTGCCGGGGAATCACCCGGGAGTCTGTTCCCCAGGCTGCACCAGGAACACCTGTCATCTACCCTCGTTTCCTGTTCTTATGAACTGTACTGTCTTTAACTCAGATTCTCTGAGCTAGGTAATATTTTTATATAATTTTCAGGCATATTAGCTGAGTTTTGCATTCAAATTTAAGAAACCACAACAAGCTGAGTGAACAATTTGACTGCCACACCTGATACTTACGAAAGAATTCTGGCTTCATAAAATCCCTGATTGAAGGACCCAAAGCATAAGAGTCCTTCTTGTCTTTACCTTTTATCACCCCCATTTTTCTCTTGATAACTTGGGCTCGCTCCCCAAGTGACAGCCACATGAATTGTGGTTATCTTCCCACAGCCTCCGTTGCTGATCTCCGGGAGAAAACCCCTATTGATTTCTCCATTGTTTCAGTCAACTCCCGAGTCCCATGCCCTCCTCTGAGTCTGTCCCTCAGTGGAGAGATTGAGACTCCACCTGGATCCACTACCCCTCCTCCACACAGGAAAAATTCAAACTAAGAATGGATGAGACAGGGTTTCCTCAGTCACTCCATAGAGTCCACAGTTTCATCCCCCACCATGATGGGCTCTTTGTGACGCTTTGGGAAGAAGTTGAGAAAATTCCTTCCTATTTTATCAGTATTTCAGAGAAGTTGAGGTTTACACACACAAAATATGTACAAATCGAATTCCTCAGCAATACTGTGAAAATGCCCTCTGTTCATCTAGGGCTGGTGAAAAGACACCACAAAACGTAGGGAATTAAAACAGCACGATCAGGTCGTCATTCACACATTTGCAATTGGGACATAGCCCCCCCCATGGGCAACAGAGGAGAGGTTCTGCTGGGAGCTGAAAACCTCAGGGCCAAGACGCTTGCGCACAGGTAGCGGGGAGTGCTGGGCTGGCTCAGTGGGAGCTCTGACAGGCTGAGGGATGAGACACTGTGATGCACTGAGGCCAGGTCATGCCAGCTCATGAGAGAAAAGATAGGTGTGACACTTTTTATCCCACTCATAGCTAGGAGGATTTGAACCAGAGAGATTTACAAACACTGCGTATCAGAGTTTTGTTTTTCCTAGAAAGCTGGTTGCTCTGGGTTCTCTAGCTCTTCCTTGCAGGTGGGTTCAGTTCCTTTTTTTGCAATGCTTAGACTTCCTCCAAGCATTGTAGCTGGGCTTCAAAGGCACCAGCACTCTTAGTATATGTGGGATGCTGGGGGAAAGAAAATCATACACCAAGTGACTTATAAACAACAAAAATACATTTCTCAGTGTTCTGGAGGCTGAGATGTCCAAATCAAGGTGCCAACAGATTTGGTGTGTGGTGAGGACCAGCTTTTTGGTTCATAGATGCTACCTTCTCACTGCTTCCTCACCTGAGGGAATGAATGAAGGAGCTCTCTGGGGCTTCTTCCTCAGGGGCACTAATGCAACTCATGAGGACTCCATCCTCCTGAACATATCACTTCCCAGAAAGCCCCACCTTTTCATGCTATCACCAGAGGAGGGATTTCAACATATGAATTTCAGAGGGACAAAAACATTCAGGCTGCAGCACCATCCAATACACAGGAAGTGAAAGATACCAACTTCTTATGACCTTAGCCCAACAAACAGCACGGTGCTCAGTCAGGTGTGTTCAACTGGTCAAGATGTCGCCCAATCTAGATTCAACAGGAGACATTTTCACCTCCATTTTTATGTGAAAAGAGTCAGGGATTTAGGGCCATATTTTAAAACAGCTCAAGGAAGCTATTTCCTTATGGTTTATTGTAAAATAATCCTGCTGCAATCCTCAACACCAGACACACAGACAGCTTGTGAGAGGCGGCTGGGAAAGGCAGACAAAGGGCAGGGACTTGGAGCTCCTACCTGTCCCAGCTGGATCTGCAGGCCCGGGAGTGACTGTGTGGCACAGGCAGCACCAGGACCCTCCCTGCAGGACAGTGGACAAAGGGCTGAGGGGAGGGACAGGGCGATGCACTCTGAGGAGCTGGGAGGTGGAGGGTCCTCCTCAGAGCTCACCTCTGCGTAGCCCCCGCTGCGCCCCATGGTAACACGCATGCTGTGTTCCATGACTACCCTTTCCTACCGGGTCAAAACCATAACCCCAGGGCCCCGCCCAAGGTCCACACACACTGTGTCTGCTGAGGCCACCAGACACCATAAACATGTGTGAGAATATGTGTGCTGCTCCTGGAAGCTTCTCTCCTCTCACACCTACAACCCCACCCACAGCTTCTCCAGAATGTTTACCCCAGCCTAATGATGTCAAGGTTTTTATTGAGTCTAGACTCGCTTCAATATTCCCTAAAATTCAAATGCGTGTGTCTGAAAAAAACAGCTTCAGCTGCATCTACATATAGTGTCCACAGTGTGGACACTGATTGTCTACACTGGCTGCAATCAGTGGAAAACATCAGGCTGGGGTTGGGGACTATGGATCAACATGGAAGTGAAAGTACTGTAAAAAATCTGTAGACATAACACCTTTTTTGTTTAAACCACAAAATTCTGCCAAGGTTCCGGTGCAGCCCAAAGAGAAAGGTGAAAAGGACCACAGGGAAGAATCTCTCTGTTCTAATTTGAGTTTTGGAGTTTGAGAATCACCTGCGGAAGGATGGCGACAATGCCTAGGTGTGACCTCAGTACAGACTGAGACCCTGCTGGGGCTCTGGGCTGCCGAGTCCTGACCGCAGTCTATGGAGGAGGCAAGGATGGGAGCATGGCCATGAGGGAGACACAGAGCAACGTCCCAGCAGATGGTTCCCAGTCCTGCAGCCAAGAATGGGAGGGAAGGAGAGCACAAGACAGGGTTGGGGCAGAGAAGGCCACCCCTCCAGGGACAGGAGCCACCCGTGACTCTGAGCCAGCTGGAGGGTCTCTGTTCTCCCTCAGCTCCCCAGATCGCTCTGGGTGCTGCATGTAAAGCCACCGCCTGGGCCAGGACACACATCTGTGGCAGGGTTGCTGCACCCGCTCTCCCTCTTCCTGGACAGTGGCCAGGTTTCTGCAGGACACACTCATGGCCCCTCCAGCACTGTTGTAAAGATTCTGGGCATCGATTTGTCGTCAGTGGGCTGACAAAGTCCCCTTGCAGTTAAAAACCAAATCCTCACCACTAGTGTCCTAGCCACTTTGCAGCTGGCCCTCCATGTACTGGGACATCGTGTCTTTGGAGACAGCTATACCCCACTTGTCCATTCTGCTGAGGCCCACAAATGCCATCACCCAGAAGCCCTTCACATCCACTGGGGCCACAGCAGGATACAGTCTGTTGCTGGTCCAGCAGGTGATCTCTCTAGTCCATGCCCGGGTCCCGGGTTCTGAGTTTCATGGGGAGGCCCTCACTACCACCCATCATAAGTCTCAGAGCCTCTGGACAAAGCACACCTGTCCTAACTATGAGCTTCTGCACATGTAGTCTTCCAGGGACCGTAGCTCCTTATGCCCTGCGTGGAGCAGGTGTTCTCTTTACGTGGCATTTCTTCACTATCTCCTTTAGAACCACACCTATCATTGATTCAGATGGAGGCTCCCACCTCAGGACATCACAACATGAGGGTGGGTTAAGGGAGTCTCATTTAGTCCATCGTCCCCAAGCCACCAGCCTCCTCAAGCAGCACGGTGGCCTCCTAAAGTCATGGTTATTAATGTCTCTGGATGTGCTATGGACACCCAAGACCCAAGGCACCAAGGTCCTTCCAAGGGCCGTCACTTTTTTAACTCTCAATCCCATGGCCACCACTGCCTCATCACAATTGGGCTAGACGCACTTTGGTGCCTATCTTGGTGATCACAGAAGAGTTAGCTTCTTTTTTCCCTTACAGATAACATCATTTACATGTTCTCCAATAATGAGACCTCCCCATATCATCACAAGACATCCACCATCTCAACATCAAACATGTACTGAACAATGGACTGTGGATGGATAGTAAACTACGATCTTCTGAGGATGACCCCCCAGGCCCACTGGCACCCAGCAGGACCACGAGGCTTTTGCTACACCACACCTCTCCATTTCACATGCAGCTTCCGGCAAAAGCTCCCTTTTTTACCGGTTTTAAAGGTTAGCTAATATTTCCCACTTACTCCTCCTGGCAGGAAGTAAGGATTATTGCTCCAGAACCCACCGAGGGTGCAGTCAGAGGCAGTAACGAGGAGAAGAAGCCTTCAAACTAGAGACACCAACTACGTCAGGCAAAGACCATATGGAAGTGCCATCACCAAACGTGGCCATGGGGGAGAAAGGCTCCAAGGAAAAGTGGGTGCCAGCCAACCCCATCATCAGTGTCAATATAGAAGCACTGGGAAGAAAGCCCTGAGTGACAAGATGTCAGTGTTCTCTATGATTGGCCTTGCTTGGTATCTTATGTACAAATGGCTTGTGGGGTAGCTGTTTAACCCAGGCCTGGCAGCCTAGAGGGCTGCTGGAACAGGACAGCCCTAGTCAGAATTTGTACCCCAGACTGGAAAACTGGGGAATTCCCTGTAAGCCCTGTTAGAGGGGCTGTACCCCAAATACAACCTGACCTGTGTCCAAGGCAGGCAACTCAACCCTTAGATATTGAATGGGTCCCATGGCACCAATGCTTAAACACCAGCAGCCCTCACAACCACAGATCGTGTTTTAAGGATGAGGAGGTAGTTCTCTGGATGCACAGGCTTCAATCCAAATGGGCTCATGACGCCGCAGCACACACCCAGACTGCAGCCTGAAGAGTTGGAGCCTTGCATTCACAGGAAGCATCCAGACATGATCATGGGCTAAGGGATACGCCTGTTCTCCAATGTGTACGAGTTAAGGATGGAAACTCCTATGCCTCCCAGAAAGCACCACTCAAGCTTTTGCTAAATGCTTCTCTGAAGGCCCACAAGGCCTGAGAGGCTGTGCAACACCAGCAGTAAAGTGAATGCCCAAACTCCCACCTCCTTTCTTGGGTGGCCATCTGGAAAGGCCACTCCCACCCTGATGGCTAATGCCTCAGACCAGTTCCTGGCCCAGATGATCCTAGACAATTGTTTAAGCTTAAACTGTTCATTGGCCAAGCAAACAGGTGATAGTCACCTCTGGGGAACCACATGCCGCGTGTACATCCAGTACTCAGGAGAACCCAAAAATGTCTGTTCCACATAGCAACAGAAGCCCAGGTAGCACTCAGTCTCACCTGGGTGTTCTCCAACATCCCAGCTCAGCCAAATGGCTTTCATTAGTTTTTATGGTTAGACCCCAGGTCCTCGGGACACTGCTTTAGAAACACATTCCAAATCCTCCTCTGTGTGCAGGTGGCATTCCTATCCCAATCTCTTTGCAGGGTGTATACTATGATACGCAGCCAGGCTGTCCCAGAGGCCTTAAATATTCCCTTGGTGCAGGTAGTTCAGCTTAGCCACAGCCAATGCATCACAGGGTCAACTGTGTTAGGAGCCATTGAGAATCCATAGTTGGTTGCTGCCTGGGCCTGGCCAGGGCTGACCAAGGTAGATGAGAGGTTCCTCTGTGGAGTTCTACTTTAACCTCACCTTCCCACCAAATTTCTCAACTGTCCTTGCCACCACAATTATTTAATGGACCCAACAGAAAGTAACCCCGGAAATTAGGACACCTCATCCCAAAAGACCTTTAAATAGGGGAAGTCCACTTGTGCACGGCTGCTCCTTGCTATAGAAGACCTGGGACAGAGGACTGCTGTCTGCCCTCTCTGGTCACCCTGCCTAGCTAGAGGATCTGTAAGTACTACAAAACTTAAACTTTACACTGAGTTTTCATCATTGAAGCTATGCCTCCAATCTGACCTCTGACTGTGGGGCCGCCCCAGAGGGACCCAGCGGGTGAATCCCTGCTAGGAACGTCTGTCCGGACCTCTGGTGACTGCTGGGGACGATGGCTTCCAGCTAACTTAATAGAGAAACTCAAGCAGTTTCCTTCTAAATACACATGTCACATGTCCTGGTTGACATGTCCAGTAGAGACTATCACAGGTCTTTGGAACATTCTTTTGAGAGAAACCTATTTAGGTCCTTGGTCTGTCTTTCAATCAGGTTGTTTGATTTTTGCTATTGAGTTGTTGGAATTCCTTATGTATTCAGATATTTGCCCCTTCTGCCATGTAGGTTTTGCAAATATTTTCTCTCATTTTCTGGGTTATCTTTTCACTCGGTTGATTGTTTCCTTTGCTGTGCAGATGCTTTAGCGTTAAATGAAGCCACACTTGTCTATTTTCCCTTTTATTGCCTGTGCCTTTGGTGTCATAGCCAAGAAATCATTACCTACATCAATGTCAAAAGCTTTATCCTTCTATACACTTCTAGTAGTTTATGGTTTCAGTTGTTACATTTAGGTTTTCAATTCATTCTGAGTTGATGTTCCTACATGGTGTGAGATAAAGATTTAAATACATACATATATAAAATCATGAGGTAGTGTACACTATAAATATACAATTGTTAATTGTTACTCAAGTCTAAGTAGAGGTGGAAATAATAAACTTTCTTTTTTTTACTTAAACCACTCTGTGTCACTGAGCTGATTTCACCTTTAGCCTGATAAAATCATTGTCCTCTCCACCCTGATTCCTACAGGAGACTACTCACCCCATAACCTCAAAAACCTCTTCATGAGGATGGTAAGTCACCTGAATCCTGAAGTGAATTACTCGCTATTCCATTGGAACTCATATAGGACACCAGAATCTAGACCTCCAGAGAACAGCAGGACCCATCTTCAGAAAATAAGAAGCATTTGTTCCCTGAGCCTGTTGAATCAAAGTGCAATTTCTATTCTTTTTGGAATGTTAAAAAGTGAGTCATAATATTTAAGCAGGTGAACCCACGAGTAACATAGCAGGGTCTTTCTTGTCATTATTAGCTCCAACCTAGCACAGACATTAAAGGTACAGATGTATACTAGCATGAAACTGGGAGAACAGGAGCATTCGAGCAACCTTGAGACCAATGGGCCTCTCTTATAAAATGCACACCTCCTCTCACTGAGATTGAGGAAGGTTTCTTGTCTCCGAGCCTTCTCCCAGTAGAGCTATAAATCCAGGCTGGCTCCTCCCTCCCCACACAGCTGCTCCTGCTCTCCCTCCTCCAGGTGACCCCAGCCATGAGGACCCTCGCCATCCTTGCTGCCATTCTCCTGGTGGCCCTGCAGGCCCAGGCTGAGCCACTCCAGGCAAGAGCTGATGAGGTTGCTGCAGCCCCGGAGCAGATTGCAGCGGACATCCCAGAAGTGGTTGTTTCCCTTGCATGGGACGAAAGCTTGGCTCCAAAGCATCCAGGTGAGAGAGGCAGGCATGCAGAGCTGCTAAGTCTAGAGGGAAGGACGGGAGAGAGGTTCCAGAGTTGGGTCTCAGCAGTCTATGTCACTGAGGTGGCTTCACTTAGAATCTCTGGGCATTGATTTTCTCATCTAGAAATTGAACAGAGAGCCAAATAAACATGAGAAACTTTATTTCTCCAAAGACTTGATTCCAAGAAACGTCTGTGAAATTCACTAAGTTTAAGATATGAAGAGACAGACTAGTTATTTCTGGATCTAAACAAGTAGACTTAGTTGTAAAGAGAACATTTTACTCTATCTACAGAAGAGCTTTTAAAAACTGCAGCCAAGCCTGCGGGTATGTTCAGGTGTGTGTGTGATGGGGCAGGAATGCAAAAATGAGAGCAAAGGAGAATGAGTCTCAAATTCTGTGTGACAAGCACTGCTCTGCGTGTTTATTCCTATCGACTGAGGTTGTTCGTGCTACCGGCTGCAATGCAGCCAGCATCACCTGTCAGCTAGCATGTGACTTCCCCGAGATTCTTTTTCTTACCCACTGCTAACTCCATACTCAATTTCTCATGCTCTCCCTGTCCCAGGCTCAAGGAAAAACATGGCCTGCTATTGCAGAATACCAGCGTGCATTGCAGGAGAACGTCGCTATGGAACCTGCATCTACCAGGGAAGACTCTGGGCATTCTGCTGCTGAGCTTGCAGAAAAAGAAAAATGAGCTCAAAATTTGCTTTGAGAGCTACAGGGAATTGCTATTACTCCTGTACCTTCTGCTCAATTTCCTTTCCTCATCCCAAATAAATGCCTTGTTACAAGATTTCTGTGTTTCCACCTCTTTAATGTGTGATATGTGTCTGTGTCAAGACACTTGGGATACACGTACCAAAACGCAAAATCAAATTTTTGAACAATATAAAATTCCAAATTCTAGGAATTTCAAGCAGGAGTTTGGGCTTCAGATCCAAATTGAAAAGAAGGCCCATATGACACCACTGATTTCCCCACCCACTGCTCTGCCTTTTCACCCTGCCTCATTTTCTCTGGATCCACTCTCAAAGAGCTCGCGTGTGCTGGGCAAACAATCGGTGTCAGCTTACATTTCATGCAGTCACAAAATCATTACTTCTCCGGGAAAAAAAAACCATCCTCTGTGCTAAAGAATTGGAGTTTCATTGAACAATGTCAGATTGTACATTTTCCTTTTAAGACATAGGGTTACATGAGATCCACGGAAAAAACTTTCATTCAGAGGGAAATGGGTTGTTAGCAAAGGCGGGATACATGGAACAGAAAGCACAGCATCTCACATTGGCACGTCCTCATTAAGAGGACCCTCCAGCCACGTCTACTAAGACCTGGATTTCACAATCATAAAGTTGTCTTCACACCCAGAAAACACACACACACAAATGCTCCACCGCACTTTGCAACGCGCACCCTCTTGTGTTACCCTAAAGCTGCTGAGAACCTGATTCTGCCTGGAAAATACAGCTTCAGAGGGGATAAGGGACGAGGGAGGGAAAGCATTTCACCAGGAACATGGTAGCGTTCTTGTTGCTGCAGGGGGCTGAGGCAGCCCAGGGGCCCAGGTACCCACTGAGACACTGCATGGATATGGAAGCCCACCAAGAACCCTGGGAGGACAGAGTGCGTAATGATCCCAGACTTCTTCTTGTTTAGATGATGAAGGACACAAATAGGGAATCACGGTGTGAAGCCCAGGAACCTTCTTTGGCTTCCTGTGACTGCCATGGACTTGGAATCATGTGGTCCCTGAATTAACTTTCCATAGTATTCTGAACTATGAACTGGATCAAGATGGCTGCATCTTGGGGCATCTGCCAGAGGTCCACCTGACTTTCTCCCAAGCATCTGAGGTCTCAGCTAAAACTTCACTTGGTCACTGAGGTCTTTTCTGATCTCTCAACCTTAAATTGCAACAAGATCCCCCTGCTGACCTCCATTCTCCGATTTTCCTCATTGCTAACTATAGAATTGCAACCATCTCACTCCCTGTACACTTCACTTACTATACGTAACATTTGCCTCCTTACTCCAGAAGGGAAGCTGCATGTTTTGCTTATTGTTGTACCAGAGTGCATGGATGACTGTAACATAAAGTAGGGGGTTAATAAATTAATTCTGATTACATTAACTAATTGCATCTAATAGCACATAACAATATAAAATGATTTATTAATTGTTATTCCTAAATTCCACAGGAAAAAGCTAAATTCAACAGAGGTAGAGCAGTCCATTTTCTAGACCCTATGACAGCACACCTTTAAAAAACAAAATAAATAAAAGTATTCAAGGCTGAAACATGAAAAAACATCATGGGTACTATTTGGCATCATGAAGCTTTAGGACCTTAGAAGAAGCAGGCCATTCCGGCTAAAGCAGGCAAAAAGATTTCATGTGAATCTTCAAGTACAACATCAATATGTTTAAAACATGGAATGACTAAAAGAAGAGGTAGAATGAAATGTTTGGTGGACAGAATGCTATCAGGGCAAGAGCTATGCAGGATGAGGGTGGACCTCCACTGAATTCAGAGGAATGGATGTTGCCAGAGAGAAGGACGGAGTAGAATTCAGGCTGATGTGCTGAGAAGCATCCATCAATCCAAGGGAAAGGGCCAGATGAGAACGGAGCCTCCCTGCTCCTCTGTGTGGATAAAGGCACACTGGGAGCACCACATGTGGCTTCTGCTACTGCAGTCTAGGGTGGGCGATGACTGCTGCAAACTCTAGGGACGGAGAATTCAGGGAGAGGTGTGAGGGTCTCCAAACAACCAGGGCAACTTACTCAGCCTCAAATGAGGCACAACACTGTTTACTGGGATGCACATACACTCTAGGATTAGTGATGACATGCAAGAACTTTTCTACCGGAAATGAGCCATTCATGCGGCAGGACAAGGAAATAAGGAATAAGTTAGATGCCTCATCCCTTTAAATGTAACTACTCAAGGGGACAGCAGCCCTGTCTCTGTAGGCAGGCAGGAGCCTAACTCCAATAAGCACAAACTAGCAAACGCAGATGGCCCAATCACACTGCAAGACTCCCACTACCAACCTCCAGTGCATTTCCGCTAGCTCACCCAGGCCTTAACCTTCCCGCTTTGGCTTCAGGAAAGTTGAGGCCAACGGCTCTCCCTGTTGCAACGTTCTGACTCCCATTTCAACAGTCTTCAATAAGTGCTTCCTTCACATTTTTAAAAGGTCTTGGTTAATTTTTACTTGTACAAAAAATGAAATAGGTTTCTTTTGCTGTTCCTGTTCTGATTTTCTAAACTCGGCTTATAAGCAAAACCAGAAGGAAAGAGATCTGAAAAGAACTCATTCCATTTTAGGAATATCTGTATTTTTTCCGTGTTCACGAAAAAAACAAATAACTCATGAAGAAACTAAGGGAAAGAGCTCACTCTAACATTTCCTAGAAGTCAACCTCCCAACATCTCAATTCTGTGTCCTCCTGGATAACAGGGACCGCCACCTCGTACCAGCCTTCCACCCCATGGCTACTCCCTAACTCCTGCACCACCTGGAATTCCTGCACCTCTGAACATCACTTATGAAATTCCTGTCCCTGACACACCCATTGTCCTCCAGCCTCTCACATAGCCGTCCCTCCTTCTCTGCTGATCAGCATCAATAAGGCTGTTCTCCCCCGGGGCTGTGCATGGGAATCATCCAGGAGTCTCTTCTCCAGGCTGCACCCAGGACACCTGCCATCCGCTCTCATTTCCTATTCTTATGCACTGCACCATTTTGCCTCAGCTTCTCTTATCTGGGTAATTTTTGTTGTATCTTTTTCAGGCATATTAGCGGAGTTGTGCACTCAAATTTAAGAAACCACAACAAGCTGAATTAACATTTTGAATGCCCCACATGAACAGTGGGTCACACCTGTAATCCAAACACTTCGGGAAGCCAAGGAGGGTGGATCATGAGGTCAGGAGTTCAAGACCAGACAGCGCAACACGGTGAAAACTGTCTCTACTACTAAAAATAGAAAAATTAGCCGGGTGTGGTGGTGGGTGCCTGTAATCTCAGCTACTCAGGAGGCTGAGGCAGGAGAATCGCTTCAACCTGGGAGGTGGAGGTTGCAGTGAGCCAAGATCGCGCCACTGCACTCCAGCGTGGGTGACAGATCTACACTCTGCCTCAAAAAAAAAAAGAAAAGAAAAGAAAAAAAAGAAAGAAAGAAAGAAAGAAAGAAAGAAAGAAAGAAAGAAAGAAAGAAAGAAAGAAAGAAAAGAAAAGAAAGGCTTCTGGCTTCATAAAATGCCTGATCCAAGGACTCTAGGCATGAGTTACCTTGTTGTCTTTACCATTTTGTTTCCCGCTTTTTTCTCTTGATCTTAACTGGGGGTCTCTCCCCAGATGACAGTCGTGTGAATAATGGTCATCCTCCCTGGGACTTCATAGCTGATCTCCGGGAGAAAACCCCTACTTCTCTCTCCGTTGTTTCAGCCAGCTCTGGAGTTCCGCACCCTCTTCTGAGTCTGTCACTGAGGGGAGAGGTTGAGACTCCACCTGGATCCCACACTACCCCAGCTCCCCACAGGAAAAATTCAAACTAAGAATGGGTGAGACAGGGTTCCTCAGTCACTCCAAAGAGTCCACAATTCCATGCCCCCACCACAATGGGCTCTTTGTGACACTTTGGGATTCAATTGAGAAAGTTCTCTCCTATTTCATCAATATTTTAGAGAAGCTGAGATTTACACACACACACAAAGTACAAGTCCAATTTGTCACCAATACTGTGAAAATTGCCCTCTGTTCATCTAGGGCTCTATGAAAAGACACCACAAGACTTAATGGATTAAAACAACATGATCAGGTCTTCATTCACACATTTGCAATTGGGAGGTGGCTCTCTCCACAGGCATCAGAGGAGAAGTGCTGCTGGGATCTGAAAACCTCAGGCCCAAGACACTTGTGAACAGGTGGCAGGGGGTGCTGGCTCAGCTGCAGCTCTGACAGGGCTCAGGGATGAGACCCTGTGAGGCACTGATGTCAGATCATGCCGGTTCATGAAGGAGGAGATTGGTGTGACACTTTGTATCCCACTCATAGCTAGCAGGATTTGCAACACTTAGACTTCCTCCAAGCATGGTATCCGGGCTTCAAAGACACAAGCAATCTGAGTGTATGTGGAGTGCTGGAAAAAAATACCATACACCAAGTGACTTAGAAACAACAGAAATATATGTCTTGGTGTTCTCGAGGCTGAGAAGTCCAAAACAAGGTGCCAACACACTTGGTGTCTGGTGAGGACCAGTTTTGTGATTCATAGACGGCACCTTCTCACTGAATCCCACTCGCTGCAGATGACATAATTTCATTCTCTTTTATGAATGTAGTATCCCATCATGTATATGTACCACATTTTCTTCATCCAGTCCAACACTGATGGCCATCTAGGTTGACTCCATGTCTTTGTTAGCATGAATGATGCTGCCATGAACATACGAGTACATGTGTCTTTTTGGCAGAATAATTTGTTTTCCTTTGGATATATACCCAGTAGTGAGATTCCTTGGTTGAATGCTGGTTCTATTTTAAGTTATTTGCAAAATCTCTAAACTGCTTTCCACTATGGCTGAACTCATTAACATTCCCCTCAACAGTGTATAAGCGTTCTCTTTCTCTGCAGTCTTGCCAATATCAGTATTTTTTAACTTTTCAATAACAGCCATTCTGACTAGTGTGAGCTGGTATCCCTTTGAGGTTTTATTTTGCATTTCTCTAATGATCAGTAATGTGGAGCATTTTTTCATGTTTCTTGGCCTCTTGTATGTCTTTTTTTTGAGAAGTATCTGTTCATGCCCTGGCACGCATTTTAAAGGGGTCATTTCTTTTTTGCTTACTTATTTGTTTAAGTCCCTTGTAGAGGAAAATCACTTTGACCACGAGATCACCACCAACCAGCCTTTCCTTACTGCTACAAACACGGACCTTGCCATCTCCAGTACACGGTGCTGGCTCATGGCCAGTACCCAAACCCTTGACTTGCTGCTTCCCTGACCTCATGCTTTGCTGATTACCCCAAAAATGACCTCATTAGAGTGGAATTTTGCTGAGATCACCATTTGCTTTCAGAATAAGCCCATTACTTTATGGTGCAAGGAACCCATAGAGCCTCAGTGAGATTGTAAAGCTGCCCTACAAGCTACGGAAAACTATGGACTTGGGAGAACTGTGTGTAAGAATACCATGCCCGAATCTCACCAGCTCTCCAGTGATAACGCTCATGCAGTGCTGCGGAAATGCCTATGGACTGGAGTGTGCTCTGTGTGCAGGAAGCAGGTCCAGGTTTCACTTCCGCAGGACATGGGACATTTCCAGAACCCGGAGATCTTCCTCTCGCTCATATACACCCCTTCATATTTAGTCCCTATAACCTCATCATTGCGACCCTACAGGCACCTACTAATGCCCTGGAAGCTAAAACTGTCACCAGAGCCTCAGTTTCCCCAAAGAGCCCAAATTTCTTCTTATGCTGGGGTGAGACTGGTGCTCACTTCCTCCAAAGCTGAAGTTCCTGGGCCTGCCACACATCAGGAATTCACTGCTTCCTCAGAGGGACAGGAGACCCCACTGCTCTGCCACAGTGACCGCCCCTAGCAAGGCTTGAGATGCCTCCTCTACCTTAAGGTTGAGGGAGATGCTTTAGTTCTCACTCCACTGCCCCCAGGCCTCCACCGGCCGATGCCTGCTGCCTGCACACAGAGCTGCAGGGGAGGCCCTGAGCACCCAGCCTGTGGGACCAGCGCTGTGCATGACCTTCCCATGGCAGCAGGGGCTGTCTGGCCTGTACACTGGGTTCAGCAACCTCACCACAGGTATTTACTGCCTCTCGAGTGACTGCTTTCTTTTCTCATTTCCAGAAACCTTATCACATCTACCTCACTATGAGAAGGAGGAGGAGGGTGGATAGTGGTACATTTTAAAATGTGCTCTAGTTTTCCTAGGACTTCTCCTGAAATAACACAGGAGGGACCACAGGAGCTCAATCCTGCATATCTCGAGTGACCAGTGATCTTCCCACTCACGCCGTGTGTATGGAGGCTCTTAAGCCTGCCCAGAATTGACTTAAGAGCAAGGTATTTGAGAACACAGCACCAGGTGATGTAAGCTAACACCCATCTTGCTTCCACCTTGGCCGCCTCCCTGAGAGACTTCCAAAAGACATTAGATCTCAAGCAGGAAACTCAGGAGTCCTTGGCGCCAGTGGTCCTAGACACTCGTTTAGCCTTAAACTGTCCATTGCCCAAGCAACGAGGCAATTGTCCGCTCCCGGGAACCACATGCTGTGTGCACATCCTTAACAAACCCAACAAAACCTGCCCTGCCTGGTAACACAAGCCGACGTGGGATTCAGTCTCAACCAGGTGGTCTGCAACATCCCAACCCAGCCAATCGGCTTTGATGTGTTGTTACGGTTAGAGCACAGGTACTTGGGAGGCTGGTTCAGGCAAGATTCCTCATCCTCTCCTGTGCATGGGTGTCTGTCGTAACTTGTCTCCCTAACAGAGTGTATCCTGTGATATGCAGGCCAGGCTCTCCTGGGGGCTTTAAGTATTCCCTGGGTGCAATTACCTCAGCCTGAGCCATCAGCACAGGCATCTCGGGGTCCATTGTCTTAGGAGTCATGGAATCTATCATTGGTTGCTGCCTGGGCCTGGCCAGGGCTGACCGAGTTAGATGCGGGGTTCTCTGTGGACTCATGTCTACATCACAGCGTCCCTCCAAATTTCTCAACTGCCCTTGCCACCAGAGTTATTTAATGTACCCAACAGAAAGTAACCCAGGATATTAGGATACCTGATCCCAAATCACCCTTAAATAGGGAAGTCCCCTAATGTTTGTGCACGGCTGCTCTTGCTACAGGAGACCAGGGACAGAGGACTGCTGTCTGCCCTCTCTGGTCACTCTGCCTAACTTCAGGAGCTGTAATTAACACAGACCTTAAACTCTCACATTGAGGTTTCAACATTGAGCCTGTGCCCCCAGTCTGACCTGTGACTCCTGGACCACCCCAGAGGGACCTAGTGGGTGAATCCCCTGCTGTGCATTTCTCTCTGAACCTCTGGTGGTTGCCTGGGGCATTGGCTACCAGCTAAGTTAATAGAGAAACTCAGGAAATTTCCTTCGAAATACGCGTGTCCTACTTGACGTGTCTAACAGAGACAATAGTAGCGCCTTGAAACATTATTTTATTTTGAGAGGAGCCTATGCTGCTCCTTGGCCTGTTTTTCAATCAGGTTATTTGTTATTTGCTATTGAGTTGTTTGACTTACTTATGTATTTGGATATTTACCCCTTCTACCACTTAGGGTTTGCAAATATTTTCTCTCATGTTCTGGGTCACTTTTTCACTCAGTTGTTTGTCTTTTTGATTTTTGCCATTCAGATGCTTTAATGTTCAATGCAGCCCCACTTGTCTATTTTTCTTTTCATTGCCTGTGTCTTTGCTGCCATAGCAAAGATATCATTACCAACATCAACGTCAAAGCATTATCTTCATATGTTCCTCTCATCATTTTATGGTTTCAGGTCTATGTTTGGGTCTTCAAAACATTTTGAGTTGATTTGTGTACCTAGTATATGATAAAAAACCACATGTATATGAACATCAAATCCTAACGCAGTATACAGTAGATCTGTACCATTTTTAATTCTTATTCATATCTCAGTAGAGCTGGAAAAATTTCTTTTGGATGTAGATGAACTTTTTACCTCGATGTCACTGTGTTCATTTCACCTATCACGTGATAGGGTCATGGTCCTCTTCACACTGGCTCCTACAAGAGACTACTAACCCCATGACTTCATGAGGGTGGTCACGCTCTTGATGCCTGCAACAAATGACTCTTCACTTGATAGGAATTTATGCCTGCTGCCAGAGTGTAGACCTCCAGGAAGTAGTGGGGCCATCTGCAGAAAATGACACATTTGCTCCCTGAACTTACTGAACAAAAGCACTGCTGTTATCTTTTGGTTATTAAAAAGTAAATATGGAATGAAGTGAGAAACAGGAAAAACATGCCAGGATCCTCATCTTCACCATCTTCTCCAAACACCTGATCCATCTACTCACACTTTCTAGTGTGAATAGAGATTCACACTACAATAAAAGCTGAGAGATCAAAGGAGGAAAAGAGGGACACTGAGACCAAAGGGATCCCACACAATCCCCGATGAAATGCACACCTCCTCTCACTGAGAAGTTTCAAAGTTTCTGGTCTCTGAGCCTTCTCTCTGCAGACCTATAAACCCAGGCTAACTCCTCTCTCCCCACACATCTGCTCCTGCTCTCCCTCCTCCAAGTCTCTGTAGCCATGAGGACCCTTGCCCTCCTCACTGCCACCGTTCTCTTTGTGGCCCTGCAGGCTCAGGCGGAGCCACTTCGGGCAAGAGCTGATGAAGCTGCAGCCCAGGAGTAGCCTGGAGCACATGATCAGGAAGTGTCTGTTTCCTTTACATGGGATGAAAGCGCTGCACTTCCACTTTCAGGTGAGACAGGCCGGCATGCAGAGAGCTGCACAGTCTAGAGGGTTGGACGGGAGAGAGAGTCTGGAATCGAGTCTCAATGGTCCATGTCACTTAGGTGGCTTCATTTAGCATCTCTGGTCCTTGGTATTCTCATCTATAAATTGAAGAGAGAGCCCAATAAATCTAACAGGTTTTCTGTCTTTAAAGACTTAAGGCTGCTCTGCATGGAGAGCAGCCATTATTTTACTCTTTTACTTTCTTAATAATCCTTTCACTTTAGAAAAAATAAATAAAAAGGAAAGACTTGATTCCAAGATATGCCTGTGAAACTCAGTAGGTTTAAGATATGAAGAGACAGTCTGACTACTTCTTTCTGGATCTAAACAAGTAGATTTCATTATAAGGAGAATATTTTACTGTATCTATAGAATGGTTTTTTAAAAGTAGAGCCAAGCCTAAGAGTGTGTTCAGGTGTGTGTGTGATGGGGCAGAAGCACAAAAATGAGAGCAAATGAGAATGAGTCTCAAATCCTGTGTGACCAGCACTGCTCTGTGTATTTATTCCTATTGACTGAGGTTGTTCATGCTACCGGCCCTAATGCAGACAACATCACTCATCAGCTGGCACGTGACTTCTCCAAGATTCCCTTTACAACCCACTGTTGACCTTGGTGATCCATTTCTGATGCTGTCCCTGTGTCCCCAGGCTCAGGGAGAGGCTTGAGGTGCATTTGCAGACGAGGAATTTGCCATTTCTTTCAACGTCGCTTTGGGTCCTGTGCCCTTCCTGGTAGATTATACCGGATCTGCTGCTGCTGAGCTTGCAGAATCAAGAAAAATAAGCTCATTATTTACTTTGAGAGTAAAAGAAATTCTTGTTATTCCTGTACCTTGTCCTTAATTTCATTTTCTCATCCTAAATAAATACCTTATCGCAAGATTTCTGTCTTTACATCTCTTTCACATTTGATGTGTCTTTGTGTCTCAAGACACTTGGCATGCACCTACCAGAATCCTAAGTTTTTAAACAAAACAAAATTCCAAATTCTAGGAATTTCAAGCAGGAGTTTTGGCTTCAGACTCTAATTGAAAAGAAGGCCCATATGACACCACCAATCTCCCCATCCACTGCTCTGTCTTTTCACTCTGTCTCATTTTCTCTGGATCCACTCAAAGAGCTCCCTCCCGTGTACTGGGCAAACAATCGGTGTCAGCTTAAAGTTCATGCAGTCACAAAATCATTACTTCTCCGGGAAAACCACCATCCTCTGTGCTAAAGAATTGGAGTTTCATTGAACAATGTCAGATTGTACATTTTCCTTTTAAGACATAGGGTTACATGAGATCCACGGAAAAAACTTTCTGTAAGAGGGAAATGTGTTGTTAGCAAAGGTGGGATGCATGGAACAGAAAGCACAGCAGCTTACACTGGCATGTCCTCATTAAGAGCACCCTCCAGCCATGTCTACTAAGACCTGGATTTCACATCCATAAACTCTTCTTCACACCCAGAAAATGCACACACACAAATGCTCCACTGCACTTTGCAACAGGCACTCTCTTGTGTTGCCTTAAAGCTTCTGAGAACTGAATCTGCCTGGAAAATACAGCTTCATAGGGGATAAGTGATGAGGGAGGGAAAGCATTTCACCGGGAAAATCGTAGCCTTCTTGTTGTTGCAGGGTGCTGAGGCAGCTCAGAGGTCCAGGCACCCCACTGAGACACTGCATGGATGGGGAAGCCACCAACACCAACCACAAATGCCCAGACCCCAGGAGGAAGGAGTAGGCATTCCCCACGTCCACCTCATGCAGATTCTGAGCAGGTCTCGGCCCCAGACTGAGGCTCTGCCTGTCTGAAGTGGCAGCTCAGGGATCCAGGCACCCCACTGAGATGCTGCATGGCTGGGGAACTCAATACAGATCTTAGGGACTATAGATGAGCCTATGACTGACACATAAATGGTCCCAGCTCTACCTCTTCTTTAGAGAAGGAAGGACACACATTAAGATTGAGAATGCAATGGCCAGACAACATTCCTTGGGTTCCTATAACTGCCACTGACTTGAAGTCACATGGTGCTTGCTTTAACTCTGCATACTGCTCCTAACTGTCCGCTGGGCTGGGCTGACTCCCTCACACGGCTTTTGCACTTCACCCAGAAGTCCACCTTTCTTGCACCCCAGATCCTGGAGTCTCTGCTAAAACTTCCCTTTGTCACTGAGGGCTTTGCTGATTTCTCAATTTTAAATTGCAACTAGTTCCCCCTGGAAACCTCAATCCCCTTCTTCTCTTATTTTAAACTGTAGAGTTTCACACCATCTTACATTCTGTACATTTCACCTGCTTTCTGTAATGTTTGCCTCCCTACTCTAGAAGGTGAGCTGCAAGTTTTACTCATTGTTGGGCCACAGTACACAGACGACTCCCTAATAAATAGTAGAGGATCAGCAAATTCATTATGATTACATTAATTAGTCATATCTAACATCACATATTATTACAAAATTACATTGTTATTACAAAACTTCGTAGAATAAACCTGACACCTATGGGGATAAAGCACCCATGTGCCTAGTCCATGTGACAGCATTGCTTTAAAAATCAATAAAAATCATTTAAACCAACAGGAGAATATCATGAGTAGAAAATGGCTTTGTGAAGCATCACTACCTTCTAATGAAGAACTAGCCATTTTGGCCTGTAGTGGCAAGACAAGAGTTTATGATATATCTTTAACTGAAACATACAAGATATTGAAAAATTCAATACATTAAAAAGAAGAGGTAGAGCAGTATTCTAGGTAAAGAAAATGGCATTGGGACAAGAAGTATGAAGGGTCAGATAGACCTCCAGTGAATTTAGAGGAATTGCTTTTGCAACAGAGAAGAGTAGAGCAGAATTCCGGCCGACATGCTGAGAAGTATCCATCAATCCAAGGGAAGGGGGCAGATGAGGACGGAGCATCCCATCGTCCTCAACTGGGGCACCACATGTGGCTTCTGCTACTGCAGTCCAGGGTGGCCAATGAAAGCAGCAAACTCTAGGGACGGAGAATGCAGGGAGAGATGTGAGGGTCTCCAGACAACCAGGGTAATTTTCGCAGCCTCAAATAAGACCACGAAATGATTATTGAAAACACAAACTCTGTATGTACACTGAAGACCTACTAGGCATTTTAAAGAATCCACTCATGTGATCGAACGATAAAGAATAAGTCAGAGGTGGGCCATGTTTTCACAATGTGATTATCCCAAGACATAGCATCCCTGTCTCATTGTAGGGCTTCCCCTGTGAGGCTCTGAATCCCTACAGGGCATGGAAGCACAAAGAAAAGTGTGCTTGGCAGTTTCATTTCCACTCACCCCCTTCTATTCTTAAGCCCTCATCCTTAAGATGTGAAGCTGTGTCTAGAAAATCTCCAGGAATCTTCTCATCCACAATTTCCAGTCTAAACTCACTTGCCATTCCCCATGTTTACAACCTTCCTTCAGTGAGCACAGTCTACACAGCGTCCTACTGAACGTCTTCATACATTTCCTCTACACACTGTTCTCCACACTTGGAACTTAATCTCTCACCTCTCTCCTTGCCCCAGTCCTGTCCTGCTTCAAGAAGGACATGAAGCCTCTACTGCTCCACAGTGTCACTTGACTTTAGTTAGGCACTTACTGGGGACACGTTTTTTGGCACCAATGACAGTTGTAAGACAATTTTTCCATGGGTGGGGGGGCTGAGGGATTGTTTCTGGATGAAACTATTCTACCTCGTATCATCAGGCATTAGTTAGATTCTGATAAGGAGCACACAGCCTAGATCCCTCGAGTGCACAGTTCACAATAGGGTCCACATTCCTATAAGAATCGAATGTCACCGTTAATCTGACAGGAGGTAGAGCTCAGGCGGTAATGTTCGCTCACCTCCTTCTGTGTGCCCCGGTTCCTAACAGGCCATGGACCGGTACTGGTCCTCAGCACAGGGGTTGGGAACCCATGCCATAAGCAGATGAAGGGATTTGGAAAAAGGGGCCTGGGATTCCAACCTAGCTTTGACGATGCTGGACCTTTATCCTTGGAGGCAACACTTTAATCCTATGGATCAAACTATAGTATTCTGTAAAATGAGAACACTAATATGTTCTTCCCATTTATGATGGGTTGAAGGCAGCATTGTCTGACATCATAAAAGTGCTATTAATTGGATAACTCCTATAGGCCAGACAGTATTCTCAAAACACAAAAAGATTTAATATACTAATATTAGCTAATATGAATTGATTACTAAGAAATATCCATCCATTATAATAACTAATACTCACATTAATCCTACTAACTCTCAATTACCATTAAATATTTTTTCCAGAAATATACATTAAGGAGAAAATGAACATTAGACAGATTATTTACCTTAATCAAAGTCAAAAATTATTGAGCAACAAGACCGATGCCAAATTCCATATACTTCATTCATACCCTATACTCTCTATCCTCTGAATTCTGCAGTGCTGGCTTCTGTAAGCTGCTGGGTTATTTGTGTTCTGAGCCTAGAACCTGACAGCTGCTGATGCTCAAGGGATATTTGCTGACTGAGAGTCTTACATGAGCATCACAGGCTCTCCTCAGCTCAAGCCTTTGTAAAGCCCCTCCTTTGGGATTTCATGTGAAGCATCTGGGATCTGATATTTTGGTCCACATCCTTTAAGTAGCTGAAGTCAAGTTTATTACCAGACGCCACCAGTCAGAATTCCCATTGATCATCATTACTGAGTAAAGAGACTTATTTCTCTCAGAAAATGGTAGCTAGGAGTACTGTTGACCTCTCCACAGACTGGAGATAATGATATGGCCAGCTGGATGCACCCATCAGGGTCTACAGGTGCATGAGATTGTAGCAAGAACAGGTCCGCAAGACTGCAATTCATCTTGGGGTCCAGCCCCTCCTGTGCAGAAGCAGGATCTGAATGTCTCTGAGGAGGGAAGAGACATGGGCTTCCTGTGTGTATAAGTCAGTCAGGTGCAAGATCAGAGATAAGGGCCTTCAGAAATGGAATTCTGTGCTTACAATGAAATGTGTGTACTTTGGGGAAGACTGAGGCACAGCACAGTGGGACAGAAGAGGTGAAACAGACCACACAGAGCACCTTTGTTGCTACAATGTCGCTTTGATGTTTCTCTGATCTAGCAGCTTCATCTACGGCCATGTTTCCTACACACTTGTTGGGCCTCTGTATGTGCCATTCATATGTCCAGTTGGTATGGATCCTGATAGCCCTACCTGGGACAGCACAGCCTCCTCAGGGAGGGTGGCAGCAGATGGAAAGGCAACCCTGACTCATAGCACAGAGCATGAACGAACACATGCAAGACTGAGTTTTACAAGGTTAAGTGGGAAAGACACAAAACTCAGAAAGCAACAAATAAATTTTAAATCTACATAAAAATAACTACACATCAAAAGAAACCCTATAGAGAATGACAAACTCTAAAAATATTTCTAATACCCATGACAAAGTGTTAATTTCAAACTATATAAACAGATGCTACCAGTCAATAAAAATAAATAGGCCAAGAAGGTTTAAAAAAAAAAAAGCACTTCAGTGAAAATAAATACAAGTGCTTCTTGGGCATTAAATCCTCTTGAGCCTAATTTACATGAAAAATGCAAACCAAGACTCCACTGTGATATCAAATTTTGCTTATCACTTTAGAAAAGATTTAAAAAGCTCTATAATGCAAGTACCAGCTGCTTTCAGCCACAAAGACCAGGAAACCCAAATAAACAGTGGATTTCAAAGGCCAGATCATGTTTCTCCTAAGTCGTGACACAACCAGAGGTGGGCAAACAGGAGTGGGTGCAGTATCTCAACCATGGCCTCAAGAACCAAACAGTCTTGTATCTTTCTGCTCCTCCATCCATATGGAGGAATTGTCTTCTTCATGGTAAAAAGACAGCTGTTTCTGCAAGTCCAAGTGCTTCCACGATCCAAGAAGAAAAAAGGAAGACCACATAAAACAATAATGGAAAATTATAACAGGAAAACAGAAATTTATTTCATTATTTTAAAGACTACCCCTCTTAGGGATTATCTTTTATTGCTCAGAACAGAGCTGTCACTGAGCTGCAAGAGAGTCTAAGACGTCAAGTATTCCTAGAGGAACATATTGCTGCCCTAAACATAGGCAGGAAGAAAAGGCAATGACAATTGGTAAAAATTAGGTTGGTGCAAAAGTAATTGCAGTTTCGGATCATGAATTTTAAATCATTATAACTAGGCTCCAACACAGCTTTGTTAATCAAAATAGAAACCATTACAATCAACACATTTTTGCCAACAAGAAATAAGTTTGTTTATTCCTGTGGCATAAAAATCCGTGCTTCTGGATTCAATGAACTCTTGGAAAACATTTTCTGCATCCCGCTGGTTGTGGAAGCATTTTCCTTGCAAAAAAAGTTGTCCAGATGCTGAAAGAAGTGGTAGTCGGTTGGCGAGAGGTCAGGTGAATATGGCAGATGAGGTAAAGCTTCGTAGCCCAATTTGTTCAGCTTTTGAAGCATTAGTTGTGTGACATGCTGTTGGGTGTTGCATTGATAAGAATTGGGCCCTTTCTGTTCAGCAATGCCGGCTGCAGGCATTGTAGTTTTTGTAGTTTTTGATGCATATCATGGATTTGCTGAGCATATTTCTCAGATGTAATGGTTTCTCGGGGATTCAGAAAGCTGAATCAGTAGTGGATCAGACAGGCAGCAGACTACCAAACAGTGACCATGACCTTTTTATGGCGCAAGTTTGGCTTTGGGAAGTACTTTGGAACTTCTTCTTGGTCCAACCATTGAGCTGGTCTCCGCTGGTTATCATATGAAATCCACTTTTTGTTGCACATCACAATCTGATCAAGAAATGGTTCGTTGTTGTTTCGTAGAATAAGAGAAGACGACACTTCAAAGCGACGTTTTTTTTATTTTCTGTCAGCTCGTGAGGCACCCACTTATTTAGCTTTTTCACCTTTCCAATTTGCTTCAAATGCTGCACAACTGCAGAATGGTTGATGTCGAATTCTTTGGCAACTTTTTATGTAGTTGTAAGCAGATCAGCTTCAATGATTGTTCTCAATTGGTTGTCGTCAACTTCCAATGGCAGGCCACTATGCTCCTCATCTTCAAGGGTCTCGTCTCCTTTGCAGAACTTCCAGAACCACCACTGCACTGTAAGTTGGCTAGTGCAGTGGGCCAAAATGCAATGTCCTGGACCAAAGGCATTGTTGATGTTGAGAGTTGTCTCCACTGCCTTACGACTTATTTTGAATTCAACTAAGAAAATTGCTGGAATTTGCTTTTTGTCTAACATCATTTCCATAGTGTAAAATAAATATAAAATAGACAGAAACTAATAAGTCATTAGCAAAAAAAAATAAAGTGAGCAATGTGCATTAAAATGGTCTATAATATAACCACATTTATTTAAGAATGTATTCCAATATCAAACGGCAAATTTCAACAATGCAAAAACTGGAACTACGTTTGCACAAAACAGGGCCTTCTAAAAGAAATTCCACTGGGCTCAGTGATGGTTGGAGTGATTTTTGTTTTTAGTGTATTGAACAATCTTTAGTGAGGACAATGTAACAATAAACTCAAAATATTTAAGACATGTTCTTTAACCCAGAATTCTACTTCTAAAGACATATTCAAAAGATATTGTCACTTATGGGCAAACTGATGTCTATAAAATTATATTCATTGCTGTTTAAAATTGTCATGGCAAAGCTTAGAAATATACAAATTATGACAACTTGACAATATTTTCCCAGTATAAAAATAGTAAAGTGATGGCATGTGCGAACGCTGGAAAAGTATAGGGAATAATTGTAACGTTGAAGCTCGATGTGTTTGATATACAAAGTGTACAAGACACAGCATTAGAGGGAAAAAGCAAGTGTGGAAGAATGTGTAAAATTGGGAAGTGGTGGTTTCCAAGAGCAGAGCTGCAGGGCTGGGGGAACAGACGGGAGCCTATTACCCTTTCTACCTGTTGTTCCGTCTGCATGATTTAAGATTTTATAATTAAAACAATCACAAAGATCCTAGAAGAGGGCTATAGGCATGTCAATTGTTTCGATATTTCTTAAAGTACAGATATGTTAATGATAGAAATTTTACCTGATCTGTCCAAATGACATTTGTTTCTTAAAATTAACCCACCATTTGGCTTTAGTTTTACTTATTCTTGACCTAGTATCCTAATGAGCTCATTTCACCTGTAGCCTGATTAAGTCTTTTTGTCCTCACACCAGCCCCAGGAGGAGGCTACACACCCTATAACCTCTTCATGAGGGTGGAAATGTCCCTGAATTCTCCACTGCTTTAATTTTCTATGCCACTGGGTTCAGATCTGGGGCTCCAGACAGTGGCAGGGCCCATCTTCAGAAAATAAGAGGCATTTGTTCCCCAACTTAATGAATGAAATCACGGTTTCTTTACATTTTTCAATATCAAAAAGAAAATATTCAAGTAGATTGTAAACAGAAAAATAAATAAGGGTACTCAGCCTCACTATCAGCTTGGATCCAGTCCAGACACTAAACATAAAGCCTCAAGCTATGATGAAAGCTGGGAAAACACCAGAACACAAAAGGGACCTGGAGGGCAAGGGTAGCCCTGCCACAACCAATCACAAGCTCCACCTCCTGTCACTGCAGCATCTGTCTCAGGCCTTCTCCCAGTAGAGCTATAAATCCAGGCTTGCTCCTCACTCCCCACACATCCCCTCCTGCTATCCCTCCTCCAGATGACCCCAGCCATGAGGACCCTCACCCTCCTCACTGCCATTCTCCTGGTGCCCCTCCAGGCCCTGTCTGAGCCACTCCAGGCAAGAGCTGACTAGGCTGCAGCCCAGGAACAGCTTGGGGCAGACGACCAGGACTTTACCATCTCCTTCACTGGGGACACAAGCTCAGGTTTTAGAGCTTCAGGTGAGAGCCGCCAGCATTGCAGAGCTAGGAGTCTAGAGAGGAAAACCAGGCACCTCTAGAATCAGACCCAACAGCTGGCTCTTTCTCTTAGGTGATCACCTCCCTAGGCCTCAATTTCCTCATGTGTAGACTAAAAGGAAAGAACCAGATGATACTCCAGGGATGACTTTTCTCCGAAGATTTTTGAGTCTATGACAATTCTGAGAAGCACACTTATTTTATGCTCTGCAGAAACATACTGGGCCATCTTCCCTGCATCATTGATGAGAGCCCACTCTTGAAGAAACATGTTTCACTTTGTCTATTAGAAGAGTTTTAGAAACTAGCAAGAGGCCTATGAGTGTGATCAGATGCCTTGGTGATGGAGCAGGACTACAAAAAGGTGAGCAAATGAGAATGCGTCTCTAATCCTGCCTGTGAGCAGCACTGCTGTGTACATTGATTCCTACTGATTCAGCTGATCTTGCTGCTGCTCTGATGTGGCCACTGTGATTAACGCAATCAGCCCAGCAGGTAACTGCACGGGGATTCTGTCTACCACCCACATCTGACCCCAGTCCTAATGCCTGATGCTCTCTGTATCCCCAGGCCCAAGAACCCTCTTGAGATGCTCTTGCAGAATAAGAGATTATCATCTTCAAGAACGCAACTATGGAACCTGCACCTCCGGTGAGATTCACTACAAATTCTGCTTCCTCTGAGCTTGTGGAACAGAAGAAAGTAAGTTCATAACTAGCTTTCAGACATAGAAGATAACTTTCATTACTACTGTACTTGGTCTCCAGCTTCCTTTCCTCATCTCTCGTAAAGTCCTTGTAGCAAGTTTTGTGTTTGCACCTCTTTAATGTTTGATATGTGTCTTAGTCAAGACCATGGGATGCAAGTACCAGAACACTAAATTCTACATGTTAAACAAAAGCCAGTTCCAATTCTAGGAATATTGGAGATGAACAAAGGCTTCAGACACACATTGTTAGGAAAGCTCAAATGATGCTGCTCATCTCCCCATCTACTGCTCTGCCTTTTCACTCTGCCTCATTTTGATTGGATTCATGCAAAGATAATGCTTACGTGTTCCATAAACCATCATTGTCAGCTTCAAGCTTATACAGCCATAACACTGCTACTCCTCAGGAAAAGCCAGCACGTTCTTTCCAGAAGTGTTTGAGTTTCCCTGAGCAGTTCTGGATCGTACATCTGCTTTTTAGACCTGACATGGAATCAGCTCCATGGGAAAAAAAGAATTCAATTAAAGTGGAACTGGCTGTTACAAAGACGTGATGAGTAGAACAGAAAGCACAGAGGCACCCCTCTGGGATGTCCTCATTAAGAGTATTTTCCAGCCATATCCACCAGAATCTAGATTTCATACACACAAAGTTGTCTGCACACATAGAAAATGCGCACACACAATTGCTCCACTGCACTGGGTGACAGGCACTCTCTTGGGTTACCTTAAAGCTGCAGAAAATCTGGTTCTGCCTGGAAAATACTGCTTCTAAGGCATCAGGAAAAATGAAGAGAGGGACGAGAGTTCTCCAAGTAACCTGAGTCCCTGCTGGTGCTGCAGGGCGCTGAGGTTCTAATTCCCAAAGCATCCTGCACTTCAGTGAGTGAGCAAGAAACCAGGTCTGGGGAAAAGGGAATGAACCAGGAGAGCCCTCTGAGATGCTCAGAGCATTTGTCGGGAAGGCCACAGCGCCCCCTGCTGTCCTGCCTCCAGCTGCAGCCTCCCCACCAGGCACAGCACACGTGGGGTCTACCTTCCTGAGCCTGTCTTCCTCCTCCCTTCAAGAGGACAGGGTCACTGCCTAACCCTGGTGTACCTGAGGCCAGGCTGACATCTTGCTGGGATGAGACGTGACCCTTCCACCTGTCTGTTCTCTCTTTCGCTCCCCTGATTCCCACAGACCCTAGAATCCTTGTCCAATAGGTCCTGCAGATGTCCTTTCAGGACATGACCCCCCGGCCCAGAGGGGGAGTCCAGTGTGAGCCCCTCATATTTACTCTGGATCGTGTAGTTGCAGTCAGTGATTTCAAAACACATGTTTGGGAAAAAAAAAAAAAACTATATTCAAACCATGCCTACTCTTAGCAGGTGGTCACTGTTAAGAGGTCCTAAGGAGTTTGACTGGGATAGAAAAATTACAGGCTTCAAAGAAAGGAAGGTGTCTCAAGTGGGTTATTCACCATTTCTGACTAAATCGTCTCATGGCCCAGACACTGCCGTGACCACCAACACTAACGACAAATGCCCAGAGCCCAGGAGAAGAATGCAGGTGTTTTTACGCACACCCCATGCAGATTCTGAGCAGATCGTGGCTCCAGACTGAGGCTCTGCCTATCTGAAGAGGCAGCTCAGGAGTCCAGGCACCCCTCTGAGACACCGCACAGCTGGGGAACTCAATACAGGTCCCAGGGAAGACACAGTAAGTCTGTGTGTGACAGAGAAATGGTCTGAGCTCTTCCTCTTGTTGAGACAGTGACGGAAACATATTGGGATTCACCGTTTGAAGTGCAGGAGCCTTCCTTAGTTTCTAAGAACTGCCACTGATTCAAAATCATGCGATCATAAGTTACTTTCCATATTGTTCCAAACTGCCATGGGGGCCGAGCTGACTCCATCTCGGGGCATCTGCACTGCACCCCGAAGGGCACCAGCTGGTTGCCCAGACCTGAAGTCTCAGCTAAAATTTCACCTTGTCACTGAGGTCTTTCTCGATTTCTCAATTTTAAATTGCAACAAGTTCCCCTAGTGGCCTCCATCCCTCTTGTTCTCTTTATTCCTAACTGTGGAATTGTAACTATCTCACCTTCTGTACGTTTCACTTACCATCTGTAACATTTCTCTCCCTACAATAGAAGGTGAGCAGCATGTTTTGCTTATCGTTATACCACAGTGCGTAGATAACTGCCTAATACATAGTAGGGGATCAACAAATTCATTATGGATAAATTAATTATAACCAATATCATGTAATTATATAGAATTCTATTATCATCACTAAACTATATAGGAAAAAACTGAAACCTACTGAGGTAAGGCAGTCCATGTGTCTAGTGCCTGTGATAGCAAACCTTTAAGAAACAAATCAAAAACACTGAAGTCTGAAATGTAGAACAATATCCTGGGTAAAATGTGGCTTCATGAAGCATTAGGACTTCAGGAGAAAGACAGAGATCATTTTGTCTTAGAGTGGCAATAAAGGATTTCATGGTGAAACATGAGATATTGAAAATGTGAATTTTCAGTGGTTAATTTCATGGTGAAACATGAGATATTGAAAATGTGAATAGATTAGAAGAAGGTGTAGAGCAGCATCTGCAGTGGAGAGAATGGCATCCTGGCCCTCAAACCAAAGTGGCGCCCCCGAACTTTAGACACTGGAGGCTGTGGCCACTTTAGAGGGTACCCTAGGCCACTGGTGCCTCTCACCAGATCTCCAACCAAGCAAGGGATGCTCAACTGCAGATGCCGTGCCGTGGTTAACACAGGCTGTGGCCGGCACTCCCTTGTTCCTGGGCCATCAACCTTTCAGCACATTGACTTCACTGGGCCCCTACCACACAGCCAGCACCTTTGCGTGCAGAAGCAGACACACAACCCTGCACTTCCATCAACTCTTCCAACCCAAGACCCTTGGTGTAGCAGGTGCTCTCTTGCTGTGACATTTGCTCTGTGACATTTCCCTCTCGGAAACCACCCAATATCATTGATCAAGACCTAGGCTCCCACTTCAAGGCAGTGGTGGTGACATAGGAATGGGCATCACAGCATGAGGGTTTAGGGGACTCTCACTTGGCCCATTGCCCCCAAGCCACCAGCCTCCCCAAGCAGCACAGTGGCCTCCTAAAGTCATTCTTATTGAAGTTGTGGCATGAAACCCCAAGGGGACCAAGCCCCTTCTGAGAGTCCTAACTTTCTTAACTCTCTACCCTGTGGCCACCAGTGCCTCATTATAATTAGGCCAGGCCCACCATGGTGAACACTTTGGTAATCACAGAAGAGTAAGGTTCATTTTCCCTTACAGATAACATCATTCACATTTGCTCCAATAATGATAACTCCTCATACTGTGATAAGAGGTCCATTGTCTCAACATCATACATTTACTGGAAAACAGATTGTGGATGGATAGTAAGCTGTGAGTCCCTAAGGACTGGCAGCCCAGGCCCACTGGTACCCAGCAGGGCCACAGTGATTCTGCTATACCACACCTCCCATCTTGACGTGCAGCTTCCAGCAGAAGCTCCAGTTCTTACTACTTTGAAATTTAGCTAATGTCTCCCACTCACCCCTTCCTGGAGGTAGTAGGGATTATTGCTCCAAGACCCAAAAAGGGCACAGAATGAGTCACTAAACAAACAGAAGCCTTCAGACTAGTGGACATAGACTACATTAGCTGATGATCACATGGAAGTATCATTCCCAAATGTAGCCTGTGTCAATGGTGGAGAAAGACTCTGAAGAAACATTGGTGAAAGCTCACACCATAATCGATGTCAATATCAAAGCCCTGAGTGATAAAATCTCAGTGCTCTTTATGGTTGGTCTTGCTTGGTATCTTATGTTCCCATGGCTTGTGGAGCTACTGTCAGACTCAGGATCCAAAGTCCAAAAGCTGCTAGAACAGGACTGCCCTGGTCAGAACTTGTGTCCCACACTGGAAAGCTGGGAAGTGCTGGAATCCCATGCTAGGGGGGCTGTGCCTCAAATGCCACCTGACCTCCGTCCAAGGCAGGCAACTCAATTCTTAGATATTGAGTGGGTCCATTGGCATTGAGCTTAAACACCAGCAGCCTTCACAATCACAAATAACATTTTAAAGACCGGCAGGTGGCTCACGCCTGTATTCCCAGCACTTTGGGAGGCCAAGGTTGGCGGATCACCTGAGGTCAGGAGTTCAAGACCAGCCTGACCAACATGGAGAAACCCAATCTCTACTAAAAATACAAAATAAGCCGGGCATGGTGGTGTATGCCTGTAATCTCAGCTACTCAGTATGCTGAAGCAGCAGAATCGCTTGAACCCAGGAGGCAGAGATGGCGGCGACCCAAGATCGCGCCATTGCACTCCAGCCTGGGCAACAAGAGTGAAACTCCGTCTAAAAAAAAAAAAAAAAAAAAAAACCAGCAGGTGGCCCTGCCAATGCCAGGTGTGAATTCAAACCGGCTAACAATGCCACAGCACAAACCCAGACTGCAGCTTGCACATTGGAACCTCACATGCAAAGACAGCTTCCAAAATGATCACAGGCTCCAGGATATGCATGTGCTCTGATGTATAAGAGTTGTGGATGGAAACGTCCTATACCACTAAGGAAAACACGGCTCAAGCTTTCGCTGAATGCTTCCCTGAAGACCCACAGGGCTAACAGCCTGTGCAACAGCAGCAGTAAAGCGAATGCCCAGACCCCCACTTCCCGTCGTGGGTGGCCACCTGGGAAGGCCATCCCCATGGGAATGGCCATGGCTTCAGACAACATCGCCCCTGCCCAAGGGGTCGTCAAGGGAGGCAATGGCCTTGCTGGAATTGGAGACACCAAGGAAACTTGCCTTGACTGTGGGGTCACCAGCAAAGCAGCCTCTCCTTACTAGTACAGGATACTCCTTACTCCTTACTGCTGCACTCCCTATCCCAGCACATGACGCTGGTTTATGGCACATACCCCGACCCTTGCCATACCGCTTCCTTAGCTCAGGCTTTGTTGAGTACTCTGCAGATAACCCAATACGATGGTATTTTGTGAGATCACCATTTGCCTTCAGAGTAACCCCATTAGCTATATCTCCAACAGCAAAAAACCAAAGGACTAGGCCAGATCGTGGAGCTGCCCTACAAGTTAGGCAAAAAATATGGGCTTCTGAGACCTGTGTGTAACAACTCCACACCCAAATCTAACCAGCTCTCCCAATAATAGTTCTCTCATGTGTTACTGAGAAAATGCCTGTGGATTGGAGTGTTCTGTGTGCAGGAGGCTGGTCCAGGTTTGACTTCTGCAGGTCACTGGATGTTCCCACAACCACTGGACCTTCCCCACATACACGCCCACCCCTGCAGATTTTCTGTCTATACCCACATCCACTGGGCCCTCACAGGGCACCTACTAATGCCCTAGAACCTAAAACCATCTCCTGGTCCCAGTTCCTCAAAGAGCTCTAATTTGTTCCTCTGCTGGGATGAAACCACGGCCACTTCCTCAAATGGTGAAATTCCTGGGCCTGCTAGAGATCAGAAACTCACTGCTTCCTCAGAGTGACAGCGACCCCAGTGCTCTAGAACAGCAATCACACCTAGAGACCTGAGATGCCTCATACCACCTTAAGATTACTGAAAACACTTTAACTCTTACTCCTAGAAAATTCTTTAGCCTTAAAGTATCTAACTGCCAAGCAAGGAGATAACTATCTCCTCTAGGGCACCACGTGCTACGTGTACTTGCTTAACTCAGGAGAGTCCAGCAAAACCTGAGCTGCTTAGCAAGACAAGCCGAAGTGGTATTCAGTCTCACCCAGGTGTTCACCAACATCTACGGGCTTGGCTGAATGGCTTTGATGTGTTTTTACGGTTAGACCCCACGGCCTGCAGAGGCTGATAGAGAACAAAATCCTAAACCCTCCTCAGTGTGTAGGTTGGTGCTTTTTTCCTAGTCTCCTTACAGAGTGTATACTACGCTATGCACGCTGGCCTTTCCTGGTGGCTTTAAATATTCCCTCGGTCCAGGTAGTTCAGCCTCAGCCACGAGCATAGGCATTGTGGGCTCAATTGTCTTAGGAGTCATGGAGAATCCATAGGTGGTTGCTGTCTGGGTCTGGCCAGGGCTGACCAAGGTAGGTGAGGGGTCCCTCTGTCGATGCCTGTTTGAACCCAAGCTTCACACCAAGTTTTTCAACTGTCCTTGTCACCAGAGTTATTTAATGTACCCAACAGAAAATAACCCTGGAAATTAGGACACCTGATCCCCAAAGACCTTTAAATAGGGGAAGTCCTCTCTGGGATGTGCACAGATGCTCTTGCTACATAAGACCTGGAACACAGGACTGCTGTCTGCCCTCTCTGCTCACCCTGCCTAGCTTGAGGATCTGTAAGTAACACAAAATTTAAACTTTCACATTGAGGTTTCAACATTGAGGCTGTGCCCCCAATCTGAACTGTGACTCCCAGGCCACCCCAGAGGGGCCCAGCAGGTGAATCCCCTGCTGTGAACATCTGTCTGAACCTCTGGTGGCTGCTGGGGGCATTGGCTACCAGCTAAGTTAACAGAGAAACTCAAGCAGTTTCCTTCTAAACACACGTGTCCTAATTGACATGTCCAGTAGACATGATCATAGCTCTTTAGAGCATTCTTTTGAGAGAAGTCTATTCAGGTCATTGGTCTGTTTTCCAATCAGATTATTTGTTTTTTGCTATTGAGTTGTTTGATTTCCTTATGTCTTCAGATATTTACCCTTTCTATCATGTAGGGTTTGCAAATATTTTCTCTCATTTTCTGGCTTGCCTTTTCACTCAGTTGATTGTTTGGTTGTTTTCTGACGTGCAGATCCTTTAGCATTCAGTGCATCTCCACTTGTGTCTTTTCCCCTTTATTGCCTGTGTCGTTGGTGTCATAGCCAAGAAATCATTACCCACATCAACGTCAAAGCTTTATCTTCATCTGTTCCTCTCATCATTTTATGGTTTCGGGTCTATGTTTAGGTCTTCTAATCATTTGGACTTGATTTTTCTACATGGTATAAGATAAAGGTCCAAATATATACATATATCAACTCATAAGGTAGTATACATTACACATATATAATTTTTGTCACTCACACCTAAATAGAGATGGAAATCATAGACATTTTTAGCCTTAGACAACTCTTTATGTCACTGAGCTTGTTTTACCTGTAGCCTGATGAGGTCATTGTCCTCTCCACCCTGGCCCCTACAGCAGATTCCTCACCGCGTAACCTCAAAAACCCCTTCATGAGGGTGGTAATGCCTTCAAAGCCTGCAATGAATTAATTCTCTACTCCACTGGGTCCAGGTCTAGACTTCCAGAGAACAGTAGAGCCCATCTTCAGAAAGTAAGAGGCCTTTATTCCCTGAATTCACTGAATGAAAGCACATCATCATGGCAGGGTCCTCATCATCACCATCAGCTCCAACCCAGCCAAGACACTCAACATAGAGATGCATGCTAGAATGAAAGCTGGGAGAGCAGAGAAGGAAAGGAGGAACATTGAAGCCAATGGATATCCACACCCTCTCCAACGAATCTCCACCTCCTCTCACTGAGAAGGTTCAAGAAGGTTTGTCTCTGAGCCTTCTCCCAGCTATAAATCTAGGCAGACTCCTCCCTCCCCACACATCCGCTCCTGCTCTCTCTCCTCCAGGTGACCCCAGCCATAAGGAGCCTTGCCCTCCTTGCTGCCATTCTCCTGGTGGCCCTGCAGGCTCGGGCGGAGCCACTCCAGGCAATTGCTGATGAGGCTACAGCCCAGGAGCAGCCTGGAGCAGATGATCAGGAAGTGGTTGATTCCTTTGCATGGGATGAAAGAGCTCCTCTTCAGGTTTCAGGTAAGACAAGCCGGCATGCAGAGCTGCAGTGTCTAGAGGGACAGACAGGAGACAGAGTCTGGAATCGAGTCTCAATGGTCCATGTCACTTAGGTGGCTCCACTTAGCATCTCTAAGCCTTGATTTTCTCATCTATAAATTGAGTAGAGAGCCAAAGAAATCTAAGAGATTTTCTTCTCCCAAAACTTCATTCCAAGATATGTCTGTGAAATTCACTATGTTTAAAATACAGAGAGACATACTAACTAGTTCGTTCTGGATCTAAACAAGTAGACTTAATTATTAGGAGAATATTTTTCTCTGTCGATAGAGAATCTCTTTTAAAGACTCGGGATGGGCCTAACAGTGTGTTCAGGTGTGTATGTGATGGGGCCGGAGCACAAAAATGAAAGCAAATGAGAGTGAGTCTCAAATCCTGTGACACCAGCACTCCACTGTGTTTTTATTCCTATTGACTGAGGCTGTTTGTGCTACCGGCCCTAATACAGCCAACGTCACCTATCACTCAGCATGTGACTTCTCCAAGATTCCCTTTACCACCCACTGCTGACCTTGGTGCTCAATTTTGGATGCTGTCTCTGTGTCTGTAGGCTCAAGGAGGGGCTTGACCTGCACCTGCAGATGAGATTCCTACAGTCCTGGAGAACACCGTAGAGGGACTTGCAGTGCTCCTGGAGTACGCTACCCATACTGCTTCAGCTGAGCTTCCGGAAGAGAGAAAAACGAGCTCATAATTTGTCTTCAGAGCTACAGAGAATTGCTGTTACTCCTATACCCTGTCCTCAGTTTCCTTTCCTCATCCCAAATAAATGTCTTCTAACAAGACTTTTGTGTTTACACCTCTTTAACGTGTGGTATGTGTCTGTGTCAACACATTTGGGATACATGTACGTGAAACCTAAATCAAATTTTTGAACAAACTATAATTCATAATTCTAGGAATTTCAAGCAGGAATTTGAGCTTCAAACCTAAGTTGAAATGAAGGTCCAGTGTCACCACCAATCTCACTGTTCACTGTTCTGGCTTTTCACTCGGCCTCATTTTCTTCGGATCCATTGTGTGCTGGGCAAACACTCAGTGTCAGCTTAAAGTTTATGCAGTCACAAAATCGTTACTTCTCCAGGAAAATCAGTATCCTCTGTGCTAAAGAATGGGAGTTTTATTGAACATCTTCAGGTCACACATTTGCCTTTTAAGACGTAGGGTTACAGGAGATCCACTGAAACAACTTAAATTAAGAGAGAAATGGGTTGTTAGCAAAGGTGGGATGCATGGAACAGAAAGCACAGCAGCCCACACCGAGATATCCTCATTAAGAGCACCCTACAGCCACGTCTACTAAGACCTGGATTTCACACCCACAAAGTTGTCTTCACACCCAGAAAACACACACACACACAAATGCTCCACTGCACTTTGCAACACGCACTCTCTTGAGTTGCCTTAAAGCCACTGAGACCCTGATTCTGTTTGGAAAATACAGCTTCGCAGGGGAAAAGAGAAGAGAGGAAATAAATTTCATCAGGAGCTTGGCGGCCCTGTTGTTGTTGCAGGGCACTGAGGCTCTGATACTCAAAACATCCTGCACATCAGTGAGTGAGCAAGAAACCAGGCCTGGGGAAAGGGAATGAACCAGGAGAGCCCTCTGAGATGCTCAGAGCATTTGTCGGGAAGGCCACAGCGCCCCCTGATGTCCTGCCTCCAACTGCAGCCTCCCCACCAGGCACAGCACACGAGGGGTCTGCGCCTTCCTGATCCTGTCTTCCTCCTCCCCTCCGAGAGGACAGGGTCACTGCGTAACCCCGGTGTCCCTGAGGGCCAGACTGACATCTTGCTGGGGCGTGACATGACCTTTCCTCCTGTCTGTCCTCCCTTTCCCTCCCCTGATTCCCACTGACCCTTGAATCCTTGTCCAATATGTCCTACAAATGGCCTTTCAGGACATGACCATTTTCAGGAGTCCAGCATGAGCCCCTCGTATTTACTCTGGATCTGGTAGTTGCAGTTGGCCAATTTAAAACACGTTTGAAAAAGAAACTATATTCAAGCCATGGCTACTCGTAGCGGGTGGTCACTGGTAAGATGATGCAAGGAGTTTGAGTGGGACAGAGATTACAGGCTTCAAAGAAAGGAAGGTGTCTCTAGTGGGTTATTCACCATTCCAGGCTAAGACCTCTCATGGCCCAGACACTGCTGTGACCACCAACACCAACCACAAATGCCCAGAGCCCAGGAGAAGGGAGCAGGTGTTGCCCACATCCACCCCATGCAGATTCTAAGCAGCTGTCAGCCCCAGACTGAGGCTCTGCCTGTCTGAAGAGGCAGTTCAGGGGTCCACACACCCCACTGAGATGCTGCACAGCTGGGGAACCCAATACAGATCCCAGGGAGGACACAGTGGGTCTGATAGACACAATGGTCCCAGCTCTCCCCGTTGTTTAGACAGTGACGGTGATGGACCCAATAGGATTCAGGGTGTGAAGGCTGTGCACCCTTCTTTGGTTTCTGGTTCACTACCGCTGATTCAAAGTCCTCTGGTCATGAACTAACTCTGTATGTGCTCCTAAACTGTCATGTGGGCCAGGCTGACTCCATCTCAGGGCATCTGCACTTCACCAAAAATTCTGCATGGCTTGCTCCCCAGCTCTGGGGTCTCAGCTGAAATTTCACTTTGTCACTGTGTTCTTCCTCAATTTCTCAATTTTAAATTGCAACAAGTTCCCCCTGGTGACCTCTATCCCACTGGTTCTCTTTATTGCTAACTCTAGAATTATAACCATCTCACCTTCTGTACACTTCACTGACTCTCTGTAACATTTGCCTTCTTATGCTAGAAGGGAAACTGCATGTTTGGCTCATCGTACCACAGTGCATAGATGATTGCCTAACACATCATAGGGGATCAATACATTCATTATGAATAAACTAATTAATAATCTCTAACATCACGTATCATTACAAAATCACATTGTTATTACAAAACTGTCGAATAAACCTGAAAACTACACAGTTAAGACTGTCCTTGTTTCTAGTTCCTGTAATAGCATACCTTTAAGAATCAAATTCAAAACATTAAAGGCAGAAATACAGAAAAATATCTTGGGCAATATGTGGCTTAATGAAGCATTAGGACTTTAGAAGAAAAAAGAGATTATTTTGGCTTGCAGTGGCAGTAAAAAATTGTATGGTTAAGCATAAAGATATTTAAAACCTGGAGACACTTAACAAAGGAGTAGAGCAGCATGTTCAATGGAGAGAATAGCATCAGGGCAAGAGATATGCAAGAGGAGGTCAATCTCCACTGAAATGAGAGAAATTACTGTTGCAACAGAGAAGGATGGAGTAGAATTCGGGCCTATTTGCTTAGAAGCATCCATCAATCCAAGGGAAAGGGGCAGATGAGGACAGAGCCTCCCTGCTCCTCTGTGTGGATAAAGGCACACTGGGAGCACCACATGTGGCTTCTGCTACTGCAGTCTATGGTGAGCAATGACAGCTGCAAACTCTAGGGACAGAGAATGCAGGGAGAGATGTGAGGGTCTCCAAACAACCTGAGCAACTCGCTCAGCCTTGGATGAGATCCAGAACTGTTCCCCGGGATGCAGATAGAGTCTAGGTTCACTGATGATGTATAAGAGATTTTCTACCTTGAGCCACTCGTATGGTAGGACAACAAAAGAGTAAGTCAGATGCCTCATCCCTATAAATGTAATTATGCAAGGGTAGAGCAGCCATGTCTCTGTAGGAGGATAAAAGCCTAACTCCAATAAGCACAAATTAGCCAACACAGATGGCCCAATCACACCGGTCAACTTCCCTCCTAACGACCTCCAGAACTATCCCCCTAACTCCGAGCAGGGCTTACATTCTTCTGCCTTTGGCTTTAGGAGAGTGTAGGACAACCGTTTTCCCTATTGCAACATTTTGACTTTTTTGCAACAGTCTTCAATAAATGCTTCCTTGCATTTCTGAAACGTATGGGTGAAATTGTATTTTACAATAAAAGACATAGGCTATTTTTTCTGTTTCTCTGTTTGATTTTTCTGAACTCTGCTTACAAGAAAAAGCAGAATGTAATGGATGGGAAAATGATTTGTTCCCTTTTCTGAATATGTGTATTTTTTTTCTTTGCTGCTGAAAGCCAAATAACTCATTAAGAATCCTGGAAAAAGAGTTCACTCTGCTATTACCTGGCAGGTCACCCTCCCAATCTCTCACTATTTTTACCTTTGAATGACAGTGACCCTCAACAATCTTTTTTCCAATAATCTTTGTTTCACCCACTGGACACCCACTAATTCCTGCCAGCACCTGGAATTCCTCTAGCTCTGAACATCAACCAAGAAGCTCCCCAACCCTGATCTCATCAACTGTACTTCCAGCCTCTCATGTAGCTGTCCCTCCCTCACTGCTGATAAGCATCAATAAGGCTGTTCTCGGCTGGGCACAATGGCTCATGCCTGTAATCCCAGCACTTTGGGAGGCCAAGGCGGGTGGATCACCTGAGGTCAAGAGTTCAAGACAAGACTGGCCAAAATGGTAAAACCTCATCTCTACTAAATATACATATATATATATATATATATATATATATATATATATATATATATATGCAAAAATTATCCAGGCATGGTGGCAGGAGCCTGTACTCCCAGCTACTTGGGAGGCTGAGGTACAAGAATGGCTTGAACCAAGGAGACAGAGGTTGCAGCGAGCCGAGATCACACCATTGCACTTTAGCCTGGGCGACAGAGCAAGACTCTGTCAAAAAAAAAAAAAAAAGGCTGTTCTCCCACGGGGATGTGCATCAAATAATTTACCTGGGAGCCTGATGCCTAGGCTGCACCCGGCACACCTGTCCTCTGCTCTCATCTCCTGTCCTTGTGCACTGCACCGTGTTTCCATCAGGTTCTCTGAGTTTGGTAGTTGTGATGTTTTTCAGTCATCTTAGTTGGGTCTTGAATTCGAGTGTCAGAAAGCATGATGAGCTAAGTTAACATTTTGACTACTATATCTTGGAATATTCCACAGATTACCTCAAGGCCTCTAGTCAACAGCGCAGCCATTGTGGAGAGGACACCAGCCCATGGGCCAGGTGGACAGAGACCCAAGGTAGCCACCGAAACAAGACACAAAGACCTCACGCCCAGCTTAACCCCTGCATGCCTCCCATGTGAAGTCCCCCTTTTTAAACTCTTGTCTTCTCCCCAAAAACTTGAAGTGGTTGCTTTGATGTGAATCCAGCCATTTCCCCCTTAGTAGTTTTGGTTAATAAAGTCGCTCTCTTTCTACCCCACCTCCGTCCAGTTATCACTGCTGCACGTGGCGAGCAGCGGGACCTGTGTTCAGTGACATGTCCTCACTTGGTGGAAGGAATGACGTAGTGCTCTGGGGTCGCCTCTACAAGGGCACAAATCCCATTCATGAGGACCGTGCCCTCCTGATCTCATCACTGGGTAAAAGCCCAAACCTCTTGATGCTATCACCTTGGGGTTTAAGATGTAAACATATGGATTTCATAGGGACAAAAATATTCAGGCCACAACACCATCCCATACTGAAGAAGTGAAAGATACCAGTTAATTAGTATCTGATCCCAGAAGAGAACATAGCACTAAGTCAGGATTATTTTACTTGTCAAAATATCACCCAGACTAGATTCAAGAGGAGAGGAGATAAACATTCCTTTCTTTGGGAAGAGCCACGGATGCAGGATGTAGGGCCCATATTTTTAAAGCTGTTCAATGGACTTATTCTCTCATAGTATATTGTAAAATGCAACAACACCAGACACACAGACAGCCTGATAGGTGCTGGGAAAGACGGACAAAGGGCAGGGACTCGGAGCTCCTGCCTGTCCCAGCTGGATCTACAGGTCCAGGAGTTGCTGTGTGGCACAGGCAGCACCAGGACCCTCCCTGCAGGACAGTGGACAAAGGGCTGAGGGGAGGGGCAGGGTGGTGCACTCTGAAGAGCTGGGAGGTGGCCGGTCCTCAGAGCTCACCCCCACACAGCCCCCACCCTGCCCCATGCTAACGTGCACACTGGGTTCCACGACTGCCCTTCCCTACCAGGACGAAATCACGTACCAGAACCCCGCGCAAGGTCCACACACCCTGGGTCTGCTGGGGCCCCTGGACACCCTCAGCATGTGTGGGAATATCCTTGCTGCTCCTGGAGTTCTCTCTCCTCTCACACCCACACCTGCACCCCCACCCACAGCTTCACCAGAACGTGGTGTCAAGGTTCTGACGGTGTCCAGGCTGATGGTGTCGAGGCTCTTATTAAGTGTCCAGACTCGTTTAAATATTCCCTGGAAATTCAAGACGATGTGGATGAGAGAAGAGTTTCAGCCACGTCTACTGTGCCTGGGAGTCGATACTGGTGAAAAGAATGGGAAACTCAGGCTGGGGAGATCATGGATGGACACGGAAGCGAAAGTGTTGCAAAGATTTTTAGACAAAACAGCTTTTTTTGTTTTTTGCTTAAACCTTAGAGTTCTGCCAAGGTTCTGGTGCAGCCCAGAAAGAAAAGTGAAAGAGACCACAAGAGATGAATCCCTCTCTTCTAATTTGGGTTGGAGTTTGAGAGTCACGTGGGCGAGAAGGAGGTAAAGCACAGGTGCAACCTCAGCACAGACTGAGAACCTGACGGGCCCTGGGCTGCTGAGTCCGCCCCTGCCACAGAGTAGCGCCCCCCAGCCTACAGTTACCACCCCTCCAGCCATGCATGGGAGGGAATGACCTCAGGACAATGGGTTGGGGATGGAAAAGGCAGCACCAGCAGCCACCACTGACTCGAGCAACCTGCAGGGCATGTGTTCTCTTTGACCTCCTGAAACCACTCCGGGTGCTGCTGGTGAGGCCACCACATGGGCCAGGCCACACTCCTGCTGCAGGGCTGCTACACCTGCTCTCCCTTTTCCTGGACCCATCCAGGTTTCTGCAGCACTCACCCAGCCCCTCCTGGCCTCTGCTCTGATGTTCTCTCCACAATGAGGCTGCCATGGTGACACTATTGAGCAGCACCCTGCCCCCAACACCGTGTCACCTGGGCACTCCAGGTCACCTCAATGTTATCCTTTTATTCTGTATAATAACCACTGGCTGCGTAGTGTATCATACCCATCATAACTTTGCCTATTGTTTGTCTCCTCCACTAAAATATAAGACGGAAACAGTGCTTGCCACTCTGTGGCGCTGGAATCCAAGTAGAGCAGCCACCAGACTGTCCTCCAGGACCATTAAGGCCCTGATTCCAGATACAGTCAAGTTAACAGAGGGCATACAAAGGCCCAGGGCACAACATTTCACAGCAGGAGACTTGGCCAATGCATTCTGCCCATTCCCATCACAGACGGGTCGCAGTCTGTGTTTGCTTTGACTTTGGAAGGGACCCAGTGCACATTTACCAAATTGCACTCAGGCTGTCTCAGTAAGCCAGCTACTGCCCATAACTCGTGCCCCCGGGACTTCCTGTGATTCAGTGTGAACCCCTGTACCTTGTGGCATTACATTGATAGCATTTTCCTCAGAAGCCCCTAGAAGAAGGAAGTGAAAACCATGCTGGTCATTTTAGTGGCTTCCTCCAAGACCATGGCTGGGCCACAACCCACACAAAGTTCAGGCCCCGCACTGCTGTAAAGATTCTAGAGATAACCTGGTCCTCAGTGGGCCACCAAATTCACCTTGCAGTTAAAACCAAAGTCTTCACCATTAGGGTGCCAGCCACTTTGTGGCAGGCCCTGCGCATACTGGGACATTCCGCCTGCACCTACACCTCACTTGTCCATTCTGCAGAGGCCCACAGACACTGTCACCCAGAAGCCCTCCATGTCTTAACTGGGGCCACAGCAGGATACAGCATGCAGCTGGCTCAGCAGGTGGTCTCTCAGGCCATGCCCAGGTCCCGGGTTCTGAGTTTCATATAGAGGCCCTCAGTACCACCAATCATGACTCCCAGAGCCTCTGGAGAAAGCACGTCCATCCTGGCTATGGGCTTCTGCAGGCATAAACTTCCTGGCAGCTGCAGCTCATTATCCCCCGTTAAAAAGCTGGCTACCACTACACACAATGCCCGTATAGACATAGGCACTACAGGACAGGTTCCGGTGCTGCTGTGTCCCCAGACTCCAGCCATGCCCCATGTCTGACTCCTCCTGACAGAGGCTCAGCCATTCATGTCTCCCTGGGAAAATGGGAACAGCACTTGTAGGACAAGGCAAACCTGGCACTTAAGTCCTTTCAAGTGACAGGAAGCTGAGGCCATGGTTTCCCTGTTATTCAGCTCCTGCCTACAAGCAGAGAGAAATAGCAGCAGCGACCCTATTGCCCGAACAATTGGTGACCTGATGAGGCCATGGGAAGAGTTGGACATGGGGAGTCCACATACCTCAGGGAAGGCAGCACTGCCCTGCAGGCCGGGAGCCCACTGGCCGGCAACCACCTCCCACATTTATCACAGCAGGGCCTGCATAGGAGGGGAGGGTATGCTGAGCCCAGCCATACAGCTGGTGGTGCCGGTTGCAGGGGAGGTTGCTGTGGCCATAACCCCCACTCGGGGACAGTTTTTACAGATTCCTGGGCTGTGCCCAACATATTGTGAGTGCCCTGGATCCAATGCCTCTGGAATGGCCTCTGTGGCGTGGACCTGTTTGGGTCAAATTAGGGGACACTCCAGTCCTCCTATAGGTGATTCATGCCTCATGCATTCAGAACAAACATGCCCAGGCTACTTTCCACCACTCGAAGGGTGAGGCATCCACAGTGAGACGACTGCCATCTTTGGCCTCCAGACTGAGCCTGCTGACAGCCCCTGATGTCCTGTCCCCAGGAGGTTAGCGGTCAGATGCACCTCCCAGGGCTTGGGTGAGATCCTCTTATTTTTACAGACTCCAGAATCTCAAGTTCTGTATTCCTCAGGTGCTGACAGAGTGGAGTCCTACAGCCCCAGATCATGAGAGCTACAGCCACATTAGAGGGCAACCCACACCACAGCTGTCTCCCACCATAGCTTCAGGCAAGCAAAACTGTGGCCAGCAATCCCTTGTTCCTGGGCCATCACCCTTTCAGCTGGTGGCAAATGGACTTCACTGGGCCTCTCCCATCACAGCCACCACCTTCTGCTGTGCAGGAGCAGACACACATCCACCGCACTTCCATTGACTCTTCCAACCCAAGGCTCTTGGTAGAGAAAGGTGCTCTCTTTCTGTGACATTTGCTCTATTACCTCTTGTGAACCACCAGATATCACTGATGCAGATCAGGGCTCCCACTTCAGGGTGGTGCTGGGCAACTCAGCATGGGGGTTAGGGGACCCTCACTTAGCCACTGGCCTCCTCAAGCAACACAGTGGCCTCCTAAAGTCATGCTTATTAAAGTTGTGGCATGAGCACAGACTAAGTCAAATTAGGAAAGGCTCCAGTCCCCCTACAAGTGGTTCATCAAGGGAACCAAGCTCCTTTGAGAGCCTTAACTATCTTAATTCTCAACACCATGGCCACCAGCTCTTCTACAATTGGACCAGACCAACCATGGCACCCACCCTGGTGATCACAGAAGAGTTGAGCTCTTTTTCCCTTATGGATACCATCACCCACATTTTCTGCAATAATGAGACCCCCTCATACCATCACAAGATGTCCACTGTCTCAGCATCAAACATTTACTAAAGACTCGATCGAGGATGGACAGTGATAGGGTTTGGCTGTGTTCCCACCCAAATGTCATCTTGAATTCCTATGTGTTGGAGGGACCTGGTGGGAGGTAATTGAATCATGGAGGCAGGTCTTTCCCATGCTGTTCTCATGGTAGTGAATAAGTTTCACAAGATCTGATGGTTTTATATAGGGAGTTTCCCTGCAGAAGCTCTCTCTTTGCCTGCTGCCACCCACGTAAGACTTGACTTGCTCCTTTTGTCTTCTACCATGATTGTGAGGCCTCCCCAGCCATGTGGAACTGTGAGTCCATGAAATCTCTTTCCTGCATAAATCACCCAGTCTCGGGTAGGTCTTTATGAGCAGCATGAAAATGGACTAATACACATAGTGAGCTGTGATCCTCTGGGGACTGATGGTCCAGGCAGCTGCCACAGAGCAGCCCTAAGATGCTTCTGCTACACCAGACCTCACCTCTTGACATACAGCCTCCAGCAGAAGCTCCAGTTCTTCCTGCTTTGAAAGGTAGCTAATATCTCCCACTCACTCCTCCCTGAAGGAAGTGGGGATTGTTTCTCTGCAGCCCAAAGAGGGTACAGTCTGGGTCACTAAATGAGGAGAAAAAGCCATCAAACTAGAGGACGCCAACTACATCAGACAAAGACCACATGGAACTACCATCACCATGTCCTGTGTCGATTGCAGAAAAATGCTCTGAAGAAATGTTGGTGAAAGCCCACCCCATAATCAATATCGACGTAAAAGTACCTTGAGGAAATCCCTGAGTTATAAGCTGTCAGTGCTCTCTATCTTTGGCCTTGCTGGGTATCTTATGTATGTAAATGTTGTACGGCTGCTCTTAGGCCTGGGGCCTGGCATCCCAGAGAGCTGCTGGAACAGGACAGCCACTGTGAGAAATTGAACCCCAGGCTGGAAAACTGTGGCATGTTGAGGCAATGTGCTAGAGGGGCAAAACCCCAAATGCCACCTGACCTGGATCCAAGCCAGGAAACCCGATCCTTAGATATTGAATGGGACCCATGGCACTAAAGCTTAAACACCAGCAACCCCCACAATCAGAGGCAGGTGGCCCTCCCCATGACCAGGCATGAATACAAACCAGCTAATGATGCCTCAGCACAAACTCAGTCTGTGGCCGGAAAGGTTGGAGCCTCACATGCAGAGAAAGCATTCAAACACGTTCATGGGCTTAGGGATACTTCTGTGCTCCAAAGTATGTGAGTTGTGGATGGAAATGTCCTATCCCCCGACCAAGGAAAGCACCACTCAAGCTTTCACTAAACGCTTCCATGGAGTCCCACAGAGGCCAGAGGCCTGTGCAACACCAGCCCATACCCTCTCTCTTCTTGAGTGACCAGCTGGAAAGGCCACCCCTACCCGAAAGGCCATCACCTCAGAAGACAGTGCTCTGATCCAAGGGTTTGTCCTGGGAAACAGTGGCCTCACCAGAACCAGAGACACCAAGGAATCTCATCTTGACTGTGGGGTCATCCCCAAACCAGACTCACCTTACTCTCCTTCCTGCCGCAAGGTATGGATCTCACCACCCCCAGGACATGGAGTTGGCTCACGTCCAGTACCTGGACCCGTGCTTTCTTAGCTCATGCTTTCCTGAGGACCCTGCAGATGACCCCTTAGAATGGTATTTTGCTGGGATCCCCATTTGTCTTCAGTGTAACCCATTAGTTAAACCGCCTACTGCAAGGAAACCACAAGGCTTGGATCAGATCAGGAGGCTGCCCTACAAGTTATGCCAAAAAATATGGACTTGGAAGACCTGTCTGTTATAATATCACACCCAAATCTAACCAGCTCTGCCAATAACAGCTCTCTCCTATGTTACTAGGAAAATGCCTATGGATTGGAGTGTGTTCTGTGTGCAGGAGGCTGGTCCAGGTTTCACTTCTGCAGGACACTGGACATCCCCACAACCACCAGACCTTCCCCACGTGCACACACACCCCTTCTCATTTTGCCTCTACATCCATATCCACTGGGCCCTTCAGGCACCTACTAATGCCCTAGAACCTAAAACCATCATCTGGGGCCCAGTTCCCCAAATAGCCCTAATTTCTTCCTCTGCTGGAATGAGTCCAGTGCCCACTTCCTCCAAAGGTGAAATTGCTGGGCCTGCAACAGATCAGGAACTCACTGCTTCCTCATAGGGGCAGCCGACTTCACTGCTCTGGAACAGCGACCACCCCTAGCGAGGCTTGAGATGCCTCTTCCCTCCTTAAGACTGAGAGCGCCGCTGCCCCCAGTCCTCCATAGCCCAGTGCCTGCTGCCTTCACGCAGAGCTGCAGGGGAGGCCCTGAGCACCCAGCCTGCTGGACCAGCGCTGTGCACGGCCCTCCCATGGCGGCAGGGGCTGCCTGGACTGCATACTGGGTTCAGCAACCTCACTATAGGTATTCATTCCCTCAGGAACAACTGCATTCTTTTCTCATTTCCAGAAACCTCATCCCGTTTACCTCACTACAAGGAGGAGGATGGTGGAGAGTGGTACATTTTAAAATGTGCACTAGTCTCCCTGGGACTCCCCTTCAAATAACCCAGGAGGGACCACACAAGGGAAAGCTTATGCATCCCCCCCACCCAGTGACCATCTTCCTAACTCTGGGTGTAGGGAGACTCGTAAGCCTACGGGATTGGTTTGGGAACAGGGTATTTGAGCTCACAACACAAGGTGATGCAAGCTAACACCAATCTCGCTGCAGCTTTGGCCACCATCCTAAGGGACTTCTGACAGACATTAGGTGTCACGCAATCATTTGATGAGTCCTTGGCCTGGATGACCTAGACAGTCATTTAGGCTTGAACTATCTAAGGCCAAGCAAAAAGGTGACTGTCCCCTCTAGGGAACCACATGCTATATGCACATCCTTTACTCGGGAGCCTGCAACCTGCCCTATCCAGCAACACAAGCCCAGGCGGTATTCAGTCTCATCCAGGTATTCTCCAACCTTACTTGTCTGAATGGCTTGGATTTGTTTTTATGGTTAGACCCCAGGGCCTGGGGAGGTCAGTTCAGACCACATTCCAAATCCTCATCTGTGTGTGGGTGGCATTTTGATCCTAGTCTCCTCGCAAGGTGTATACAACAATATGCAGGCCAGGCTCTCCTGGTGGCTTTAAATATTCCCTCGGTCCAGGTAGTTCAGCCTCAGCCACCAGCATAGGTATCATGGGGTCAATTGTCTTAGGAGTCATGAGGAATCCATAGTTGATTGCTGCCTGGGCCTGGCCAGGGCTGACCAAAGTAGACGAGGGGTCGGTACCTCCGTGGACTCCTGCTTGAACTCCAGCTTTCTGCCAATTTCTCAACTGCCCTTGTTAACAGTTATTTAAAGTACCCAATAGAAAGTAACCCTGAAAAATTAGGACACCTGATACCAAAAGACCCTTAAATAAGGAAGTCCTCTCCTCTGTGTGCATGGCTGCTCTTGCTACATAAGACCTGGAACACAGGACTGCTGTCTGCCCTCTCTGCTCGCCCTGCCTAGCTTGAGGATCTGTAAGTAACACAAAACTTAAACTTTCACATTGAGGTTTCAATATTGAAGCTGTGTCCCCAGTCTGACCTCTCACTGTGGGGCCACCCCAGAGGGACCCAGCGGGTGAAGCCCCTGCTGTGAACTTCTATCTGGGTGTCTGGCGGCTGCTGGGGGTAATGGCTACTAGCTAAGTCAATAGAGAAACTCAAAAAGTTTCCTTCCAAACACACGTGTCCTACTTGACATGTCCAATAAAGACGATCACAGCTTCTTAAAACATTATTTTATTGTGAGAGAAGCCTCTGCAGGTCCTAGGTCTGTTTTTCAATCAGGTTGTTTGTTTTTTGCTATTGAGTTGTTTGACTTCCTTATGTATTCAGATATTTACCCCTTCTACCACGTAGGCTTTGCAAACATTTTCTCTCATTTTCTGGGTTGCCGTTTCCCTCAGTTGATTGTTTCCTTTGCTATGAAGATGCTTTAGCGTTCAATGCAGCCCCGCTTGTCTATTTTCCCATTTGTTTATTGCCTGTGCCTTTGGTGTCATAGCCAAGAAATCATTACTCACGTCAATGTCCAAAGCTTTATCTTTGTATGTGCTTCTCGTAGTTGTATGGTTTCAGGTCTTTTCAAGTCTATGTTGAGTCTTCAATCCATGTTGAGCTGATTTTTTACATGCTGTGAGAGAAAGGACCACGTGTATGCACCTAGCAACTCATGAACCTTACACAACTCTTTATCTCTCTCACTGAGCTCATTTCACCTGTACCCTGATAAGGTCATTGTCCTCTTCACTCTGGCCCCTACAGGAGACTACTCACCCCATTACCTCAGTCGCCCCTTCATGAGGGTATAATGACCTAGAAGCCTGCAATGAGTTACTCTCTACTCCACCGGAATACAGGTCTGGCACCAGTGTTTAGACCTGAAGAGAATAGTAGGGCCCATTATCAGGAAATAAGAGGCATTTGCTCTCTTAAATTATTGAATGAAAGCACTGTTTCCATTCTTTTTAGAATATTAAAGATTTAACCAGGAAATATTAGGTATTTCCTGAAAACAGGAAAAAATGCCAGGGTCCTCATCATCACCATCAACTTCAACCTAGCACAGACACTAAACATAGAGCTTCCTGTGAAGAAAGCTGGGAGAGCAGAGGAGCATTCCAGGGATGTCAAGGCCAATAGGAGTCGGCATCCTCTCTAACAAAATGCACACCTCCTCTCACTCAGAAGGCCAAAGGTTTCTTATCTCTGTGCCTTCTCCCAGCAAAGCTATAAATCCAAGCTGGCTTCTCCCTCCCCACACAGCTGCTCCTGCTCTCCCTCCTCCAGGTCACCCCAGCCATGAGGATTATCGCCCTCCTCGCTGCTATTCTCTTGGTAGCCCTCCAGGTCCGGGCAGGCCCACTCCAGGCAAGAGGTGATGAGGCTCCAGGCCAGGAGCAGCGTGGGCCAGAAGACCAGGACATATCTATTTCCTTTGCATGGGATAAAAGCTCTGCTCTTCAGGTTTCAGGTGAGAGAGGCCAGCATAAAAAAGCTACCGAGTCTAGAGAGACGGATGGGAGATGGGCTCTGGAATCACATCTCAATGGTGGATGTCACTTAGGTGGCTTTACTTACCATCTCTGGGCCTCGATTTTCTTATCTCCAAACTGAATAGAGAGACAAACAAATGTAAGTAGTCTTCTTTCTCCAAAGACTTGATTCCAAGGTATGTCTATAAAATTCGCTAGGGTTAAGATACGGAGAGACAGATTGACCAGTTCTTTCTGGATCTAAACAAGTAGATATTATAGGGAAAATATTTCATTCTGCCAACAAAGGAAATTTTAAAAACTGGAGATGGGCTTAAGAGTATGTTCAGGTGTGTGTCTGATGGGGCAAAAGCACACAAATCAGAGCAAAAGAGAATGAGTCTCAAATCCTGTATGAGCAGCATTGCTCTGTGTATTTATTCCTATTGACTAAGGTTGTTTGTGCTACCGGCACTAATGCAGCCAGCATCACCGGTCAGCCAGCATGTGACTTCTCCAAGATTCCCTTTACCACCCACCGCTGACCTTGGTGCTTAATTTCTCATGCTTCCTCTGTGTTCCCAGGCTCAACAAGGGGCATGGTCTGCTCTTGCAGATTAGTATTCTGCCGGCGAACAGAACTTCGTGTTGGGAACTGCCTCATTGGTGGTGTGAGTTTCACATACTGCTGCACGCGTGTCGATTAACGTTCTGCTGTCCAAGAGAATGTCATGCTGGGAACGCCATCATCGGTGGTGTTAGCTTCACATGCTTCTGCAGCTGAGCTTGCAGAATAGAGAAAAATGAGCTCATAATTTGCTTTGAGAGCTACAGGAAATGGTTGTTTCTCCTATACTTTGTCCTTAACATCTTTCTTGATCCTAAATATATATCTCGTAACAAGATGTCTTTGTTTACACCTCTTTAAAATTTGATATGTGTCTGTGTCAAGACACTAGAAAGCAACTGCCAGAATCCTACATGAATATTTTGGAACAAATTAAAGTTTCAAAATCTAGAATTTTTAAGGAGGAGCCATGGCTTCAGACACAAACTGAAACGAAGGCACAAATGATGCCACTGATCTCACCATCCACTGCTCTGTCTTTTCATTCTGCCTCATTTTGAATGGATTCACTCTCAAAGACAACTCTCATATACTAGGCAAAAGAATCAACGTCAGCTTCCAGTTTAGCTACTCACAACCTCACTACTTCTCGGGAAAAACCACCATCCTCTGCGTCAAAATATTGGAGTTTTATTGAACATGTCCAGGTCACACATTTGCCTTTTAAGACATAGGGTTATAGGAGATCCACTGAAACAACTTTAATTAAGAGGGAAATGGGTTGTTAGCAAAGGCGGGGTGCATGGAACACAAAACACAGCAGCCCACAATGGGATGTCCTCATTAAGAGCACCCTTCAGCCACGTCTATGAAGACCTGGATTTCACACCCATAAAGTCGTCTTCACACCCAGAAAACGCACACACACAAATGCTCCACTACACTTTGCAACGCGCACTCTCTTGGGTTGCCTTAAAGCTGCTGAGAACCTGATTCTGCTGGGAAAATACAGCTTCACCAGAAACCTTACATTCCTGTTGTTGCTGCAGGCTGCGGCTCTGATAACCACAACATCCTGCACATCAGTGAGTGAGCAAGAAACCAGGTCTAGGGAAAGGGAATGAACCAGGAGCGCTCTCTGAGATGCTCAGAGCATTTCCCGGAAAGGCCACAGCGTCCCCTGCTGTCCTACCTTCAACTGCAGCCTCCCCATCAGGCACAGCACACGTGGGGTCTGTACCTTCCTGAGCTTGTCTTCCTCCTCCCCTCCAAGAGAACAGGGTCACTGCCTAACCCGGGTGTCCCTGAGGGCCAGGCTGACATCTTGCTGGGGTGTGATGTGACCTCTCTTCCTGTCTCTCCTCTCTGTCCCTACCCTAGAAACCCACTGTACCTTTAACAATAGTTGAGGATGTCTTGTCAACGGCCTATGAGGACATGATCACAAAGCTCCAGGGACAAGTCCAGCTTGGCCCACAGATTTCTTATATTTTGGATCTAGCAGTTCCAGTTTATGAATCCACTACACATGCTTGGAAAAATACCTTCTCTGTTCAAGCCATGGCTCCTCTTATCTGGAGGGTCATTCATAGAATGCCCCCACAACTTCCAAGAGTGACAGAGAAACTACAGTTTGCAAATAAAGGGACAGTGATTCTAGTAGGATTATTCCCCATTCTTGACCAAAACAATCTGATGGGCCAAGACACAGCTGTGACCACCAACACCAACCACCCACAATGCCCAGAGCCCAGGAGAAGGAAGCAGGTGTTCTCCACATCTACCCATGCAGATTCTGAGCAGGTCTCAGCCCCAGACTGAGGCTCTGCCTGTCTGAAGAGGCAGCTCAGGGGTCCAGGCACCCCACTGAGACACTTCACAGCTGGGGAACCCAATACAGGTCCCAGGGAAGACACAGTGGGTCTGTGATTGACAAAGAAATGGTCCAAGGTCTTCCCCTTGTATTGAAGGTGAAGGTGACATTTTGGGTTTCAGGATGTGAAAGGGGGACAGTCTTCCTTGGGTTCCTGTAACCGCCACTGACTTGAAGTCACGCGGTTCTTGCTGTAACTCTGCATATTGCTCCTAACCGTCCACTGAGTCCGGCTGACTCCATCACGCGGTTTCTGCACTTCCCAGAAGTCCACCTGGCTTGCGCCCTAGATCCTGGGGTCTCTGCTAGAACTTCCCTTTGTCACTGAGGACTTTGCTGATTTCTTAATTTCAAATTGCAACTAGTTCCCCCTGGTGACCTCTATCCCCCTCTTCTCTTTATTTTTAACTGTAGAATTGTAAGCTATCTCACATCTGTGCATTTCATTTACTCTCTGGAACATTTGTCTCCCAACACTGGGAGGGAAGCTGCATGTTTTCCTCATCATCTTACCACAGTGCATAGATGACCACCTAATACGTTGCACATGATCAATAAATTAATTTCAACTAAATTAATTAATTGTACTCAAAATTTATATTGACACAAAATTGAACCCCAGGCTGGAAAACTGTGGCATGTTGAGGCAATGTGCTAGAGGGGCAAAACCCCAAATGCCACCTGACCTGGATCCAAGCCAGGAAACCCGATCCTTAGATATTGAATGGGACCCATGGCACTAAAGCTTAAACACCAGCAACCCCCACAATCAGAGGCAGGTGGCCCTCCCCATGACCAGGCATGAATACAAACCAGCTAATGATGCCTCAGCACAAACTCAGTCTGTGGCCGGAAAGGTTGGAGCCTCACATGCAGAGAAAGCATTCAAACACGTTCATGGGCTTAGGGATACTTCTGTGCTCCAAAGTATGTGAGTTTACGAAAAAAATACTGAAGCCTACAGAGGTAAAGCAGCCCGTGTGTCTAGTCCATGTGACAACATTCCTTAAAAAAGACTAATTAAAACTAATTAAAAAGACTAAAATATAGGAGACTATGATGGGTAAAATGTGGTTTAATGAAGCATTAGGACTTTTGGAAGTAGGAAAAGACCATTCTGTCATGGAATGCCAAGGATAGATTTCATGGTGAATCTTAAACTGAAACATAAAGATGTTTAAACTTTCAATAGAATAAAAGAATGATTAAAGCAGAAAATTAGGTAGAGAATGTAGAATCAGGGCAAGAGCTATGCAGGAGGAGGTCAACCTCCATTGAATTAAGAGGAATTGCTGTTGCAACACAGAAGGATGGAGTAGAATTCAGGTTGATGTGCTGAGAAGCATCCATCAATCCAAAGGAAAGGGCCAGACGAGGAAGGAGCCTCCCTGCTCCTCTGTGTGGATAGACACACTGGGAGCACCACATGTGGCTTCTGCTACTGCAGTCTAGGGTGGGCTATGACAGCTGCAAACTCTGGGGACAGAGAATGCAGGGAGAGGTGTGAGGGTCTCCAAACAACCAGGGCAAGTTGCTCAGCCTCAAGTGAGACCCAGAAACGTTCATGTGGATGCACTCTATGTTTACTGATGACATACAAGACATTTTCTACCTTGAATCACTTGAGTGGTAGAACAATAAAGAGTAAGTCAGATGCCTCATCCCTATAAATGTAATTACTCAAGGGGATAGCAGCCTTGTCTCTGTGGGAAGACAGGAGCCTATCTCCTAATAAATTAGCAAACAAAGATTGCCCAATCACACTGCTCAACTTCCCCACCAACAACCACCAGAACTTTTCCACTAGCTTAACCCAGGGCCTACATATTCCTGCCTTGGGCTTCAGGACAGTTGAGTTCAACGGCTCACCCTATTGCAGCGTTTTGACTCTTATTTCAACAGTGTTCAATAAATACTTCCTTGACATTTCTTAAAAGCCTTCTGATTTTTTTTAATAAAAGACAGCCATTTTTTTCTTTTCTGTTTCTCTGTTTGAGAACTTGAACTCTTCTTACAAGCAGAACCAGAATGGAAGACATCAGACAACTACCTATTCTCTTTTCTAAACCTATGTATTTTTCCCTTTTGCTGCTCAAAGCCACTCAACTCACTCAGAAACTTAAGATTACGGGAAACGGTCTTTCACTGTAATGTTACCTGGCCGGTCACCCTCCCAGCCTCTCAGTGCTTTGTCCGCCTGGATGACAGTGACCCCACTCCCTCTTTGTCCCAGCCCTCCAACCCATGGCCACCCACTAGCTCCTGCCACCACCTGGAATTCCTCCATTTCTGAACATCAACTATGAAGCTCCCCATCCCTGACTCACCCGCTGTCCTTCCAGCCTCTAATGTAGCCGTCCCTCCTTCCCTGCTGATCAGCATCAATAAGGCTGTTCTCCCGGGGGCTGTGCATGGGAATCACCAGGGAGCCTGATACCCAAGCTGCTCTTGGGACACCTGTCATCTGCCCTCAAGCTGCATTGGGACACTTGTCATCTGCTCTCATCTCCTGTCCTTGTGCACGGCACTGTCTTTGCCTCAGGCTCTCCGAGTTTGGTATTTTTGATCTTTTTCAGGCATCTTAGTGGAGTCTTGGAGTAAAACATTAGAAATCAGGTCAAGCTGAGTCACCATTTTTTTTTAAGAGGCAGGGGGCTTGCTATGTTGCTCAAGCTGGTCTCAAACTCCTGGCCTTAAGCAATTCTTCCTCCTCAGCCTCCCAAAGTGCTAGGATTACAAGCTGAGCTACCTTGTCCAGCCCTGAGTCAACATTTTCACTCCCATACCAAGGAATTCTGGCTTTAGGAAATGCTTGGTCCAAGGACTCAAAGCATGAGTTACTTTGTCGTCTTTACCTTTTTTCCCCTTTGTTTCTCTTGATCTTACTTTGGGATCTCTCCCCAGGTGACAGCCATGTCATTCATGGTCATCTCTCTGTGCCCTTCGCAGCTAATCTCCTAGAGAAAATCCCTACTTCTTTCCCTGTTGTTTCAGCCAACTCCTGAGTCCTATGGCCTCTTCTGAGTCTGTTACTGAGGGCAGAGGTTGAGACCCCACCTGGCTCCCACACCACCCCTGCTCCCAGCGGGAAGAATTTAAACTAGGAATGGGTGAGAGGGTTCTTCGGTCACTCCAAACAGTCCACAATCTCATGCTCCCACCATCATGGGCTCTTTGTGACACTTTGGGAATAAGGTAAGAGGATTCAGTCCTACTTCGCCAATATTTTGGAGAAGCAGAAGTTTACACACGCAGAAATGCACAAGTCCAACTTCTCGCCAAGACTGTGACAATGCCCTCTGTTCATCTACTGCTGTGTGGAAAGATATCCCAAACATAGTGGACTGAAACAGCACCATCAGGTCTTCACTCATACCTTGGCAATTTGGGCCTGGCTCAGAGGAGAGGTTCTGCTGGGATCTGAGGAGCTCAGGGCTGAGACACTCGCGCACAGGTGGCAGGCAGTGCTGGCTCAGCTGGGAGCTCTCACAGGGCTGAGGGATGGGACCTTGTGATGCGCTGGGGCCAGATCATGCCGGCTCATGAGAAAGGTGGTTTGTGTGACATTTTTTAAACGGTCCAGAGCTGGGAGGATTCTAACCACAGAAATTTACAAACACTGTAAATCAGAGTTTTGGTTTTTCCCAGAAAGCTGGCTGTTCTGTGTTCTCTAGCTCACCCTCGCAGGTGCCCTCAGTTCATCTTCCTGTGCGAGGCTCAGGCTTCCTCAAAACACGGTGTCTGGGCCCCCAAGTGACCAGCCCTCTTAGTCCGTTTGAGCCACTATTTAAAAAAAAATACCATAAACTGAGTTGCTTATGAACAACAGATATATTTTTCAGTGTTCTAGAGGTTGAGAAGTCCAAATCAAGGTGGCAGCAGATTTGGTGTCTGCTGAGAACCAGCTTTTTCGTTCATAGATGGCACCTCCTCACTGTGTCCTCACCTGATGGAAGGAATGAAGGAGCTCCTTGGGATCTCTTCTATAAGGACACTAATCCTATTCATGAGGTGCCCTCCGGACCTACTCACCTCCCCAGAGGCACCACCTGTTAATGCTATCACCTGGTGGTTTAATATTTCAATATATGAATTTCAGAGGGACAAAAATATTCCAACTGCAGCGCCATCCAAGACGGTGAAAGTGAAAAATACCAGTGTCTTAGCACCTGGGCCCAGCAAACGGCATGGTACTAAGTCAGGTGCATTCTATTGGTGAAGATGTCACCCGACCTAGATCCAACAGGAAAGAAGTAAACCTCCCTTTCTGTGGGAGAAGAGTCCAAGAATTGGGACCACATTTTAAAACAGCCCAAGAGAGTTATTCTTTCATAGTCATTTGTAAAAATTGCTGCAGGCAACAACACCAGACACATAGACAGCATGTGAGAGGCGGCTGGGAAAGGCAGACAAAGGGCAGGGGACTTGGAGCTCCTGCCTGTCCCAGCTGGATCTGCAGGCCCGGGAGTTGCTGTGTGGCACAGGCAGCACCAGGACCCTCCCTGCAGGGAGGTGGACAAAAGGCTGAGGGGAGGGACAGGGCGGTGCACTCTCAGGGGCTGGGAGATGGACAGTTCTCAGAGCTCACCCCCACGCAGCCCCCGCTCTACCCCACGCTAACACACACACTCTGTTCCAAAACTGCCCTTCCACACTGGGTCAAAACCATGTCCCAGGGCCCTGCCCAAGGTCCACACTCACTGTGTCTGCTGGGGTCACCAGACAGCCTCAGAGAGTGTGGGAATATCCTTGCTGCTGCTGAAGGCCTTTCTCCTCTCACACCCACACCTGCACCCCCACCTGTAGCTTCCCCAGGATATTTACCCCAGCTTGAGGGTGTCAAGGCTCTTGTTGAGTGTCTGAAAGCTGAACTGCATGTGTATGAAGGAACAGTTTCAGTTGTGTCTACACTCAGAGTTGACACTGGTGGCAAGTCCAGGACACTGTGCTGGGGGCAGGGTGGGTGGGGGTGGAAGTGAAAGTGTTGCAAAGACTTTTACATGTAGCACCATTTTTTGCTTAAACCACTGATTTCTGCCAAGGTTCTGGTGCAGCCCAGAAAGAAAGGTGAAAGGGACCACGAGATACAGACTCACTCTGTTCTAATTGGGGTTTGGGAGCCACCTGGGGGAGACAGAGGCAAGGCCCAGGTGAGACCTCAGCACAGACTGAGAACCTGACCTGCCCTGGCTGTCGAGTCCCCACCACAGACTGGGAAGGAGGCAGGGACAGGAGCATTGCCACCCAGGAGAAAGAGCAGAGGCCCCCAGACTCAGGTCCTCAGCCCCGCAGCCAGCACAAGGGGGAACGACATCATGACACTAGGTTAGAGACGGGGCAGGCCAGCCTTCCAGGGCCAGCAGCTACCGCTGACACGGAACCAGCAGCAGTGTATTCTGTGCCCCCTGAACTAATGTTGTAATATGTACACTTTGGGGTGCAGAAGAAAGCAATGTGTTTGCTGAACAGCACTTTACAGCGCTCCCATTTGAAGTCCCTCTTGGGTCAACTCCTGTTTAAGGGCAGGAGGGCCACCTGCTGTCCTTAAGGTGCTACTGCAGTGCTGCGCGCCCAGTTCTCTGTAAGGGCAGGTTCTTCTTTACTGGAAGATAGTGTGGGCTCTGCTAGGTCAGCGTCTGATGTGTGAGGACATCTCAGGGTGGAGGTATGCTGGAGCCACTGAGGACAACAGAGACAGCCCTTGGCCTAAGTCAACTTCATCTCGGTGGCATCTCCAAGATGCTCGGTTCTTATTAGGGCTTCCATGTGGGAGTGGGGTGGGGTTAACTCAAGAAAGGCAGTTAACAGAGATGAGGTCCTCGTGACTGCGGGTCACGGTAGGGAGGTTACTTCTCTTGCAGGAGCCTGATGGCTAAACAAGGGGGAGATATACCTGCCTCGATTTTGTGCATGATCATTGAAAGCTGGATCCTAGAGTAAATGGGCTCTTCAAAATAGAGCTTGTGCTTCAGTATTTGCATGTATGTGACTCTAGGGGCAGGAAGGTAAGTAGAGAGAGGGAAAGGAACTACGTGAAGTTCCCTTGTCCCTGACACCCTTTGATGTTCTACTGTTCTAGAAGTTCTGTTTACTTCCAGGCGTTCCGTCTGTTGGCGTGGTGATTGTGGTGACTTTACAAGCTGCGATATGGATCCTGATAAGCCTTCCTGCACCCCATCTGTCTAAACATTTACCAATGCCCATGGGGATTGGTCTGCATTATCTTCTATTTCAATTAAAATAGGCTGGGAACACTTCTTAGTTTCCAAAGATAGAGCATACAATTCCAAAATGCTCCTTTAAGTCAAGACAAATTAGATCACTTATTTACAGAAGTATCTTGTCCTGTTAGCTAGATCAGGGTATCTGAGTAACAGCTCCAGGGTAGGATTTCCAGGTGATAGAGTAATTATTGCCTGTCCCATGAACTACTGGGGAAAGAGGCATAGACAGCTATAAGTCACAATGGACAATTACAGTTTGGGTTGGAGAGGGAAAGTTTAATTCGAAATTTAGATGTTAGTTAAATGGTCATCTCCTGCTGGGTAAATGAAGGCAAAATTCAAATAAATACAGAACAAATGCATTTTTAAATGCCCATAGATTCCCTAACAAAACTGAAACAAAAATCAAGAAAACAATTCCATGTACAATAGCATCAAAAAATAAAACACCTAGGAAGAAACAAGGAGGTGAAGGATCTACACACTGAAAATGAAAAAAAAAAAAATAGTGAAAGAAATTAAAGAATGTAAAAATAAATGGAAAGATATCCTGGGCTGAAAATTGGAAGAATTAAGATTGTTAAAATGTCTATCCCAAACAAAACAATATACCGATTCAGCACAATTCCTATCAAAATCCCCATGGCATTCTTTACAGAAATAAAAAAAAAAATCCTAAAATTTGTATGAAATGGTGAAAGAACCCAAATAGACAAAACAATTCTGAGAAAAAAAAACAAAGTTGAAGACATCACAATTCCTGGTTTTAAATTATATTACAAAGCTACGGTAATCAAAACAATATGGTATTGGCATAAAACCAGACACATACCAGTGAAATAAAATTGAGAGTCCAGAAACACATCGAAACACATATGGTCAAGTAACTTTTGACAATGGCATGAAGAAGACACAATAGGGACAGGAGAGTCTCTTCAATAAATGGTGGTGGGAATACTATTTCCATATGCAAAACAATAAAACTGGACCCTTCTCTTTTGGCATATACAAAACTTAACTCAAAATGGATAAAATACCTGAATAGAAGACCAGAAACAAGAGACTATGAAAATAATGGTAGAGTTCTATATGTTTTGAGCTACAAAGTATTCAAATTACAGCATTAGGGAGAAAAAACAAAGCACAAACCAATGTTTAATTTTTAAGTGGAGATTTCCTGGAGCAGAGCTGCAGGGCTGGGGCAAGGATGGAGGCTCATTACTCCTTTTACCCTTTGAATGGTCCTTGTGGGCAATTCAACATTTTCTAAAATTAAAAATAAAATAAAATTTCAGAGGGGGATTGTGGGCATGTCAATTGTTTCGATGTTTCTCAAAGTGGAGAGAAATACCTAGTACATATTTTAGTTGATACATTCAGATCACATGGGTTTCTTGAAATAAATCTTTTGGCTTTAGTTTTACTAACTCTTTACCTAGTATCCCACTGAGTTCTTTTCCCTTATAGGCTGATAAGGTCATTATCTTCTCCACACTGTGCCCCACAAGAGCCTATTCACCCCATAATCTCAAAGCCTCCTTCATGAGGGCAGAAATGCCCCCTGAATCCTGCAATGAATTAACTCTCTACTCTAGCGGGATCCAGCTCTGGCCTCAAGGTCTAGACCTCCAGAGAGTGGCCAGCCCCACCTTCAGAAAATAAGAGGCATTTGATTCCTGAAATTATTCATTGAAAGCACTGTTCTTTTCTTTTTTGAATATTAACAAGTAAATATTCCAGCAGATGGAAAACAGGACAATGTAACACTGTTCTTATCATCACTATCAGCTGGGACCAGAACAGACACTCAATAAACAGCCTCACACTACAATGAAGCTTGGAGAACAAAGGAGCATCAAAGGGACATGGAGGGCAAGGGTAGCTCTTCTGCTCCCCAATCACATGCACTCCCCGTCTCACCGCAACATCTGTCCCTGAGCCTTCTCCCAGCAGACCTATAAATCCAGGCTGGCTCCTCACTCCCCACACATCTGCTCCTGCTCTCTCTCCTCCAGCGACCCTAGCCATGAGAACCCTCACCATCCTCACTGCTGTTCTCCTCGTGGCCCTCCAGGCCAAGGCTGAGCCACTCCAAGCTGAGGATGATCCACTGCAGGCAAAAGCTTATGAGGCTGATGCCCAGGAGCAGCGTGGGGCAAATGACCAGGACTTTGCCGTCTCCTTTGCAGAGGATGCAAGCTCAAGTCTTAGAGCTTTGGGTAAGAGACACCAGCATTGCAGAGCTAGGAGTGTAGAGAGGAAAACCAAGCACTTCTAGAATTAGATCCAACAGCTGGCTCTTTCTCTTAGGTGATCACCTCCCCAGGCCTCAATTACTTTATGTTTGTACTGAAAAGGAAGAATCAGTGATATTCAAGGCATGACTTTTCTCTAAAGATTTTTTAATTCTATGATAAGTCTATGAAATTTTCTAATTTTTTGCCATGTAGAAATGTATTGAGGAGTCTCTACTTCAAGGAAGAGAGCCTAATTTTAAAGGAATGTTTTGTTTTGCTTTGTTTTGTTTTGTTTTGTTTGATGGAGTCTCGCTCTGTCACCCAGGCTGGAGTGCAGTGGCACTATCTCAGATCACTGCAACCTCTGCCTCCTGGGTTCACGCAATTCTCTCCCTCAGCCTCCCAAGTCACTAGGATTACAGGCACCAGACACCAAGCCTGGCTAAATTTTGTATTTTTTTTTTTTCAGTAGAGACGGGGTTTCACCATCTTGGCCAGGCTAGTCTTGAACTCCTGACCTTGTGATAAACCCACCTTGGCCTCCCAAAGTGCTGGGATTACAGGCGTAAGCCACCACATCCAGCTGCTAAAGGAATGTTTTTTAATCTGACTTTTATAGGAACCGTTGCAAACTGGAGACAGTCATATGGGTGCATTCAGATGTGTGTGTGACAGGGAAGGAGCAGATAAGTACAGCATATCAGAATGGCTCTCTAATCCTGTGTGTGACCAACACTGCTCTGCGTATTTATTCCTATTGATGGTGTGATCATGCTATTGGCTGTAATGCAGCCAGCATTACATGTCAGCAAGCATGCAACTTCCTGAAGATTCTCTTTACTGCCCGCTGCTGACCCTGGTGCTCAATTTCTGATGCTCTCTCTCTCTGTCCCCAGGCTCAACAAGGGCTTTCACTTGCCATTGCAGAAGGTCCTGTTATTCAACAGAATATTCCTATGGGACCTGCACTGTCATGGGTATTAACCACAGATTCTGCTGCCTCTGAGGGATGAGAACAGAGAGAAATATATTCATAATTTACTTTATGACCTAGAAGGAAACTGTCGTGTGTCCTATACATTGCCATCAACTTTGTTTCCTCATCTCAAATAAAGTCCTTTCAGCAAGTTCTTTTGTGTTTGTGCTTTTCTGGTGTTTGATAATTCAGGATTCTTCAGATGCAAAAACAAAAACCCAAGTCGTATCTCAGAACACTAGCTCTTCGAAAGAGTTTTCTATGTAGACCAGAGAAGTGGTAGAGAGGATGTTGAGAGAAGAGAGGATTTGGGTTTTTTGTTTTTTTGTTTTTTGCTTTCTGAGATGGAGTCTCGCTCTGTTGCCCAGGCTGCAGTGCAGTGGCACAATCTTGGCTCACTGAAACCTCTACCTCCTGGGTTCAAGTGATTCTCCTGCCTCAGCCTCCCAAGTAGCTGGGATTACAGGTATCCACCACCACGCCAAGTAATTTTTGTATTTTTAGTAGAGACAGGGTTTCACTATGTTGACCAGGCTGGTCTCGAACTCCTGACCTCAAGTGATCCGCCCACCTCGGCCTCCCAAAGTGCTGGGATTACAGGCATGAGCCACCGCACGTGGCCTTAGGCACTCTGTTTTAATGTTAATGCTGGCCAGCTGTGCCTGAATTCCAATGGGAGGAGGATATCATGAGGTATTCCTGATCCCCACGTCCCATCATGGCCTGAACCAGTGTTTGAGGTTAACACTAGAATGCCTTGGGCTGAGAGGAGGCGTCCATTCAGTTGGCTGGAGGGCTTAGAATTTTAATCTTGGTTTGAATGGGATACAAACATAGGAGGAAGGAACGTGGGGTCCTGGCCCTTCCGACTCTGGCCAGAACCTTGCCAACCACATGTCCACAAGAACACAGGCCCTCTCTCTTTGCCTTGTCCCTTGTCACTATGTCCAGAGACAAGAGGGTGACAACAGTCCTGGGTATAACAACAACCCTGACATTCATCCAGAGGTCTGGCCAGACTCCCAGTTCTTCTGCCCTTCTGCTGGGTCTTCTTACCTCTTTGTAGGAGAGACCATGTTAAAGTGGCCTATTTTCCAGTTCTCTAAAACACAGACAGAAGACGTGGAGGGAAAGGTTCTCCAAGGCAGGTCTGAACGAGGAGAAACATGGAGTCACAAAACCCATTTCCAAGCCTGACTTTGCCACTTTCTACCTGAATGGACTTGACAAACCCAGCACGAAAATGGAGGCTTCATTTCCTCCTCCATAACCTTGTGGCAGCTGTCTCAAAACTTGACTATGGGACCTAACAGGATTCTTCATAACGGTGGTCAGAGACTTAGACATCAAAGGTGGGGAATAAATAACACAGTCAGATAGGAAGGGTGGGGGGGTGACCTAGCAAGTGGGGGTGACCTAGTGAGTGAGGGGGTGACCTAGCAAATGGGGGGTGACCTAGCAAGCGGGGGGGGTGACTTGACCTAGTAAGGGGGGTGGCCTAGCAAGTGACGGGGTGACCTAGCAAGTGGAGGGTGACCTAGTAAGTGGGGGTGACCTAGTAAGTGGGGGGGTGACCTAGCAAGTGGGGGTGACCTAGTGAGTGAGGGGGTGACCTAGCAAATGGGGGTGACCCAGTAAGTGGGGGGTGAACTGGCAAGGGGAGACGTGACCTAGCAAGTGGGGGGGTGGCCTAGCAAGTGAGGGGGTGGCCTAGCAAGTGGGGGGATGGCCTAGAAAGTCGAGGGGTGACCTAGCAGGATTCTTTGCTAAGATGGGGCTGGACAGACCAAAGACAGACAGGACCTACTTGAAAAGATGGCTCAGAGGAGCCTGACTAAAGTTTGGTCAAGGGCAGAGTCTTGGTTAGCGTTCCTGACCTGAGACCCAGATGATGAAAGGGCTCAATTCGTGCAGATCTCAGGGGCAGAATTCCAGAAATGGAGGCAGGGGAGCAAAGGCAAAGGCCCTGAGGTGCTAAGACGGGGTTTGTGCTCGGAGCCAAGAAGAAGGCCAGGGATTGGGGGCTGCAGGACCAGTCAGAGCTGTAGTAGGGCCCAGAGCACAGCGGCCTGCAAGGGCCAGGAGGGGCTTCTCAGTGCAATGAAGTCACTGGAGGATGTTCCTTAGAAGAAAGGCATGACTCCTGCTCTGTCTGCTGTGTAGGGAATGCAGTGCAGCAGATCATGAGAGGAGGCAGGGAAGGGGAAGGTGTAGTCTGGGGCTGGATGGGAATGCTCCATGTCACAATGGGGACCGGCGTCATACAGGTGAACACATTCGCCAAAACATACCTGGCTGAACTCCCAAGATTGGTGCTTTTCACTCTGCACATTATGCTTCAATACAAATTGTAAAATATAAAACGTAAGCTTTATGAAAAAGTCCATGAGATCTAGAAAATGAAAATTAACAAGTCAGAGGGAGGAGGGAGTCAAGGGTCACCCAATTCCCCTCAGAATTAAATAGCATTCTAGTGTGCACTGTGCATGTGAAGTGTGTTCTTCCTTTTGTTCCACCTGGCAGGACACGCCTGCAGCAGCGGAGCAGTTCAAGTCCACAGGACAGGCTGCGGTGCCTACTTCAGCCTTCTCAGCTGGGTGTGGCTTGAGAAGAAGGATCCCAGCTGGTGCCACTTCCTTGCTCACCGGGAGTGTGAAGATGGCCACCAGTCACTAATGGAGCAGGTGCCTGGGGGAGGACCTGGTGTAGTTCCCTAGGTACACTCAGGAAACAGGAGTGGAGAAGAAAGTGGTGTCTTGTCTAGACTTGTCTGCCCAGAGACACAGCTAAAAGTGACCACCTGGAGTTTGCCCCAGGACAGCCTGGATGGTGAAGGAGAGGTAGAGCTCACATCAAAGAGACAGGCGCAGGAGCCCCAGGCTGCAGACGTCGCAGCCTGCTGAGCACACCTGAGCAAGCACAGCCGTGCTCTCTCTGTCCTTGCTTCTGGGGGAGCCCCTGTGCCTTCTCACCAGAGCCCCCAATTGCTTCTTTCCCCAGGACCAGACCCTGGCAATAAGCAAATAGAGAAAACACTCTCTGAAAACGGATGGGATCATCGTAATCCACAATGTAAGCACAATGACTCCCCATGTGAAAAGTCCTACCTTGCTCACCATCATTTCCTTCCCCAAGCAAACCCTTAAGACAGGGCTAAACATTCCTGCTTTATGCGAGGCTGGTGAGGGTGCTGCAGTCACCGACTGTGAACCAGCCTGATGTCCATGCTCAGCATCGGGGCCCCCGGGACACAGAGTACCAGGGCATGACTGGTGCTTCCAAGGAACCTCAAATACCTCAAATCTGTCTCAAAGCTGCCAAGGGCCAGAAACCCATCCTTGAGGACAAGGAGAATGTGGCTTTGGGGGTCAGACGCCAGAGAACACGCAAACCCGAGAAATGCCTTTTGATGGTTGATGTTATGCCTGGGCCATGGTTCCTGGACAGTTGGACAAACAGTACTCTGGATGTTTATGTAAGGTTGTTTTCAGATGAGATAAATATTTAAGTTGGTGGACTATGAGATAAATATTTAAATTGGTAAAGCAGATGGTCTTCCATAATGAGGAGGGGACATGAATGGAACAAAGACTGACCTCCCCAGAGCAAGAGGGAGTTCTGGCAGCAGGTGGCCTCGGGACTGGCCTGCAGCTCCTCCCCGGGTCTCCAGCCTGCTGGCCTGTGGCTCACCACACCACACAGTGAAGGAATTGGTTCTGCTTCTCTGGAGAACCTGACTAACACGTAGCCTGAGCAAATGATGGGGAGGAGACCTCCCAGGTAGCGCTCGATGGCCCCCGAGGTGGGCTGTGGCTGTCCGGGCTTTGCAGGGACTACCTTTATCCCGGCTCCTAAACCTTGTAGACAGTCCTCCACGCAAGACAGCCCTGAAAGTTCTCCAGGCCTCATACCCACCCCTTCCCCTAGAGACATGGTACAGCCTCTAGCTCAGGATGGCTCAAACAGCACGGACCACGTGGCCCAGAAACCCCGCCGTAACTGACAAAGCCACACACACACACACACAAAGACAGCCAGATGGGAGAGGTGGACGGAAGCTGAGAAATATGCAGCAAGGTCCAAGTGTCAGGTAGACAGGGCCCTGGCAGCTGGAGAGGAGGGTTGGCCGAGGAAGCAGAGAGATGTGAGGGGAGCTCCCCACTTGTGGAATTACAGCAACTCAGGGGAGCCCCAACACTGTCTCTGTGGAGACCACAGGACAAGGCAAAGACGTCAGGATGTCCCTGAAGCCCAGATGGCCAGCCCTGAATGGTAGCCTGGACGTCCCTCCCCACGATCCCTCCTAGGGAGTCCCATCCCGGAGCTCACCTGGGCAGAGTGAACACACCTGTCTTTCCTCAGTGCTCACCTCCCTGCACAGGCCAACGGGTAGAATAAGGGCATGGCACAGGTAACTTGCCCAGAACCCAGGTCGACCATGCTCAGGACTAGATTCTCTCTATTCTCACCATTCTTCTCCTGCTAAAGGCAAGGCAGGCTAAGGAGAAATTGAAAGAGAGGTGAGCAAGGGGAGGACAGAGCAGGGGAGGAAGTGAAAGGAGCAGGTGCAGTGGAAACCATTTCACTGGAACCCAGGTCACTCCCCTTAGTAGACATACAATTCAAAATAAAGAGAGCTTGAAGTTACTGGGATCTTCAGCATGCACCAAAGCAATGCTTAGCAACCAGGATTCTGTGTGCCCCTCTGAGGGAACACTAGGGTGAGGGTAACTATTGAATAGACGTACGCATATTCAGGGTTACAGTATTATCTGTATTTGACAAGTGAAAGAGACAAAAAGAAATTTTGCTTTTTGTATTACAAGCCTCAACAATGATTACACCAAATCTCAGCTGTCAAAATTGTGCAACAAATTCAGTGATTCTCAAACAGACACCGCTAAGAATCTCTGGGTCAGGGAAGGGGGTTTAAGTATAGGGTTTTCATGTTATCCAAAAAAGATGTGAGGTTTTGTTGTTGTTGTTTGTTTGTTTGTTTTTTGAGACAGCATCTCACTCCATTGCCAAGGCTGCAGTACAGTGGCGTGATCTCAGTTCACTGCAATCTCCGTCTCCCAGGTTCAAGCAATTCTCCTGCCTCAGCCTCTGGAGTAGCTGGGATTACAGGTGCCTGCCACCACGCCTGGCTAGTTTTTCTGTTTTTAATAGAGATGGGGTTTCACCACATTGTTCAGGCTGGTCTCAAACTCCTGACCTCAAGTGATCCAACCGCCTCGGCCTCCCAAAGTGCTGAGATTACAGGCCTGAGCCACCATGAGCGCAGGGCTAGGATGTGACTTTTTGAGGCTGGAAAACAACGACAGAGAGGAGACCCCCTGGTGGTGAAGTGCGTCTCTATTCTACCACTAGAGGGTGGCAGCGTGTCCCATGGTGTCCCCAAGCCCCTGGACAGCCAGGTTTCCATGAACACCTAGGGGTTCCGCTCATGCTACCAAAGTCCCTGCTAAAGAGAAAGCACTTTCAGAGAAAACAAAGTGGCCCAAGGCCCAAGGGAAACAAGCTGGCAAAAAGGTTCCGCCACACATCCACCTGGCAGCACCCACTCCATCTTCCCTCCCAAATATTCTCTAGTGAAAGACCCTTTTCTCTTTCTTTCCATTTTTTCTTGTGCCAAGCTGTACATTTTTTAAGGCATATATATAATTAGTTCTATTTTTATTATTTGTTTCCATAAACACAAAATTACATGCCAATAAATATAACCAGAACAAAACATGGTACAGAGAAAAAAAAATCTCTGTGCCTGTTGTTTAATGCTAGTGTGCTGGGAGGCATGAAACAGAGAGAATCACCGTCCTCTTCGTAACTTACTGTTCTTTCTCAATTATAATTAAGCAAAAGTTATACGTGAAACAGTGGTTATCCATATTAAATGCCTATAAATATTTTGAATGAAGACTGCCTATTTCATATTTAAAGTTTGCTTTTCCTTGGTGATGTGTCTCAGTCAGATTGATGACAAAGCTACTGGCAGGAAATACTATGTATCTGAATAATTTCTATGCTTTGTTTCAACAACACATCGAAACAAAATAATCTCAGAGTTATCTGCAGAAATAAAAGAAGAAGTAAAAACCTACAGCAAACTCAGAATATTCTTTAACTTTTATACAAAATAAAATGACACTGTATTTTTAGATTTCATCTTTAACCCCTCATCAGCAGCCAGTTTCAACAAGTAGTGGTTTCATTTCAATTATGTTTCAATAAAAGTAATAGATTCTGGTTCCTGGATTTCCTGTGCATCAATCTTATTCGACGAAACAAAATTTCAATGTACTACCTATGTCATAGGCTGTTCAGTGATACAAAGATAGAGAGAGTGAGAGAGAGAGAGAGACAGAGATTTTAGATACAGGTCTGATAGAGACAGAGATAGAGATACAGATATCCTCCTCCTGTTTGCTCACTATGCCAGGGTATTCTCAAAGCATTTATTGAACTTAAAAGAGCCACAGCTTACAAGAAACCTGGGTCTTGAATGACTGCAAGGAGCAAAGGCTGCCCCCACATGAGTGCCCCAATGCCCCCCATCCTGCAGCCTATTCCATGAGTCATAAATAAACCTCTATTGCATTGAATCACTATGAGTTGGGGGTTATTTGTTCTCATATTTGCAATATTTGGAAATAACTGTACTAATAAAAATTGTAATTTCTCCAAAAGTCAGATTGAACTGAGTATCTCTTTATATTATCTGCCAACACTAAATTTAATTAACACAAATGAAAGATAATAGGACACCTGCAGCCATCTGTTTTTAATGCACTTTTTGATTTTTGTTATTTCTGCCCTAGTTGCTTTCATTATACAGTGAGAAGAAACAATCTTCGGACTATCTCACATTAATAACATCAAGAGTTGTTTTATAACAAAAAATACTATCAAAGTCAAAATAAATAAGGCGATTACTAATACACTGATCTCTCTGGAGGGAAGGGCTATAACAGATAGGTGGCTTTTTCTTGAATTCTTCAGCCCGAGTGGATGCAGCAGGGTCCAGAATACAGGGTATTGGGGCTCCTATGCAAGAGCAGACTCTGCTCCATGCAGTCATTCAAGACCCAAGTTTCTTCTATGCTGTGGCTGTGTCGAGTTAACAAATGCTTCAAGGATACCCTGGCATAGTGAGCAGATAGGTGGAAGATATCTCTATCTCTAGCTCTATGTCTATCTATCTATATTCGTAATCTATCTGTCTATTTATCTATCTTTCTTGGTATCCCTGAACAGCCTATGATATAGGTAGCACATTCAAATTTTGTTCCATCAAATAAGATCAGTGCACAGGAAGTGCGGGAGCCAGAACCTATTTCTTTCACAGAAAGATAATTCAAATAAAATTATTTTTTTTGAGAGGGAGTCTCGCTGTCTTGCCCAGGCTGGAGAACAATGGCACGACCTCAGCTCACTGCAACCTCCGCCTCCCAGGTTCAAGCAATTCTCCTGCTCCAGCCTTCTGAGTAGCTAGGACTACAGGCATGTGCCACCATGCCCGGATAATTTTTTGTAATTTTAGTAGAGACGAGGTTTCACCATGTTGGCCAGTTTGGTCTCGAACTCCTGACCTCAAGCAATCTGCCCGCCTCAGCCTCCCAAAGTGCCGAATTACAGGCGTGAGCCACCGCGCCCAGCCAAAATGAAACTATTACATGTTGAAACTAGCTACTGATGAGGGGCTGAACCCTGCTGCCTTGTGTTTCTTGTCTCCTCTCTACCACTTTCTAGGCAGCTGATCTTGGTCAAGTTAACGGGGAAAAAGTGGCCTTATCTCCAAGCCTCAGTCTTTTACCTCATCTTCGAGCTCCATCTGTAAAATGGGTAAAAACATTCTCTACTCTGCCTATATCACTGCTTATTGGAGGAATTAGATGACAAAATGGACTTGAAAGATCATCAAAATTTTAAAGCACTGTAGGAATGTAAGTAATATCCGCATCTTTAGTGGAAAAAGCATAAATTCTCCTGAAGGGGAGAGGGACTGTATTTCCTTTCAGATAGGAGCAGTCAACAGAGGTTTCTGCCACTTCAGGGAGGACATGGTTACCTCTCAAAGAATGAAAGGGGAAAACTATGACGCTCTCCCATTAAGAAAAAAATAGTTTAATTAACTTAAGAAAAATGAAATGATTAACTCTAGAAAGTGATGCCAAGATGACTTTTTTCTCTGACTGGTCTGCTATGAGGACTCACATGGACAAACACACACAGGACTGCAGAGTAGGAGCAGATTGTGTCTCTCTCTTCCCTGGATATTGTCAGGCCCCTTGACTGTCTTTTTTCCTTTTGTAGCAAGAAAATTTTGTTATTTTCTTTTTGTTTCTTTTTTTAATTTTTTTCTTTTTGTTTTAACTATGTTTTTCTCTCTCTTTTTGTCTTCTACTTTGAACCCCAAGAAGCTAGCAAGAACATTTTGTTATTTTCTTTTTGTTTCTTTTTTTAAATTTTTTTCTTTCTGTTTTAAATACTTTTTTTCTCTTTCTTTTTTTCCCTGTACTTTGAACCCTAAGAAACTAGAACATTTTGAACCATGATCATCATTTTCTTTTTCCATCTTCTTGCATAAAATCCACCAGAAACATTTTTTTGGCTAAGTAAAGATTTGTACATCATTTTTATGCTTTATTTGCATAGAAAGATGTCTAGCAAGTTGATCACTGTCTCTTAGGTATATCGAATGCATGACCTCATTGGATTTATTTTTTGGGGGATGCAAAAAAGCATCGGAACAGGATCTGTGTTCTAAAAATGCTTGAGTTTGTTTTAATTAGTCATGGTAAACTCACACACGCATGAAGTGATATTATGAAGGAAGAAGCTGAAGCTCACAGATTCCCAGAAGCAGGGGGTGTGGCCGCCACACCAGGCCATGAGGGAATCACCACGATGCGTCAGGAGGCAGCAGCAGGAAGAGGGGAGAGCATGGCCCAGAGCCTTCCTTGGGTTCTCACAGCAAGGAATGGATGAAGCAGGGCAGGTCTCCTAGGTCCCCACGCTTAGAATTGGATACTTGGGATAATTTTGACAGGCTCTGAGCTGTAGGGGTGACCCCTGATTTTTTGGTACATGGCTCTAGGGTGACTTAGGGCAGGCCGGGGAAATATTACTTGGTATGCGCAAGTTTGATAGAGAAGGTAGTTAGGGTATGGGCTCTGGTTCGGTGAGTGTGCTCACAGGGAGCTGCTTGCTAGCTCTAGCAGAATGAGGGGGACGATACACTGAAGGACAGGACATGTGTCCTCATCTTGGTGTCCCTCTATGTAGATGGGAATGTTCTCTGTTCAGGGGCAGGGCCTGAGTTGAAGCCTGTATTTCCCTATTCTCTCAACTGCAATTCAAAACACTGTCTTTTTTTCCTCACTGATCCTGATGGGCAGTCCCTACAGGATCAAGGCACCAAACACCACAGCATCAAGAATATAGAAAATACAGTAGAAAATACAGTCAATGCTGTTTGAGTAATATCATTTCCTCTCCTCAAATGCTTCCTGCAGGAGCCGTTGAAGAAACTTTTTGACCTTTTCATCCTGTGTCATTTTATTGACTTCAGGGCATCAAAAGTTGACTCCAGGCTTTGCTAGTCACTCATCCACTCTCCTCATCATTTATCAGGTGTTCCCCAAGCCCCTGTGATGTGCAGGGACGATGCAAGGGACCCTGGGATGGAGAAGCCCACCCCTGCCTTCCAGGGTTGGGGTGACAGAGAAATCTACAGTTACCAAATTGCCAGGTAGGTGCTTAAAGGGATATGAACAAGTTGATCAGGGTGGGCCGTAGAAGTGACACTGAGCTACATTCTGAGGGATGTGGGGCCGAGGGAGGGGTGAGGTTTGGAAACAGAATGAGGGACTAATGCACTGAAGGGTGGGGTATGTGTTCCCATCTTGGTGTCCATATATGCAGTACATGGGATTTTCTCTGTCCAGGGATGAGGTCTGGGTTGAAGCTTTTATTTCCCTATTCTCTCCATTGCAATTCAAAACGCTGCCTTTTTTTCTCATTGATTGAAAAAAAACAAACATTTTTTTGAGGTCTATCATGTATCAGCAATTGCCTTAGCCATGTGGAATTCAGGAATGGCCAAGAAAGTCAGGGCCCCTGCCCTCAGGGAGCTTACATTTTGGTGAGAGAGAGCAGCAACCAACCGACAAAGGAGTCTCTGCCTTTATGGGTGAAGAGTGAACAATTAAACAAGTGTCTACTATAAGCAATTAAACACAGCATCCAATGTTAGGTAGCCACCCATGCTGCCAAGAAAAACAAAGCTGGCCAAGGAAACAAAGAGGGAGGAGGATGAGAGCTCCAGAAAGTAAAGTAGCATGGGGGCGATGCGTTCATCCCAGATGATCAGGAAAGGTGTTGATGAGGTCTGAGTGGCAAGGAGGAGCCGGGCGCAGGGAGCTGCGGGCAACAACCACCTGCAGAGGAGAAGGTGAGTGCAAGGGAGAGGACGTGCTCCTTGTCTGTGTACCACGAAATGTCACGAGGGAGTAATGAGCAAGGAAATGGCGTAATCTCTGATTTACATCTCAGAAAACTCACCTTGATAGAAATAGAAGACACTGGGGGCTCTGAAGAGCAGGGGAGACTGGGAAGCGAGGGAGTGAGGGTTGAAAATGTATCTATCAGGTACAATGTGCACCTTTTGGATAATGGGAACAGTAGAAGCCCAATCCCCACCAGCACACAATATTCCCATGTAACAAACATGCACGTGTACCCTCTGAATCCAAACTAAAATAATTTTTTAAAGAAAAATCACTTTGGTTGCTGAGTGGCGAAAGGGTTAAAGAGGAGAAAGGACAGAAGTGGGGTGACCGACTGCGGGGCACCACAGTGAGCAGGGAAGGAGGATGCACGCGTACAGAACATCCTGGGGAAAGGAAGGCGGCATCCCAAGAGTAGGGAAATCACAACAAGCTCACATCTGCAAGCAGCATGGCCCAGTGTGCAGATCCCCACTCCACGGCTCCTATTACACTATCTCTTCCAAGGCTTCCTTTCTCTGGCCTTTGCCTCAGGGCCAGTAGGCTTGGGCAAGTGACCCACATTCAGTGGCTGATGTTCAGTGGCCCATGCGCAGATCCACACTCAGCTACTTAGTGTAGAAAAAGTCACTTAAAACTTTCTCAGTCTCATTATCTTTATCTGTAAAATTTAAGGTAGTTCTTATCTCTGGGTGTTGTTACAAGGAAGAATTGAGATACTATCTCAATTCTTTGAAATCGAATCCTATGAACATAAGAGATGGTTTGAAAAACCAGATCTGCTCTGTAGTCCAGCCTCTGGTTGAGGCAAAGCCCAAATCATTAACTTGAGGCCCATTTGATTCCTTGGAGGAATTCTTCCTGTCTAGACCCCAGGTCTTGAGATTATTGCACCCTAGGACAAGCTAGGTTGCTACTCCTAAAGGAAGGCTGGTGGCCAGGCTTCCATCGCATGCAAACGTGGTCCAAGTCATTTTATCCCATTCACCTTGGCTGTGGAGAAATCAGGAAATCAGTCATGCTGGGATTGATTAAGGATGTCGGCTACACACGAGGATAGAAAATGCTCCAGAGCAAAAGTCTGTCCTCCCTCCAAGCATTCACAGGGCAGGTTGGCACATGACGCCAAAAGAAAATAGTTGCTTTTCCTACTTATGTTTTGCTGAGAACCTCACATGGACATTTCATTCCTATAACTTTCATGTTGGCCTGCTCCAAAGAAATTAACTATTCAGTTAGAACAATAGTGTCCCCTACAACTGGGGTTTGGTTTAGCTCCTTCCTGAATGGAAACTTCCTTCATTTTCTCTAAGCCCACTTGTTCAATGTGTAATGCTGGGTACGATGTCCTCACCAATGTCCACACAGCGAGTTTCGAAGGCTGGTTGTCATCATGTCACTCAATGTAGACTCACAGTTCAGTTCATTAAAAACATATACATATATCAAAGAAGAAAACTCATGTTGTCAGCACATGTGGTGGCTCATGCCTGTAATCCCAGCACTTTGGGAGGCCAAGGCGGGCAGATTGCTTGAGCTCAGGAGCTCAAGACCAGCCCAGGCAGCATGGTGAAACCTGTCTCTCCAAAAAAAAAAAAAAAAACAAAAATTAGCTAAGTGTGGTAACACACACCTGTACTCTCACTACTCAGGAGGCTGAGGTAGAAGAATGGCTTGAGCCCAGGAGATTGAGGTTACAGTGAGCCATGATCGTGCCACTGCAGTCCAGCCTGGCTGACACAGCAAGACCCTGTCTCAACAAAACAAAACAAAACAAAACAAAGCAAAACAAAACAAAAAACGAATGTCTTAATGTCTCCCTGTAGGTTCCCCTGTCAATCTGGCTTAATCGGGGGATTTTAAAAAAATATTTAAAGAGGTTTATTCTGAGCCAGATATGAGTGGCCAAGGCCCCCGACACAGCCCCAGGAGATCCTTAGAACATGTGCCAGAAGTGGTTGGGTTACATCTTTATCTTATACATTTTAAGGGAACAGAAGTTACAGGCAGACATTCATCAATACATGTAAGATGTATATTGGTTTGGACCAGAAAGGGGGGACAGCTCGAACTGGGGGCTTCCAGGTCACAGGCTGATTGAAAGATTTTCTGATTGGCAATTGGTTGAAAGAGTTATTATCTAAAGACCTGGAATCAAAGAAAAGAGTGTCTGGATTAAGATAATGCGTTGTAGAGACCAAGGTTCTAATTGTACAGATGAAGCCTCCAGGGAGGCTTCAGGGAGATTAGACGGTAAATGTCTCTAATCAGACCTAAGAAGGTGTCAGACCCTCAGTTAATCTCTCCTGGTGGTTCCATCGTGTAAAGGTGGGCACCCTGGGCTCTGAACCCAGGCGTAATTTTTAAAGCACCAAAAGAACGAAGCATCCTCTACACAGAACGTGTCTCCTGCTGCAACTGTGGTAAGTGCTGTGGGGAGGGCATTGACAGGAACATCCCAGCAGATGCCTGGGATACAGACGCTCTATGTTCTCATTGAAATGCCGCCTGGTTTCTTTTTACCACAGTTCAACTGGAAATGACGTGCTTTTGTGAAAGGCTGTCATCCTCTGGAGAAAGTTGAGGCATCTTAGGAGGCCACATCCCTCCACAGAAGGCCAGCACACTACCATTTGGAGGAGTGCTAAGAATGCATTTATGGACAAGGTCACAAGTCTCCCCAGAAAGAAATGGTGGAGCCACTTTAACACACAAAGGGCTGTGTAGTGTTTGTGTGGCTTTGCTTCTCTGAGCCTCAGTTCCTTTCCTCGGGACGCTGTGACTGGAGAGGTCTGTGATTCTAAGGCATGGCCTCTCCCTCAAAAAACTTACAATCTCATATCAAATTCATACCAAACCGAACAAAGGCAAAATAAGGCAAAACCATAAACCATCCAGGGCCGAGGTACATGTCAACAACAGATAAAAAGCCATTTTAGGGGAAAATAAAACAGCTGGTAATGGTGATATTTTTACTAAACCTCATAAGATAGGAGGAATTTGGTAAGGCAGAGAGGTAAAGAGAGAAGTGATTAGAGCAGCACTCTCTACCTTCTCACCTGACAGGGGATTGCTGCGTAAGTGAATCTGCATCCATTCATTCATTCATTCATTTCTTCAACAAATATGTCTTGAGCATCTCTGCTGTGCTAGGCCTGTTTCTCCAAGCTGGGGACACAGCAGGAAAACAAAGGCGTTAAGCCCCCTGAATGCGCTGGGCTTACATTTTCCTGGACTGATAAACATATAAGAAAGTAAAAGATGCATCTGCCCAGGCAGCAAGGCCAGCCGGCTCCCTGCTAAGAGGCTCTTCCCTTTTACCTCTGATGCAGGTTTTACCCCAGGAGCTGCCTCCTCCCTCTGACCCTACTTCAGTGACTCACCCTTTTCATTTGGGAACTTACACTTCCCCTGCCTAGGGTTTTAGCACGGATCCCATCAGGGAGGCATTCAGACTGGCGACCCCATGTGAAAAAGAACAATCTAAGTAGCGGCTGACACTCTGTGTTCAGAACCTGCCTGCAAATCCAACACCGGCCCAGCATGGTTGGCCCAAGCGTGTGGTCTTCACATTCTCTTAACTGAGCATGGGTTCTTTGGCCGCGGAGCAACTCAAGCTCTCTGCCACCTACGCAGACTCCACGACACATGTAAGTCTGCAGGGAGACCACAGCTTATGCTGTCACTCTGGGTCCCCTGTCATATGCAGTCACCTCAAGCAGAAAAGGCTTAACGTAAAGACATTCCCATCCTGATCCCTTAATTTCTCATGCAGATATACCAAGCACTAGCTTCCAGGCGGCAGCCCTTCCACTGCCAGATTTCATGACTCTCTCATGGAGTTTGCTCCTGGATTTTCCTCCAACGTGGCTATGGCTCAGTTCCCACTCCTCCTGGCTCGTGATCAGCAGACATACCAGGCTAAGCCATCAGCACAAGGCAATAGGCCACTCAGGTGTGTCGCCTGTCCCCAGACCAGAGCGTCCGCCAGGGGACATCTGGCTCCAGCAGGCCTCTTTCCATTTTCCACTTTAACTGTAGTGGAAGTAATGACCCCTGACATCCAGCAAGTGCTTATTGCTTCCATGTTTTAATTAATGCACTACACATATTATCTCATTTATTTTTCAGAACAATTCTATGATATAGGCACCAGGATTATTTCATTTTATAGATGGAAAAAGCTGAGTCATGGATATTAAATAGGTTAATTGCCCATGATCGCATGTCTTGAGAATGGTTGAGCTGGTGTTCAAAACTGGGCCTGTCTGTTTCTAAGGCCTTGTTTGCCATGAGACACAACCTTGTTTGAGTATAACCTGCTGGAAATCTGTTGACTTTAAGGATTCCCAGAGCTGAACAAAGGAAGAAGTTCCCTTGCCAAATACACTTCCTTTCTTCAAAACAGAAAACAAACACATGAAGTCATCCTTCCAGGTAACACATTTATATCAACCAGTAGATCTTGATGAGCTGGTTGGGAAGAATTTGAGATGACTCCGTCTTCACCTTTCAGCCTTGTGGTACCTGGGTTTTCATTTTTCTCTGTCAGTTGGCCCTAAAGCCTGGAAAAGGGCCCTCCCTCTCCAGAGTCACTGGAAATAATAATGCTAAGAGGAGATTTGATCAGCAATTCCACGTGTCAGTAAAAGGGACCCACGTTCCACTGACCCTCAAACCAGCAACTGAATTTTGTTGATTAACTATTACTGGGTGTCTATTTGGAAACAAGCACTCTTCTAGGTTCTGGGAATAAAACAGTGAACAAAATACATTTTTAAAAATCTCCAGCAACCTAGATCATTACAACAGCCACTCAGCTTGTCTCATTGGATCTTCCTTGCCCTCGTTCCAATCTACTTCCTCCACATCTTTTTAAAATGAAAAGGAATTAGACCAGGTGCAGTGTCTCATGCCTATAATCCCAGCACTTTGGGAGGCTAAGGTGGGAGGATCACTTGAGTTCAAGAGTTCAAGACCAGCCTGCGCAACAGAGTGAGACCTCATCTCAACAAAAAAAATAAACAAACAGCTGGATATAGTCCCAGCTACTCTAGGGGCTGAGGTGGGAGGTCAAGACTGGAGTGTGCTGTGATTGCACCACTGCACTGCAGCCTGGGTGACACAGCAAGATTCTGTCTCAAAAAAAAAAAAAAAAAAAAAAAATGGCTGGGTGTGGTGGCACATGCCTGGAGTCCCACCTGCTCAGGAGGCTGAGGTAGGAGGATTGCTTGAACTAGAGAGGTCTAGACTGCAGTGAGCTATGACTGTGCCACTGCATACCAGTATGGGCAACAGAGCAAGACCTTGTCTCTAGAAAAAAAAAGAAAAATGAAAACAATTTCTTCACATCGTTTTCAATACCTTCGATGACATCCCATTGTCCTCAGGAAGCATCCTGAAGTCCTGTAAACGGCTTATCAAAAAGGCAGCTGTGAAGTGGCTCCGTCACACGTTGTGCCACATGCATGCGTCTAGGCGGACCTAGGTCTGGATCATCCTGTCTGTTCCATTTATTCTGCCACCTTTACCCAGCCAAGTGCTGCTGAAATAATCACACAGCCCTATGCACATGGCCTTCAGTATTGAAGGAAAGGCAAATGCAGACACCTGGGAGCCCATTTCCTCCCCATTATGCAGCTTAGAGAGGGCTGGCCCTGCACACCTGAGTCAGCTCGGTGGGAGATCAGGGTGTGCCAGTCCCTGCCACCGAGATGTCCCCTTTCTAAGAGAGCCACTTCTCTGAGCAGGGAGCATCACTCTCTATGACATTTAGTTGTTCCTTGACCTAACCTCTAGTCCATCCCTGAAATAGTGATCACTACGGAGGACAAGGCCTCTCTCTGTGGACTGCCTACCAAGATCCTCGCAGGCCACCTATGCTGACCCACACCACGCAGTCCCGAGAGTTCCAGGGAGCCAACGGGCTCCACCACGGCTGTTCGTAAGTCCACGACCTCTGATGCCCTCTCTTCTCTCCCCGACGTGTGCCTGTGGAGAACGTGGTGAGCACCTGCAACATTTTTGCTCAACGCTATTTCATTTTTATTTATTTGTTAACTTTTCTTTTTGAGACAGGGTCGTGCTATGCTGCCCAGGCTGGTCTCGAACTCCTGGGCTCAAGCAATCCTCCTGCCTTGGCCTCCCAAAGTGCTGGGATTAGAGGCATGAGCTGCCACAACCAGCCACTCAACATTTCTCATGATCTTGTTCAAATCTACTTCCTGATGTGTGTTTAAATTCCATCAGGACCAGGGACCTCTCTGACTTATCCCCTATATTCTCCGAGCCTAGCACAGAACCTGGCATACAACAAACGACCAACAGCTGTTTCCTGAAGGAAAGGTGCTCCTATGATAACTCATCACGCTTTGGTTGTTGGTGTGTCTTTTTCCTCAATTAAACTATGTTCTGAAATGGTCGAAACAGTATTTTATTTATGGTTGTAATTCCACACCCTAATGGCATACTTGCAGCACACTTGCTCAATAAATGCCAAATGAATGAATAAAGGAATGAATTAATGCCGTCCCTCCCCCTCTCCGGGCCTCCTCTGCAAAATGATCAGGTAGAGGAGAGGACCTCTTTCATGGCGCTGCTTCTATTGCTCTATGATATCAGCATTGCACAGGCAGCCGTGTTTCTGAGTCTCTGAAAGTTGGAGTCCACCACAGAGAGCTGCATAAAATGTTTACTCAAATGGAAGGATAGACAGAGGAGACAGTCGGGAATTCTAGCTAGAGTGTGTCTTTCTAAAAATTTTGAAGTCATATGCCAAAGTCAAAATTTGTAAAGCTTTGGTTGAGTGGTACAATGAATAATAACCAAACGCTAAGTTTCCAGATTCTGTTTCTTGCAAATTAGTTTTGTTAAAGAGGTTGGCTAAGAAAGTGGCTTTTAGGCCAGGCACGGTAGCTCACGCTTATAATCCCAGCACTTTGGGAGGACAAGGGGGGGCAGATCACCTGAGGTCAGGAGTTCGAGACCAGTCTGGCCAACATGGTGAAACCCCATCTCTACTAAAAATACAAAAAAAATTACCTGGGCATAGTGGCGTGTGCCTGTAATCCCAGCACTTCAGGAGGCTGAGGCGGGTGGTTCATGAGGTCAAGAGATCAACACCATCCTGGCCAACATGGTGAAACCCCATCTCTACTAAAAATACAAAAATTAGTAGAGCCCAAGTGGTGGCAGGCGCCTGTAGTCTCAGCTCCTTGGGAGGCTGAGGCAGGAGAATCACTTGAACTGGGGAGGCAGAGGTTGCAGTCAGCCGAGATTATGCCGCTGCACTCTGGTCTGGTGACAGAGCAAGACTCCGTCTAACAAAAAAAAGAAAAAGAAAAGAAAAACAAAGTGGTTTTTAAACTACATTTCAAGTTCCCAGAAGTCTTTTTGGTAGGGAGAGATGAAGTTGAAGTTTCCATATAATATAGATATAGTGGCCACAGAAACCTGTGTTTAACTGCAACCATTATATTTAATATGTATTTTATGTATGTTTATAAGCAATTTAAAAATATTTTATGTTTATAACATAAAACAAACATATATAAAATACTTTTAATTATCTCATTTTTCAAAAATAATAGTAAGGGTGTGTACATGTTATAGTATTCCCAAACTGCCAACAGTTTGTGAGCGTCAAAATAACATTTTTTCTTTGAATTTGATTACTTCTCAGATTTCCATTCTTTTTTAAAATTTTTTTAAAAATGGATGTTTTTGCTGTCAAGATTTGTAAGCACCTTAAGAAATTGTTTTGACCTGACCAAACATTGTTCCAGAGGCAGAAGCAAGAACTCAGCCATCCACGAGTTGCACTCTTGGTCATGTCTTCCTATTCCTTGAAACACTGGTGCTCTGTGAGACCTCTCAGGTGTGCCATGAGAATTTAGAAAAAAAATCCCAAATTGTACCAAAAATATTTAAATAATAACCGTCATGACAATATTATTTCTAGCTCTCATGAAATTTATCTCTTTAGTTATTTTGACATGGTGCTATTCAGATTTGGGGTTCTGAAATTAAATGAGAAAATACAGTCAAAGCACCCAGAATCCTAGTGACCCCTGGTGCTCCCCACTTCTCTCCTCCACTGGTGTCCCTCCCATGGTAGAATCACTTTTAGTGGCTTCTTCACTGAAAAAGATAACTGAAGTCAAATGTTCACCCTCTCCACCACTCCCTTAAAAGATCCTGCCGTGGAAAAGATTCTGCCAGGGATCCAGGGCGCCATGGATCCTTTCATGGCACCTTTGGGATTTGGCATTTTGCAAGCTCTGGGAGGGTTTGCAGGGAATTGGTGATGTTGTGATAACAGAGGCCTGAGAAGAAGGGGTATTAGACTTCTACAGGACCCCTCTCTTCTGTGCTCATGGGTGGGTGGATGACTGGAATCGAACAGGACCACACAGTGAGTGGGCTCCAGCGGCATGCATAGCTCAACCCAGCTGTGGGTCAAGAATTACTTTAGTTGTACCGTTAAGCTGAACATGGAACTACAGCCACACTCATTCTGTGCTTATTTACTGAGCAGCTACTATGCGAAAAGTGGCCAGAGTGCAAGAACTATAAGAAATATGGCCTGGTCCCTGCTGTTTAGGAGCTCCCACTTTTCCATGCATCTGCATAGAAAGCTTTCTATTAGTTGGTGCAAACATAATTGCAGTTTTTGTATTGTGGAAATTTGCTGATTGATATTGGAATAGCTTCCTAAATAAATGTGGTTATATTATACATTTCAATGCACATTTCTCACTTTTTTTGGCTAACAGCTTGTTACTTGCTATTTATTTTATATTTATTTTGGACTATGGAAATGATGTTAGACAAAAAGCAAATTTGAGCAATTTTCGTATTTGAGTTCAAAATGGGTCATAAAGCAGCAGAGACAACTTGCAACATCAACAACGCATTTGGTCCAGGAACTGCTAATGAACACACAGTACAGTGGGGGTTCAGATGAGAAGCGTAGTGGCCGGCCACGGGAAATTGACCACGACCAGTTCAGAGCAATCATCGAGGCTGATCCTCTTACAACTACCCAAGAAGTTGCCAAACAACTCAACGTCGACCATTCTACGGTCATTCGGCATCTGAAGCAAATTGGAAAGGTGAAAAAGCTCAATAAGTGGGTGCCTCATGAGCCAAACACAAATTTAAAAAACAAAATCATCATTTTGAAGTGTCATCTTCTCTTATTCTGCACAACAACGACAATCCATTTCTTGATCAGATTGTGACATGCGACGAAAAGTGGATTTTATACGATAAGCGGTGGAGACCAACTGAGTGGCTGGACTGAGAAGAAGCTCCAAAGCATTTCCCAAAGCCAAACTCGCACCAAAAATAGGTCATAGTCACTGTTTGGTGGTCTGGTCTGCGCAGGTCTGATCCATTATAGCTTTCTGAATCCCTGAGAAACCATTACATCTGAGAAGTATGCTCAGCAAATCCGCGAGATGCATCGAACACAGCAATGCCTGTAGCTGGCACTGGTCAACAGAAAGGGCCCGATTCTCTCCTCGACAATGCCCGACCCCAAGTTGCACGATCCATGCTTCAAAACTTGAACGAATTGGGCTATGACGTTTTGCCTCATGCACCATATTCACCTGAACCTCTTGCCAACCAACTACATCTTCAAGCATCTGGACAACTTTTTGCAGGGAATACACTTCCGCAACCAGCAGGATGCAGAAAAATGCTTTCCAACAGTTACTCAAATCCTGAAACACAAATTTTTACACTACAGGAATAAACAAACTTATTTCTTGTTGGCAAAAATGTGTTGATTGTAATGGTTCCTATTTTGACTAATAAAAATGTATTTGAGCCTAGTTATAATTTTTTAAAATTCACAGTCTGAAACCGCAATTGCTTTTGCACCAAACTAATATGAACATGAGGTCTCCCCAGCTCCTGGGCTGAGTACACACACCCTGTCAGAGGAAGACGTGAAGTGGATTCCATCACAACTGCCACACGCCTGGGCCCGGTGGAGCCAGTCACCCCAAACTTGTATTCAGTGCAGCATTTTCCCACATTTTGCCATCTGGTCTTATGCAAAACAGGTGTTGTTTTGCAGCTACAGAAAATGTGACCCGGGCACTTTGGTTATATACTCCCAGTTACTTGTCTAATAATTAGCCATGCTGGAATTCACAGTCGCAGACACTAAAGCCTGGGATTCTTGCAATGCTACAGCCATGAGCCTAGCCACACAGAAGGCACTGGGCCTTAGCCCATTTGACCTCCACAGCAACAGTCCTATAAGGCCACTGTCACCCTACCTCCCAGGATGAGACAGAGACTCAGGGAGGCAAGTACTCGCACTCTACCTGTCCAGCTCGCATACGCCACTGGGCTAGAATTCACCTTACAGCTCTGCCCTTGTGCACATCAGGGAGGAGGAAGGCAGCCTTTACACGCCACAGACTTACAGACACCATTTATAGACATTTCAGGCAGCACAGAGTGGAAGCCAGGAGGGCTTGATAGGCTTGCAGTGAGAACAGTCATCTCTGTGCCCCAGGCTGCACTCATGCCCTCAGTTCACACCAGTCCTTGGAGCGCCTACGCTGGTGACTGGGGCTGAGGGATGGTGGATGGAGGGCATGCTGGGTCAGAAAGAATCGTGGGGGGGCTTCATCCAGCCTGTCCTTTCTCTTCCCCCATCCTTTCTCTTCCCCCTGTCCTTTCTCTTCCCCCTGGGTCCCTGCTGCCCCTGGGCTCCTTCCCAGCCTGTGCCTCATCTGGGATGTGTCCTCTGAGGCAGCAACTGCCCTTGACCTTATTGTTACCTACCCTCTAGGCTCCTCTCCCAGCTTTTGCGTTTGGGTGGAGGATGTGGCCAGCAGACACCGCGATGCCTGCGTGTCTGGGCAAAACAGGGGAAGAGAGGAAATACCAGCCGGCTCAGCCTGTGTGTGTATGTGCACCCGTGGGTCAGCATGTGCATGTGTGTGTCTGTATGTGTGTGTCTCTGTGTGTCTGTGTGTGTGTCTGTGCGTGTGTGTCTGTGTGTCTCTGTGTGTCTGTGTGTATCTGTGTGTATGTGTCTGTGCATGTGTGTGCCTATGTATCTGTGTGTGCCTGTGTGTGTGTGTCTGCATGTGTGTCTGTGCATGTGTGTCTGTGTGTGTCTGTATGTGTGTGTGTCTGTGTGCGTATGTGTCTGTGTGTGTGTGTCTGTGTGTGTATGTGTGGGTGCGTCTGTATGTGTGAGTGTGTCTACGTGTGTGTGTGTGTATGTGTGGCTGTGTGTGTCTGTGCGCGTGCGTGTATACAATATTGGTGGCTCCCCCTCTAGAGAGGCCTTCTCAGACTGCCTCCTCTTAAACTAACCTCTTCATCCACTTATCCTGATTAATTTTTTACACACTTTCCCCTGCCTGACACCATATTTTACACACACACACACACACACACACACAGAGTTTATGGGTCTGTTGTCCGTCTTTTCCACTGGGTTAACCTATTCTAGTAAAACAGAAGTTCTAGGAGGAAAGGAACCTTGCTTGTCCTGTGACTCCATGTGATTGGCATCAGGACAGAGCCCCTGCAAGTGGAGCCAGGAAACAGGGAGGGCGGGCGCAGGGGAAGTGTCGTCCTCCAGGCTGCAGACCAAGGTCACAGAAGCCTCCCCACCCATGGCTGAGGCCTGTTGCCGAGAAGGCTAAGAAACCTCCACCAATCTCCAAGAATGGTGGCCTACACTTCACCAAAACTGTCCAAATCCCGCACGAGTTCCCCACAGTAGTGAACCCTGACTCAGGCCCACACGTGGGAGGGACAAGAGTGTTGCTGCTGAGGGCACAGCCAGCTGGGAGACAGGAGGCTCCCAGATGCACAGCAAGCAGTCAATCAACATCCATGAATAAATGGGCAAACTAATAAGGAACCCATTGATATTTAGACTGATTCAAATGCACTAGAAAGGGCCAGGCGCAGTGGCTCACGCCTGTAATCCCAGCACTTTGGGAGGCCAAGGTAGGCTGATCATTTGAGGTCAGGAGTTCGAGACCAGCCTGGCCAACATGGTGAAACCCCATCTCTACTACAAATGCAAAAATTAATCAGCTGTGGGGGCGCATGCCTGTAGTCCCAGCTACTCAGGAGGCTGAGGCACCAGAATCGCTTGACCCCAGAGGGCAGAAGTTGCCGTGAGCCAAGATCATGCCACTGCACTCCAGCCTGGGCAACAGAGTGAGACTTGGTCTCAAACAAAAAAGAATGCATTAAAAAATTTCAAGACTCTGATTTTCAACAACTAATAATCTTGTTCATCTATTTAAGAATATTGCACGGCATATTTATTTAACCTGTGAAAGGAAAATCAATCTCGGGACCACCAAATCACTAAGCCAAGGGGAAAATTCAAGCAGGGAACTGCGATAGGCAAACCTGCCTCCCATTTTATTCCTAGATAAGATAGCTGCAAAGATTTAAAAAGCTACACACCTCCCTCACAATTTTCCCACAAGGAAATTCCTTGTGGGCCTCAAGATTTTTCCCCTAGAACAGTTCTGCTGAATTTTACCCTGACAGTGTAAACTGATAGCTTACCTTCCCAGGTGTGGGACAGAAAGTCATCCCTCTGCTCACCTGAGGCAAATGCACATCTGATTGCTTCCTCTGCCCTTTTGTTGATGGAGAATGCAGATTCACTGAGCCAGACTAAGACATAAGTGACTATTCCCCTATCCCACTCTCACATATATATTGTATATTCACTGAAAGGCTGAGCAAAAACTCAAAAGAACACAAACTTTGGGCTCCTATCTACCTATGACGTGGAAGCCCCCGCCTTGAGTTGTCCCAACTTTACAGACCCAACCAATGTACAGCTTACACATACTGATTTGTCTCATATCTCCCTAAAATGTATAAAAAGCAAGGCGTCCCCTGACCACCTTGGGCACATGTCATCAGGACCTCCTGAGGCCGTGTCACGGGCAAGTCTTTAACCTTGGCAAAATAAACTTTCTAAATTGATTGAGACCCATCTCAAATACTTTGGGTTCACAAAACAAAAGCTCATTGTTGCCACGGTTTGCGCAATTTCTCAGCAGCCAGCGCAATGAGACACATGGGTTCTGTCATCAGTTTTATTTGTGAAACCTGGCTGTGGTTCCTACCTTCAAAAGTAGAGCAGGGATGGCTTTCACTTAACCTCCACCAGCTTTTATCTCATCCGGCTGTGGGCAGACCTTGTTTACTGTCCCTGCCACCTGTGGCTTCAGTGGCTCGTAGGCAGGAACCAAACCTTTGAATCCCTAAAATCCCAGCCCCATGCACATCCCGGCACAGAGGATAGGCTCCGTGACTGTTTGCCAAATGAGGAAAAGGAAAGGAATCTGTGCACCGTGTGCCCTGTTACTAACCAGCTCAGATCAGAGCAAATCTATGATAGACTCCATTATTTCTACTAATTATGCATTAGAATATGCTCTCCCGGAACCAAGGCATACCATGGTGCAGAGATGATTTGTTGACAACCCAGTGCCCAAAATACTCTATTGAGCAGGTACCCAGTTTAAAAGGTAATAATTTATACTAACATTTTAGGTGAATTAAGAATGCATTCATCTATTAGAGATATAGTCTGATAGGCTGGGAAGGGCATGGGCTTTGGAATCCAAAGCCAAGTCTGGATCCTGACTTCACTCTTTTCCTAGCTGGCCCTGGAAAGGTTGTTTTGTATTTCACTAATATCTCCAAACTGCCTGTCTATATTTGGGCATTACGGTCTGCTTTGCTGGGTTGTTGTAAGAATGAAATATGATGCCTGCAAACTATATGTTATAGCATTTATTGATGAGGATGTAGAGAAATCAGAACCCTTGCACACTATGGGTGAGAATATAAAATGGTGCAGCTGCTATGGAAAACATCATGGTGGTTCCTTAAAAATTAAACATAGATTTACTATATGATCCAGTCCATTCTCACATTGCAATGAAGAAATACCTGAGACTGAGACTGGGTAATTTATAAAGAAAGAGGTTTAATTGACTCACTGTTCCACAGGCTGTACGGGAAGCATGGCTGGGGAGGCCTCAGAAAACTTACAATCATGGCAGAAGGCCAAGGGGAAGCAGGCACATCTCACATGCCAGAGCAGGAGCAAGAGAGAGCAGAAGAAGGGAGAGGCCATGCATTTTTAAACAACCGGATATTGTGAGAACTCACTCACTATCATGAGAACAGCATGGGGGAAATCCGCCCCCATGATCCAATCACCTCCCAGCAGGTTTCTGCCCCAACACAGGGGATTACAATTCAACATGAGATTTGGGTGGGGACACACAGCCAAACCATATCCATACCCAAAACAAGTGAAAGCAGAGATACAAACAGATATTTGTACATTCATGTCTACAGCAACATTATTCGCAATGGCCAGAGGGTGGAAGCAACCCAAGTGTCCATGGACTGCAGAATGGATGAACAGAATGGGTCGTCCACAGGCAATGGAACATTATTCAGCCTTAGAAAGGAAGGAAATTCTGACACGTGCTACTCCATGAATGAACCTTGAAAACATTACGCTAGGTGAAATAAGTCCAGTCACAAAAGGACAAATACTGTATGATTCCACTCATATGAGGTACCTAGAGTAGCTGAATTCATACAGATGGAAAGTAGAATGGGGGTTACCAGGGAAATGGAGAGTTGGTGTTTCATGGGTACAGAGTTTCCACTGGGAGAGATTTTAAAATATCTAGAGATGGATAGTGGTGGTGGTTGCATAACAATACAAATATAGTTAGTGCCACAGAACTGCACACTTAAAAATGGTTATAATGGTGAATTTTATGTTATATAGATTTTTCCATAATTAAAAAAAAAAAACAACGTAGCCTTTTCACAAGATGGCGCCGAAAGCAAAGATGGAAGCTCCTGCCCCTCCTGAAGCGGAAGCCAAAGTGAAGGCTTTGAAGGCCAAGAAGGTAGTGTTGAAAGGCGTCCACAGCCACAAAAAAAAAAGAAGATCCGCACGTCACCCACTTTCCGATAACACTGCGACTCCGGAGGCAGCCCAAATATCCTCGAGAGAGCGCCCCCCGAAGAACAAGCACCCAGATATCCTCGAGAGAGCTCCCCACCGGGAGAACAAGCGCCAAAATATCCTCGGGAGAGCGTCTCCTGGAGAACAAGCTTGACCACTATGCTATCATCGAGTTGCCGCTGACCACTGAGTCGGCCGTGAAGAAGACAGAAGACAACAACACACTTCTGTTTATTGTGGATGTTAAAGCCAACAAGCACCAGATCAAACAGGCTGTGAAGAAGCTCTATGACATGGATGTGGCCAAGGTCAACTCCCTGATTCGGCCTGATGGAGAGAAGAAGGCATATGTTTGACTGGATCCTGATTACAATGCTTTGGGTGTTGCCAACAAAATTGAGATCATCTAAAAAGCTGGCCAATTCTAAATATACATATATAATACATATAATACATAATATAATATATATAATATATATAATATAATATATATAATATATAATATAATATATATAATATATAATATAATATATATAATATATAATATAATATATATAATATATAATATATAATATATACATACATGTAATATAATATGTAACATATGTGATATATATCATATATGTGTGTATGTATGTGTATGTGTACATATATACATATATGATATATGTTATATATGTGTATATATACATATATATGTGTGTATATATACATATACATATATATATATGTATATTACCAGAAAAAAGTATATGGCACAAGAAATAAATGTTTGCTTTTATTTGTCTGCTTGTGAGGGTCAGATCTTAAGAAAAGCTTACAGAAGTCAAGAGTGATGGTGATGCCACAACTGGAAAGATTGGGCCCATGGAGTTTCTTGCCCCAGTGAGGGTGCTGCTGCTTTCCAGCAAGGCTGTTTTCAAGCCTGAAACCTGAGCCTTTGTTCAAAGCCTGTCATCTCTCCAGTGTCCTGAGCAGACCACCCGGAAGGTGCAGTGGAGATGGTTTCGGGGAGGGTTGGAGTCATGGCTGTAGAGTACAGCCAGGGGTACCACTGGCTCACAAGTCCTTTCTCTCTATGACAGAAACCAAACTGCTGGTTGTGTGTCTAGAGACAAACCTGGGAACCTGTGAAAATTTGAAAGCATTGAGCAACCCCTACCAAGAGCATTCCCTCAGTCCCTGACACCAAAACACCTGGCATCCCAGGTGAAGGCCTAGCTCAGCTGCCATCTCCAGGAGGAAACGGAGGTCTCACCACAGCAGCACACTTGCTATCCTATCCCTCCAAGACGCAGCAGCGCAACTGCTCCATCCAGTGCCTTCATTTCACTGCATCACTGGCTAGTGGAGTCACTGTTTAATATATGAATGTTAGCAAATTCCACGATCACACAAATGAAAATATCTACACCTGGTATTTGCATTTGATATATAAACATGTTTGTTGTATGATGAGAATGACAGATATCCTAGCCCAGGGTGGTATCCAACAAGTCCTATGATTCACAGCAGCTCCAGTGCTCTGAGCATGGGATAAATACTCAACCAGGGGTACACAGCAGGCCTAGAATAGGTGGAAGGGCAGTCGACCCCAGCTCAGGGACATTGCTGGGAGCCCAGGGTGGCCCACACAAGTACAGGGAGTAGGAATCCAAAGATGATTGAGATGAAGTGCCCACCTTCAAGGAGTGTGAGCCTCCAGGTGCCTACAAAAACAGCAAAAACAGTAAGGCCCACCATCGCTGGCTGGGTGACAGGCACTATCCTGATTTCATAACAACATTTAATCCTTGCAACAATATTTTGCAGTAGATACTGGTTATTCTCACCACCTCACAAATGGGGAAACTGAGGCACAGAGCATTAGGTAACTCCCCTAACACCACCCAGTTCCTCACAGTGGGTAACCGGGGTTTTAGCCTCCTGAGTCTGCAGGTCTGCCATGCTGTAGGGTGCAGCCTAGTCCCATAACCCAAGCCAGGAGGTGAGGAAGGTTTCCAGGCTGCATGAAACTCTCCTGGAGGGAGCTGATCCCATTCTGGATCGTAGATTCCAAAGGAGGAAGGTAAAAACCTTAGAACTCATGAGGGCCACACTCATACTTAATAAACGAGGAACCAAGGCCACGAAGGCACCCCGTGAAGATTCTGGTTGGGCCTTGCTGGGAGCATCCAGCTTGCTCTTCCAGATGGCTGTGAGTGTCTGGCAGTGCTTGCCGCTTATGGACACAACACAAGCAGTTTGCTTTGATGAGAAAGCCTGGCTCTAAGCCAGGGCTCACATGGCAGGTGCATGATGATTTACTAAGCATGTAGGGACCCAGAATCCAGCACCCAGCCTGGCCTTCCACGGGCTTTGCTGGGAAGCAGCTATGCTGGTTGGTAGACGGTAAGGAGGAAATGAGGGTTTACAGAGGTAGGAGGGAGAAATTGGGGGAGAGAGTACACCCCCTTTTTCCTGATAAGACAGCTGTTCCATTACATCCTGAATTACCCTACTCTCAATACTGTTAAACAATAAAGCTTGCTTGGTTTGGGACACTTTTAAACGCAGTTGTAATTTTGAAGTCCATAGGTAGAGTTAGGGCAGGATTTTGTGAAGATCTGGGCCAAGACTTGCCTCCGACCTGGTCTCTGTGCCCAGCTCATTGGCCTCTGCTGCCCAGAAGCCACCCTGCAGTGAGTGAGATCCAGGACTTAGGAGCAAAGTCTGCCTTCACATGGGTAAACTGGTGGCAGCCCCAGAAGCAACCTGCTCTTACGCCAGGCCATGAGCCCCAGGAGTCGGATTCTTCCTTCTCCACACTGTTCTCTGGTGTGTTTTCCTCACCTCCCTACTTGTTCCTTTACCTTTTCTTCCTATCCTTCCTTGACTCCCAGAAATACCACAGGAACAGAAGCCAGAAGACTCAGCATCTACAGACCCAGTAGCTGGGAGACACAAGGCAAGTCGGTCCACACTGTTGAACATCAGTTTCCACCTCCAGAAAATGGGACCTTGGGGAAGATGGATCTGCTATACTAGTCTCACAGGCTGAGGCAGTGATCATATGAGAGCGTGTGTCCCACAGGACCTCTTACATGCTGTGCGAACATGCCAGGACAGGAAGCCCCAGCCGAGACGGCTAACGGGGGGCATCCCAGAAGAAATGTGTGGCCATTTCATGGGATGTTTTCTCCAAGCTAAAGGTGATGGAACATCATATTCATTATCTGAGACCCTAATAATTAGCTGTTCAATCAATGAGTGCATAAGTGAGCCAAAACCAGTTAAGGATGCATGCATCTGAAATCAACAAATACCCACTGAGCTTTCATTACGTGCCAACTGTTGTCATGGGTTTCCTTTGTATGAAATTCAAAGACTAAATCACCTTCATGTTCTAATATAAAGGCAATAAAGAGGCAAATAACTCTGATTCAAGGCAGAGACACTAGGAGGAAAGTAAAAAATACAGTGCAGATTCAAAAGGAGGAAAATGCTACAGCATTGGGAGGTCAGGAAAGGTTCACTGGCCTTGACACAACGACAGAATTCCAAACTGTGTCACCAAGAAAGGGTGTCCCAGGCCAAGGGAGTCACCTGCCCAAAGCTATCAAGGCAGAAGATGTAGGACTTGGAGGGAGCAGTAAAACCAAAGCATAGGTGTAAGTGGAAGTGCAAGAGAAAAGTGGACACTAAACCAGCAAAATGTGATTGGAGCCAAAGAACAGAGGTCTCCAAGCGTCAGCTGAGGATCTTAGATTTACTCTCAGGACAGGAATGAGTGTCTGGGTTCTTCCAGGCATTGGCTGACACAACAGATTCCTTTTGCAAAAGAGCAAGTGATCAATTACGGTTTCAATTAATAATCCCCTGCCTAAACATAACTTCCTGCTACCTGATACAAACACTCTCTCCCACATGAGCAAGTCATTAGCCCCTGAAGCCAAGCAATCATCATGTATTAAATGGGATTAGCAGTACCCACATCACAGAGTTGTTTTGGGAATTAACTGTGACAAGAGCTATGCAAGTACCTGGCTTGGAGATGTGTCTTTTTGTCCAAAATACAACAACTTTTTTTGGTAGGGACTTATTTGCAATACAGACACACCTGAAATGAGGAAGTACATTCCAGAATTATCTAGCTGAAGAAGGCTCCATGTCATAGGTTAGGAATTTCAAAGGTGGGAGTCAGTGGCTTGCCAAGGCTGCATGGCCAGTCACCCACAGCATTGAGCCCAGAGTCCAAGCCTCCCAACCCCAGCATCCTCTCTCTTGCTGCTGGCTTCTCAGAAATAAAACACCAGAGAGTGAGTAAATGCACCTGGGATGTTTCCTGCAGCAGAAAAGCCTGGTTGTTCTTGCTCATCCTAATCCCCCATCCATTAAAAGTCCTGAGTGCAAATGTTGAAGACAACATTGACCAACGCTGCAAAACCCCTTTGTTGCCGGCTTGCATAGAACAGAGAGTCCAGGGAGTCAACCACAAAGTCAAGAAGATCACCTTGTACAGATAGACCTTGCCTTGACTCTGGAAGCCATATTCTATCTACCTCCAACCCCTAAATGCACAGGTGCTATGAGTTATTGGGTGTATCATTTTGCAGATTAGGAATTAATGGCTCAGAGAAATTGAACAACTACACCAAGAACACACAGCTGGTAACCATCGAATGTCTCAGCTTCTGCAGCTTCTCAATATGCCATTGCCTTCACCAATGCTACCAGTTACCTCTGTGTTGCTGAAACCAGTGAGCGCTCTTTCAGTCTCTCTCACCAAACACTTTCTTCCTAAAAGCCCTTATCTTCCCTTGGCTCTCATGACACCACACTCCTCTGGTTTGGTGCTCTCAGAACAACCCCTTGTACTGTTGTTGGTTGGCCAATCCAACTCTACTAGACCTCAGATGTTGGAGTTACTAAGGAATGTCTCCTTGGCCTTTTCTGCTTTTCATTCTGCAGAGAGGAGTTTCACGCACCCCTTTGGCACTGATTGCCTCTCTAGGCCAGTACTTTCCCAAATGAGCCTCGAGCTTAGAAGCATATATCCCTGCCTGAATGGCCCACGCACTTCTCAAACTCCACAAACCCAAAGCCCAACTCATTGTCTGCAGCTTGCCCTTGTAAATAACAGCCCCATCCACCTGAAATGACTCTTGAGTCCTCTTTCTCCTCCACTTCCTACACCCAAATAAACTTTTCATTCCTCCTTCTAAGTATTAATAGCTCTTAAACCTTCCATTTCTACCATCCTCACCGCCACCCAGCCTCTTATACTGGACTCATCTGGCAGCCTCCTAACTGGGCTCCCTGCAGCCACTCACATCTTCTTCCAAATCAGCCTCCACAAAGCAACGAGGCTGATGTTTCCAAAATGTAAATCGGACCATGTTACTCTCTTAAAATCTTTTGATAGGTGTCCAAACGAATGACTGGATAAACAAAATGTAGTATACACAGGCAATGAAATAGTATTCAGCCTTAGAAGAAAGGAAATTCTCACACATGCTACATGGATGAGCTTTGAGGACATTGTGCTCAGTGAAAGAAGCCAGACACAAAAGGACAAATACCGTGTGATTCCATTCAGACAAGGCACCTACACTAGTTAAATTCACAGAGATGGAAAGTATAGCTGGGTTTACCAGGGGCTGGGCGAGAGGAAAGTGGGAGTTACTGCTTAATGGGTATGGAGTTTCAGTTTTACAAGATAAAAAAGTTCTGGAGATGGATGGTGATGACTGAACAACAACGTGAGTTTACTTAATGCCACTGGACTACACACTTAAACATTGTTAAAATGGTAAATTTTGAGTTATGTGTATTTTGCCACAATATTTAAAAAGAAAAGAAACTGTTCAACGGTTTCCCCTTGTCCTTGTAGAAAAGTTCCACATTGCCAGGCATAGTGGCTCATGCCTGTAATCCCAGCCTCTGGGAGGCTGCGCAGGCAGATCTCTTGAGCCCAGGAGTTCAAAACCAGTCTGGGCAACATGGTAAAACCCCATCTGCCCACACACAGAAAAAGAAACAAAAAATTAGCCAGGAGTGGTGGCACCTGCCTGTAGTCCTAGCTTCTCAGGAGACTAAGGTGGGGCCTGGAAATCTCTTGAGCTTGGGAGGTCAAGGCTGCAGTGAGCCATGATCAGGCCACTGCACTCAAGCCTGGGTAACAGAGAAAGACTATGTCTCAAAAAAAAAAAAGAAAAGAAAAGTTCCCCATCCTTGGCAGGGTTCCCCAGGCATGGTGGCCAAGCCCCTGAGCCTGCTGTCCTCCTCTCCCCGTTTTTCAGGGCCAGCTGCAATGCACTTTGCTGGTTCCTAACATGGATGGCCTCTGAGGGTCTATGTCCTCTGCCTAGAGTGCTCATAGCCCCTCTCTCCCTGCACCACTCCTTTTGCCTGAACAGCTTCTGCTCATCTTTCAAATCTCAACTTCAACACCCCAAGCTCTGAAAGGACTTCCCTCACACCCAAACGATGTCACGACCCTGGATTCACATGAATACTAGTCCGTGTGCTGCGCCTGCAAGAGATTTAACACCTGCAAAATTATTTAACACTTGTATGCCGTGCTGAGAATGAGACCCATCTCTGTCTCATCCGTGTGTGTTTGTGTGTGTGTGTGTGTGTGTGTGTGTGTGTGTGTGTGTGTGTGTGTAGTGCCAGGCACAGCATTGATAAAAGTCCTTCCAGGCCTACTGTTGGATGACAGAAGAGGTGGCATGCTCACTGTTTTCCTGAGTCCAAGCCTTCCCTCTCTGTGGCTCTGACGCCGCCAAGTCCCTCAGTGACAGTGGACAAAAGAGCAAAAGTGGGCTGAGGGCAGGAGTGCAGGATGGGTCTGATCTCTTCACGCCGAAGAGCCTACCAAGTGTTCAACCCCATGAATTATCACAAAGCCAGCTCCCCTTCAGCCTGCCCTCCACTTGCAACAGAACCCAGCAGGGCAGGGCCCTAAGCCTCTTCCCTCCTTCCGAATCATTCCTAGCCTGGTGCATTAGTCAGGGTTCTCCAGAGAAAAAGAACCAAAAGCACATTCATAAATAGATAGAAAGATGCTTATTAGGAGGGACTGGCTCATGTGATGATGGAGGCTGAGCAGTCCCACTATCTGCCATCTGCAAGCCAGAGGCCCAGGAAAGCTGCAGATGTCGTGCAGTCCAAACCCGAGGGCCTGAGCACCAGGGCAGTCTACGGAGAAAATCCTGATCGGAGTCTTAAAGCGCCTGAACTAGAAGTTCCAATGTCCCAGGGCAGGAAAGGATGGATGTTCCAGCTCAAGAAAAGAGAGCGAGTTTGCCTCTTTGTTCTATTCCTCCCCCAAGAAATTGCACAATGCCGCCCATGCTGGTGAGTGCACATTTTCTTTACTACAGATTCAAATGCTAACAGCTCTCCCAATCACCGTCAGACACACCCAGAATGAGTGTGTTACCAGCTTTCTGAACACAGCCCAGTCAGGTTGATAAAGAAAATTACCCATCACACCTGGGTCCTACCCCACTTCCTGTGTTGCTGAAGTGTCGACACTATGCAAGCCCTTGGCCAACATCGTCTCACCTAACTCCAACAACAGCCCTCCGTTCTTCAGAGGAGAGATGGTCACAAATTGCCCCAAGTCACATTGAGAGAGCAAGGATGCCAACATGTGTTTCCACCACCAGAATCCTGCTGTGTGTCTACGGTTTGATTCCTTGGCTTTGCAGTCTCCGAGGATAGCACTATAACAGTGTCCAGCATGCCCTACCCATTCTTCAAGCTCCCTCTAAATGCCACTTCTCCAACGGTGCCTTTCCTAAGCCCCATGAGAACCAGTCGCTCTTCCCCTCACCTCCCAGAGGAGACTTCTAGAGCCAATATTGATCTAGCCACGGGCACGAATTATTGCTCTGATGCCCCCACAAGCCTGCAAGCTCCTTGGGGACAGGAGCCAGGTCTTCATCTCTGCTTTCTCCCAATCTAGCCCAGCCCCTACATACAGAAGATGCTTATTATTAACGTGGGTTGAATAAATAAATCAAAGGGTAATGTGCCTAACCTATTCAAGCCCGTTTCTTCTTCTGGGAAGAGGGGATAAATAATTCTTGCACAACCTACTTCACGTAGTTGTTGTAAAGTTGGAAATGAGAGGAGGTGTTTCCTTCACTTAAAAATACCGCCGCATATAAGATTCACAATTCATTATCCACTTCTCAAGGAGAATCGGGGGAAGGGGAGAGAAGACCACATTAATTATTTACATCAATTATAAGATTCACCTTAACTTCAAAATGCTAAAATTGAAAAAGCATACATTCACAAATCCTAGAAATACATCAAGATGTGTAAAAGCATGAAGCAGTAACATTGTGTGAGTTGTGGCCATTTGGGGGGTTTGTTAAAAAGACAGATCCTAGAGCCTCATTATCAAAAATTCTGATGCGAGGGTGATTTTTTTTTGGGTGAAGAATCACCAGGTGATTCTGATGAGCTGCCTAGTTTGAAAATTGGTCCCTAAAAAGACATAAAATTCACCCTCTTCTTTTAAAAGGGAGGAAACCGGGGGTGGCTGATAACCCATAGCTTCTCACAGATCGGGCACAGGCGGTTCCACAAAACCCTGACTCCAGCTTCACCTCCCACTCTTCATCGGGGCTTCCCACCAGGCCATGGCGCCTCCTTCTGGCTCCAGCTCAGGCTTTGCCAGATGCTGATGACTTCGGCAAATCCGGACTCCTGACATCATTGGCTGTTCTCATTTCTGCAAAGCCAATGAACAAACCACTCACAGGAAAAAGCTGGTTACAGCAGGAAGCTGTCTGGGGGGATTTCAGATGGGAGCTGATAGTTGCACACACAAAATTGGTTTTACTTCCTTTAGCGTCTAGTAACCCTTTTACTCCACACTCACAATAAATCACATAAACACATGATCTCTTGAGTTGCTGAAATGCTTCCAATTGCCTTTGTTTTCAACAAGGTTAAAACAGTATGAAACAACCTGGCTGGCATTTGGCAGAGGACAACCATGATTCCTTTTGGTGTGAAACAAAAAGAAGTCCCCAAAAGTTAAGGACCTTGAAGAGCCCTATGTATGCTCAGATTTTTTTTGTTTGTTTTTATTTTTCTTTGCTTTATTTTTAATTGACACATAATAATTGTACATATGTATGAGTTACACTGTGATACTGACATATGTACACCTTGTGTAATCATCAGTAAGCCAGACACAGAGAGACAAATACCACCTGATCTCACTCATATGCAGAAACCAAAAAGTGGATCTCACAAAAGCAGAGAGGAGAATAGCCTTACCTGAGACTGGGGAGGGGACGGGGAGGGGGGATGGGGAGGGGAGGGGGAGGGGGGATGGGGAGGGGTTGGTCAATGGGCACAAAGTTACCATTAAACAGGAAGAAAACGTTCTGGTGCTCTACTGCCCAGTAGGGTGATTATAGTTGACCATGATGTATTGTATATTTCAAAATAGCTAGATTCTGAGATTCTGAGAAACCAGGGTCAGGCTCAGGGGTGAAAAGGGACTGCCCGGACTCTCAGGCAGCACCACCCACCCCAGCCAAGTGGGATTGGCTGGGCCCGGTGCTGGGACAGATGCAGGTACAGTCACCTCACTTCAGAGGCTCAGGGAAGCCTCTGATTGTCCCTTTTTTAGCTTTCACGCTGTCACTTTGAACAAATCTCTTTACACTCTGCAATTATCTTCTATATCTGTAAATTATCTGATGATGTTGAGCTAGATTAGTTCTACCTTTCCTTTTATTAACTGCCAGAAACTGTCTGTCACACAAAAGCCATTCAGAAGTCCTGGCCTGTGGAAGAAATGGCTATGGCTAGGAAGTGGGCTAAGGTGTCGAGCGCAGCCTTGTTGGTACTGGCAGAACTCTAAGTCCCAGGGACTCCCAGAAACTCCCTGGAGTAGACACTGGCTACGTCCTTCCAGCTGAGATATTATGAGGCTATGATTCGGATGGGCAGTAAATCACAATTCTGGGCACAACAGGAAGAATTTGATTTCCTTGCTTGGCTCAAAGCTTCCCTGGCAGAGGTGTGTTTTCGGTTCCATCTGCCAGAGCACAGCTTGCAACTCCCTGCGGGGTACAGGTTGGTCATGACTATAAATGCTATCCTATTCCAAGTGTGTTTCTATTGCAGTGGGGAACACCATTCAACACTCGGTTCTGGAAAGAATATTAGACGCATTGCAACACATCCTAGGAGGATCGCTGGGGAGCTAGGGTGGACATTAAGACCATCCATCCACCTCTTTGCCACCTCTAAGGCTTTTTCTATTAGATATCACAATGGGATTTGGATGTAGAACAAAAAGATGCTGCCAGATAAAGCTTTTTCTGAATTGTAGAATTACTACTGGCTTTGTGTTTCTTCAAAGTGTGTGTAACGTCTCCAACCCGGCCAACAAAAAGGTTGTTATGCGAATTATGAGTTATAATATCAATGTCACTTTTTTAACATTTTGCCTTCATATTTCAGAAAGGAACTGAAATAGAAATTATCTGCAAATAGAATTTGCTTCTCAAGAAATCCTTTGAAACCCTTTGAAAGCACCAAGCACTGTGGATTCACAGTGTGAGTCTGAGCTACTTGCATCACCTCTGTAAGGTACACTGACATCACACACTCATCTATCTCCACGGTGGCCCAAATGTGGCCCAGAAAGCCAGGATTCTACTGCTGGCTCCCTTTGGAGCTGTGTAGCTCAGTAAGGCCACCATTTGGGCCAATGGCCATCACCGGACCTATCATTTTTTACTCAAAGGAGTGGACATTGTGATTATATTCAAAATAGAAGACATTGAAACATTGTTATTACACTGAGCAATTCTATCCTGCAGAACAAAGAAGAAACATAATGAATCAGGTTGAATGATAAAGTGGGGGAAACACTGGTAACATGCATGAGAAACAACAGCACTGATTTCAAAGGATAAAAAAAAAGCTGCAAAACAATTTTTTAAATGATCCAAGAAACTGTTCAAAAATGACAAACAGAACTGACCAAGAAAATGCAACGCAAACAAGATAGCAGAGAAACAACGAGAGGCACGGATCCATCCTTCCCTAAGTCACCAAGCCCCACAGCTCCTCCTGCTCCTACCATGCTTCCTCTAAAGTGGTCCCAGAGCTACACATTAAGAAATATCCATCTCCCATCCTTCTTCCACTGTGGTGTGTCATCATTATACTATGACCCACCATTCATGGACAACTTCTGCTGTGTCCTGTGCTCCACAGTTCAATTCATTTTTCTCATCTAATAATCACAACATCTAATCTCGTCCCCTATGCAAAAGACAAGCATGTTGACGACCGCTGAGATGCCTTTACAGTGGCTAGCCTAGGATTTGAACCCTGCCTTGTCTGGTTCTTTCTTTTGCCAGGGTCTCTCAACCTTGGCACAATTAACATTTGGGGCTCGATAATTCTTTATCATAGGAGGCCACCCTGTGCCTTGCAGGATGTTCAGCAGCACCCCTGACCTCTAGTGACCAGATGCTCATAGTGCTCCCTCCTAAGCTGCAGCAGCAAAAGTGTCTCCAGACATCACCAAAGTCCCCTGAGTGGCAAAATCACCCCTGCTTGAAAACCACTGCTTTCAACTATGTTTTTAACCCAGCTGCCCTAATTTCATCCCAGATCGACAACAAGAAACACAGTGATTCTCCCGGGCCCATTTCAGCTGGGTGTGGAAACATAACTAAGTCATTTAAAGTAATGTATTTATTGTCGTATTTATTGTCTGTCTCTCCCCAGCCCACAGTGAAGTTGTCAAGACAAGGAACTATGTCTCTAATTCACCCTGGCATGGTGCCTGGCATGTAGTCAGTATCCAAGAAAGTTCATAATTTATAAATGAATGGATAAACCCAGGCCAGTATGAATGGTAATATTGGAAACAGGTGCAAGTCTATACTTTTTTTTTTTTGCATGTGATTGTAAATTAGTAAACCTTGTGGAGGACAAATTGGCAATATGTATTAAAATTTTAAAGATGAAACCCCTTTAACCTTTCAGCCAACAATTCCAAGCCTAAGAATTAATGCAGTAAACCCCATATTACCTACCTCAGGAAAACCCACCGGTGAGTTGCCCAAGTCAAGTTATTCATCCTCATGGTTCCCTGTGCTTTTTCTTCATAATATTTATCATCAAAATAATTAAATAGGCTCACTAGTCCTCCTCCTTTAAAGCAGGGACCAAGCATTTACAGGTTCTTAGTATATATTTGTTACATGAGTAATAATTTAGATGAGTAATTATAACAAGTAAATACATGTATATACATACATTTGGTATTATAACAGTGATTACTGCACCACTCTTATAGTAGTAAAAAAAATAGAAACAATCTAATGTCCATTTATAGGAATGTGGTTAAAAAGTATTCTACTGAGCATCTGTATATCTTCTTTGGACAAATGTCTATTTTGCCCATTTTTAAATCATGTTGGGTTGTTTGTTGTTGAGTTTTAGAAGCTCTTTATATATCTGGACATAAAAATATTGTCAGACATAAAATCTGCAAATATTTGCTACCATTCTATGACTTGCATTTTTATTCCATTTATAATGTATGTTGATGCATAAAAATATTTTTTAAATTTTGATGAAGATCAATTTATCTATTTGCTCTTTTATTGTCTGTGTGTTTGGTGTCATATCCAAGAAATCATTGCCAAATCTATTATAGTGAACTATTTCGCCTATATTTTCTTCTAAGAGTTTTGTAGTTGTAGTTTTTGTGTTTAGGTCTTTGATCCATTTTGAGTTAATTTTTGTATATGCTGTTAGCTAAGGGTCCAACTTCATTCTTTTGCATGTGGGTATCCAATTTTCCCAGCACCATTTATTGGAAAGATTGTCTTTTCTCCCTTTCAGTGGAGTGGCACCCTTGCTGGAAATCATTTGAACACATATGCAAAAATTTACTGTTGGGCTTTCTATTCTATCCCACTATTTATATGTCTGTCTTTATGCCAGTACCAAGCTGTTTTGATTATTGTTCCTTTGTAATGAGTTTTAAAGTCAGGAAGTTTGAGTCCTCCAACTTCATTCTTTTTCAAGATTGTTTTGGCTATTTAGAGTTCCTTGGCATTTTCTATAAATTTTAAGATGGACTTTCTATTTCTGCCAAAAAAATCATTGAGATTTTGATAGGGATTGCATTGTATCAGTAGATCACACTGGGTAATAAGTACATGAAAAGTTATACATGAGGCACAGTCAAAAACTCACATATAACTTTCAACTCCCCAAAAACTTAACTACTAATAGCCTACTGCTAACCAGAAGCCTTATCAATAAAACAAAATATTAATTAACATACTTTTTCTATGTTATATGTCTTATATACTGTATTCTTACAATAAACTAAGCTAGAGACAAAAGTTATTAAAGAAAACATAAGAAAGATAAAATATATTTACTCTTCATTAAGTGGAAGAGGATAATCACAAAGGTCTGCATCCTCATCATCTTCACATTGAGTGGGTTGAGGAGGAGGAGTAGAGGAGAGGTTGGTCTTGCTGTCTCAGGGGTGGCAGAGGTGGAAGAAAATCCATGTGTAAATGGAGCTGTACAGTTCAGCCCCGAGTTGTTCAAGGATCAACTGAAAATGCATGCACTGTAAAAATGGATTTGATCTAAAATATTGAAAGACGTACAACTACTAGGTGGAAAGGAAAACAAGCAAGCTGCAGATCAGTATTACAAAGTGTTTCCTTTTTACAATCTGTAAGTATTGAAGTGTACATGAATAGATACCTTTATGTGTGTAGAAGAGAATGTCATTAACTGAGAGAAACCCAATTGTTAGCAATCTGTTTATCCATGAGAAATAGGATTCAAGACAACTTCCCTTTTCTGCTGCTACACATCAGTATTGTTTTAACTTTTTGCAACACGTATATTATTTTTATAAATAAAATGTTATCTATAAATAAGAAATATTTACTTTATTTGTAAATAAAGACAACAAAACCAACAACGGGGAAGACTTTGAAGACCAGTGTTCCCAGAGCCGTCAGCTCTGCTGCACTTGCTGTGTCTCTGGTGTCTGAGGTCACTCTCCTTAGCACTGGGATGTCCTGCCTGCAAAAGAGAGGATGACACTCAACCCCCTATGCTGATGGCTTGGGTCAGTTCTGGATGTACCACTCATTACCTGTACATTACTCTCTGCCAGTCTAGGTGTATGATCTAGGAAATGGGGTAATGATGACCTCATAATATGGGAAAGAATAGAAATAATCATGGTAAGAACCAGCACTAATTGAACACTCCTCATCTGTGCGCATAAATGTGTTAAACCCACGTAATCCTCTGGTGTTAGACAGTTTACCATTGCTACTAGCAGCAGGACAGGTGAGTGCCAGGCCCAGCTGGCCCTGCCTCTCCACAGAGGCACAGAAGCTGAATCCATCCTGTCTGACTCAGGGGCTGGCCCAGCTCCCTTCAAACACAGCCTCTCGTGGTCCTGAGGACTAGACACATTCACAGTGGCGTCACACCTGGCTGGGGTGGTGCTTGGTGAGGCTGTGTCCTTCGTTTTCCTTCACAGTGGCATTGAGGAGCTAGCTCCAACCTACGTGGGTGGAACTGACTCTCTGAGGAGCTCCTGAGTTAGGACTGAAACCAGCTCAACCCCACCATGTAAGGACTGTGTCCTGTTGACCTTGCAGGTGGAACCCCAGGGCAGGTACTGCCCTACACAGCTTCTGTCCCACCCCAGACCCCCTCCCCTCTTCACACTCAGGTCTCATGCTCCAGAGCTGTGACAAGCACCTGACACAAACAGCTCCTGCTCTGGGCAGCTGCCAGTGGCGTGGCCTGTGAGGTCAGCAGTCAAGGACGTGCCTTTAGCAGATCATAATCAAGATCTACTGCGAGTGGCCAGGTGCAGTGGCTCACGCCTGGAATCCCAGCTTTTTGTGGGGGGCTGAGGCATGAGAATTGCTTGAACCCGGGAGGCAGAGGTTGCAGTGAGTCGAGACCACGCCACTGCACTCCAGCCTAGGCGACACTGTGTGAGAGTCTGTCTTGAAAAAAAGAAAAAAAAAAAAAAGGCCAGGTGGGGTGGCTCACACCTGTAATCCCAGCACTTTGGGAGGCCGAGGCAGGCAGATCACGAGGTCAGGAGATCAACCCCATCCTGGCTAACATGGTGAAATCCCATCTCTATTAAAAATACAAAAAATTAGCCAGGCATAGTGGCAGTTGCCTGTAGTCCCGGCTACTCGGGAGGCTGAGGCAGAAGAATGCCCAGAACCCAGGAGGGAGAGCTTGCAGTGAGCCGAGATTGCACCGGTGCACTCCAACTTCGGTAACAGAGTGAGACTCTGTCAAAAAAAAAAAACAAACAAACTATTGCGGGTAAGGAAATAAGCAATAGTGTTCCAAGTTGTGCTCACCACTTATGGGACTCGCACAGTCTCAAGCCAAAACAAAGCATCCATGTCTTAAAAACCTGAAGTTCCTCCCTGAAGAGGAAGCCCCCATAGGGGTGAGGGTAACAGGAGGTTGGGGTGCTGCCAGGAATGGAGTCCCCGGAGTTTTGTTGTCCTAGAAGAAATGAAGAGTTCACCAAGAATACAGACAACACTTGTGTAAGTCTAACCAGCTGCCACAACAATGTGCCACAGGCTGGGTAAATGCAAGTTTATTTCTCATGGTTCTGGAGGCTGGAAGCTCAAGATGAAGATGAAGGCTGATTCGGTTCCCGGGAGGGACGCTTCTTGGTTTGTGCGTCACGCCTTCTCGCCATGCCCCAGAGCTCTGATTTCTCTTCGTCTAACCATTAGGCCACCAGTCCTATGACCTAATTTAGCCTAATTACCTCCTTAAATATCCTTTTATATATTTATGCAAGCAGGGAATGTGTTCCGTCCATAGCAACACTCTTCTGTTTATTCATTTATTCCAAAACAGTGACTGATTATCTATGCCAGACCCTGGACCCTCCAGTGAGGGGAGACTGTGGAAATCCCACACAGCCCCTCCCCTCCGTCAGCCTTCACTGATGACTGGAGGGAGAGACCAGCATGCAGAGGACACATCAGCCACTGTGATGGCGAATGAGGGCACCCCTTACACTCACTTGTCTACATAACTCAACGTCTTCCCATACCGGCTCTTCCTCCCCTCACCCAGCTCAGGGCCTGACACCACACTCAGTCAAGCCAGGGCCAAAAATCCAGCTCCTTCCATCCAGGGCCAGAAATCCAGCTCCTTCCATCCAGGGCCAGAAATCCAGCGCCTTCCATCCAGGGTCAGAAATCCAGCGCCTTCCATCCAGGGCCAGAAATCCAGCGCCTTCCATCCAGGGTCAGAAATCCAGCTCCTTCCATCCAGGGCCAGAAATCCAGCGCCTTCCATCCAGGGTCAGAAATCCAGCGCCTTCCATCCAGGGTCAGAAATCCAGCTCCTTCCATCCAGGACCAGAAATCCAGCTCCTTCCATCTGCCAGTGGAGGGTGGTTAACTTTAGCTTCTTAATTCCTCTCAAGTTCCTGTCTCATTTCTTCCCCCTTCCCCATATTGTGTAAGATCCTAATGGCTCCTCAGCCCCTTCCTGGGTCTTCCCAAGTCCAAGCTGACGCCCTCTCCATGCATCCTCGACACCTCCATATTAGACTAGTTCTATAATGGCAACAGGCTCATATAATTCCTCTTCCAAAGTCTCCCTATTGCCTAAGAAGAAAACCAAAGCTGCTCAATAAGACACTCAGAAGCCTAAATGTGCACCCTCCACGCACACACAAGCCTAAATGCACGCACACACCACAGCGTAAATACACACACAAACACGCAAGTCAAAATGCACACATACACACACACACGCAAGCCTAAATGCACGTACACACACACAAGCCAAAATGCACACACACACAAATCTAAATGCACACACACAAAAGCCTAAATGGACACACACACAAACACACAAGCCAAAATGCAAACACACAAAAGCCTAAATACACACACACACAAGCCTAAATGCACGTACACGCACACACACACGCCTAAATGCACACACACAAATCTAAATGCACACACACAAACACACAATCCCAAATACAGGCAGACACACACACAAGCCTAAATGCACACACGGAAAAGCCTAAATGTGCACCACACGCACACAAAGATATGAGCCTAAATGCAAACCACACATAAGCCTTAATGCACCACACACACACGCATGCATCTCCTATATAGGCCTTGGTCCCTGCTCTCCTGAGATGTCCGTGGTCCTCCCACCACACTTTCATCTACTTGGCCCCCATCTGCTCTACAGCCTCATCCCGGGTGTCATTTCCTCCATTAGACTGTCATTCATCACAGGTGGGTCAGTAGCCTCATCCCTGGGCTGTCAAAGGCTTGTGCACTTTCTGCCACCACAGCCCCCATCAGTCTCCTTAGTCAGCGCCCACCCACAAAGGCCACACTTTGGTCAATTGTGAGTGATGAAGCCAGGACTCTGGCCAGTCTCACTGCAATATTTATGTGAAAGTAGATGCTGCATTCTGCTTGTATGTGGTTTCTCCTGGGCACATGGCACAGGACCTGGCCTCCTTATCATCTCGCCCGGGCTCCCATGCCTTCCGAGCTGGCTACCACGCCTCACTCCTCAAGAGCGCCCAGGAGTGAGCTCTGCTCTCCAGCATCACCCTGTTGATGGACGTGAGCGGAACAGGGTGATGCCCTGGACACTGGGACTAAAATGACCTTCTTCTAGCACCCTCACAGGATGCTTGAAATCCTGAAAATGTAACCTTAAAAAGCAAAGTGTTTCTTCTCAAAAGAAGACATGTATGCAGCCAAGAGACACATGAAAAAATGCTCGTCATCCCTGGCCATCAGAGGAATGCAAATCAAAACCACAATGAGATACCATCTCCCACCAGTTAGAATGGCGATCATTAAAAAGTCAGGAAACAGCAGGTGCTGGAGAGGATGTGAGGAAATAGGAACACTTTTACACTGTTGGCGGGACTGTAAACTAGTTCAACCATTGTGGAAGTCGGTGTGGCGATTCCTCAGGGATCTAGAACTAGAAATGCCATTTGACCCAGCCATCCCATTACTGGGTATATACCCAAAGGACTATAAATCATGCTGCTATAAAGACACATGCACACGTATGTTACTGCAGCACTTTCACAATTGCAAAGACTTGGAACCAACCCAAATGTCCATCAATGATAGACTGGATTAAGAAAAATGTGACACATATACACCATGGACTACTATGCAGCCATGAAAAAGGATGAGTTCATGTCCTTTGCAGCAACATGGATGAAGCTGGAAACCACCATTCTGAGCAAACTATCACAAGGACAAAAAACCAAACACCGCATGTTCTCACTCATAGGTGTGAATTGAACAATGAGAACACATGGACATAGGGTGGGTAACATCACACACCGGGGCCTGTTGTGGGGTAGGGGGAGGGGAGACAGATAGCATTAGGAGAAATACCTAATGTAAATGATGAGCTAATGGGTGTTGCAAACCAACACAGCACATGTATAAATATGTAACAAACCTGTACGTTGTGCACATGTACCCTAGAACTTCAAGTATAATAAAAAAATAAATAAAATAAATAAAAAATAAAAATGAAATTTAGAAAAAAAGTTTTCCAGGTTCAGAGCAGAAAACATCAGTCCTGAAAATCAGGATTCCAGGGTTTAGATTCCTTTCACTCCCAGGATCTACAGACACCATCGGACCTCACATGGTGCCCGGCAGCATTCTGAGATTTTTTACTTTATTATCTTGTAAACCCCCAAAATTTGAGACAGGTCTCATTTAATTTAAAAAGTTTATTTTGCCAAGGTTGAGGATGTACCTGTGACATAGCCTCAGGAAATCCTAACAACATGTGCTCCAGGTGGTCAAGGCACAGCTTGCTTTTATACATTTTAGGGAGACATGAGACATCAATCAATATATAAGAAGTACAATAGTTCTGTCCAGAAAGGCAGAGACAGCTCAAAGCAAGGCCCCCACCACTGGGGGCTTCCAGGTCACAGGTATGTGAGAGACAGACAGTTGCATTCTTTTTATTGTATTTTTGAGACGGAGTGCGGTTTTGTCACCCAGGTTGAAGTGCAGTGGTGCGATCTCGGCTCACTACAACCAATGTGTCCTGGTTTCAAGCAATTCTCCGGCCTCCGCCTTTTGAGTAGGTGGGATTACAGGTGTGTGCCACCACACCCAGCTAATTTTTGTATTTTTAGTAAGGACGGGGCTTCACCATGTTGGCCAGGCTGGTCTCGAACTCCTAACCTCAGGCGATCTGCCCGCCTCGGCCTCCCAGAGTGTTAGGATTACAGACGTGAGCCACTGCGCCCTGACCGGTTGCATTCTTTTGAATTTATTATAAGTCTTTCCAAAAAAGTTAATCGAAATACGCATGTATCTCTGGGAGCAAAAAGATGACTTGAGTAGAAAAAGAGGCAGATTCGCAATAAGCAGTTCCCAGCTTGAAGGTGCCCGAGATATTTTTCTTTCACAATCTTATTGAACCCACACCTGGTGTAATAACCTGGAAGCCTCCCCAGGAGGCGGTCAGCACAGAGGCTAGGGAATGAGGCTTTCCAGGCCATTATACCAGTTTTCCATTTACCAGCAGGGTGACCTTGGGCAATTTGTTTCAATTCTCTGAACCCCAGTGTTTTTCTTCTCTAACATGAGCATTATATTGCCTGGTCAAAGAATCATAGTGTGGCTTCAATAAGACAGAAGGAAAGGGACAGAAACAGATCCGATAGAATACTGTAGCTAGCTCATTGAGGCAGTTCACAGACGGTGTTTGGGAGGAACTTGGAAGAGGCTGAGCCATGTCTTACCCAGCACCAGCAAGGAAAGCTGTGTTTCGGTTCTTTCTTTTCTCTTTCCACAATCTCACTGCTCCTAGGTCAGGCATGGCTCAGCCTCTTCCAAGTTTCTCCCAAACACCCTTTGTGAACTGCCTCAATGAGCTAGCTACAGGATCCCACTGCATCTTTCTGTCTCCTTCTTTCTGTCTCTCTGAATCTATTTCTCTCTATCTCTCTCTCTCTCTCTATTTCCATCTCTCTCTGTCTGTTTCTATCTCTCTGTTTCTCTTTGTCTCTCTACTGTCTCTCTGCATGTCTCTGTCTCTTCCTCTGTCTCTGTTTTTGTTTGTCCATCTTTCTGGATCTCTCTCTGTCTTTCTCTGGCAGGGTTGAAGTGGGAGTATACGGCAGGTTCATGTTTGGGTGCAGAATGGCATTCTGCCAGCGGTAGAGTGGCTGAGGGTCACTCCACTCTGGGTGTCTCATGCCATGTGGCTGCAGTATGGGGTTCTCATTGGACCACCGTGACAGTGTAGGGTGGATGTCATTCCTGGAAACTGAGCCTCAAGCTGGGTTCTCCAGCAATGCCACCACCCCCCACCAACCCTGATATCCTCCGAATAAACTCTTCCCTTCCTTGGTCAGCGAGAGCCAGCGTCTGCTGCTTGCAAATAAGCCACTGAGACATCAGGAAAGCTGCTCACAGAATTACAATGAAAATCAGTAATAAATAAAATGTTTCTTAAATCTTTAGAATCAAGGAAAACCTGAGGGATACTTGGAGAGTCGCTAACAGCACCCCAATCTGGCAGTTGTAGCTCTGCAGGGTGGGCCCAGGCTGGGCCAGACCCTCACCCTCCAAGGGCCACACTGGGGGCTCACTTTCTGAGGAGTGCCCTTTGGAAACGTCCCAGGAACACGTCTAGTGGGAAAAGAGAAAAGTTGGTCCATCGAGGAGAGTGTTCTGCATAAGGGGAGAGATGAGAAGGTAGCCTTGGCCAGAGGAAGAAACTTCATTACAACCAGCTCTCCTTCTGCAAGGGAAGAGGGTGAAGTTTGAGTTTGTCTTGCAGGAAGACAATCAAACTAAAGAGGCCAACACCAGCTTAGAGCCGAGCGGCCCCCTGCTCAGAGCTTCCCTGTGGCTCTCCTCCATGTGATCCAGAAGGAGGGACTCCAGTGTGAACTGCCTGTTCCAGAAACCCCATCAGAACTGCCTAACCTAGAAAACCAAACAGGAGGAGCTGGCACCAGGGCTCCAGGCTGAAAGCTAAATCCAGCGGCAGCCAGATGGAGACAATGTGCCATGTGACTGCTGACTGCTCAGGGCAAATGACACCAGGGGTTAGCGATTAGAAGTTCACCCTTGACTGTGGCACCTCCCTTCAGTTCCGTCGACGAGGTTGTGCAATCCACCAGTCTTATAAATACAGTGACGCTCCAGCCTCTGGAAGCCTCTGTCAGCTCAGCCTCCAAAGGAGCCAGCCTCTCCCCAGTTCCTGAAATCCTGAGTGTTGCCTGCCAGTCGCCATGAGAACTTCCTACCTTCTGCTGTTTACTCTCTGCTTACTTTTGTCTGAGATGGCCTCAGGTAAGCTCTGGTACCTGCTAGAGTTTCCCATCCCCAGGGCTGGGGACAATGGGGCTGATGTGAGTCTCGGATGGCTGCCTCCGTGTCCCAAGGGACGAGGAACAAGCAGCAGGAAAGCATCCCGTGGTTGAGTGGCCTGCAGTTGGCAGAAGGCAGCAGGCAAGCCCTGCCAAGCCTTCAGGGTCTGTGAGCCGCCAAGGAGTGAGCCTGGCAGGGTCATGGCGCTTGTCACAGGCAGCTGCCTACATCCTTGTCCTGGACATGTAGACAGTATCCTATGTGGATGAGATTGCTGCTTCCCCTGCAAGACGACTCCTCACACTGAGAGGCCAGCTTCCTATGCAGAGAGAGGGGCCGGCCCCATCCTCAGCCCACGTCACTGGGTGCAGCCTCCTGGGGTGCCCTGGTACAGGTGAGGTGCTGCCGCCCCACCCATCAGGCCAGCTCAGCCGGTGCCTTGGACTCACCTCGTGTGCAGGCAGGCGGTCCTCTCCCTCTCCTGAGAAATGCATCCACATTCTCCAGGTTAGCAGTCTCCCCAGTCAATAGGAGGGGGCTTCCTGTGAGCCAGGTGTATGTCAGCTTCTCTGGGCCAAAGCAGCCATGACCCTGACATGATGGTGGGACGTGCGGGAGGAATCGGGAACATGTTTTATCCCAGCCCTATCCTTGTTCACACGAGTCACATGGTGCTAAGCCTTGGTTTATTCATCTGCAGAATGAGGGGCTGGGAAGGATGATCCTGAAAGCAAGCACTCCAGTTCAGAAAGTCTCTGTAAGATCCTATTGTAAGTTTCTCTAGGCCATCACTGTATCCAGCAGATAGGCTTAATTTATTCCAATTATGCCTCAGTTTTTCCATCTGAAAGCTGAGTACAAAAGCATTCTAAATGCAGAACTTTTCATGCTGCCAGTTGCTACAATGGATTTTGTTTTTTTTTTTTTTTTTTGGTTTTTGGTTTTTGGTTTTTGGTTTTGCTTTGCTTTTTTTTTGAGACAGGGTCTCACTCTGTCACCCAGGCTAAAGTGCAGTGGTGTGATCTCGCCTCACTGCAGCCTCTGCCTCCTGAGCTCAGGCCATCCTCCCACCTCAGCCTCCCAAGAAACTGTGACTACAGGCATGCACCACCACACCTGGCTAATTTTTTTATTTTTATTTTTTCGTAGAGATAAGGTCTTACTGTGTTGACCAGGCTGGTCTCAAACTCCTGGGCACAAGCAACCCTCCTAGTTCAGACTCCCAAAGTTCTGGGATTATAGGCATGAGCCACTCCACTCAGCCTACCGTGTTTTTTTGTTTTGTTTTGTTTTGTTTTTTTGAGATGGAGTCTTGCTCTGTCACCCAGGCTGGAGTGCAATGGCACAATCTCAGCTCACTGCAACCTCCACCTCCTGGGTTCAAGCAATTCTCCTGCCTCAGCCTCCTGAGTTAGCTGGGATTACAGGCGCGTGCCACCAAGCCTGGCTAATTTTTGTATTTTTTAGTACAGACGGGGTTTCACCATGCTGGTCATGCTTGTCTTTAACTCCTGACCTCATGGTCCACCTGCCTCCGCCTCCCAAAGTGCTGGGATTACAGCCATGAGCCACCACGCCCGGCCCATGTTTTTTTAAAGGAATAGAAAATATTACTTCATGCCATGTAGTAAAAGTAGATGCTATTTAATTACACCCATATTTCAGTTTGGGGTGTGTGCATATGTTTTTACTGAGTAGCAGTGAGAAATTTCTTTCTGATGGTGGTTCAGTCCAAACTCAAAAGGGTTTGAAAGGCACTTTGTTAACATAAAGAATTTTTGTTTTCAGTCTATTATATCTAAATTGAATTATGAGAAGCTATTCTCGAGCCTTCCCAGTCACAACTCCCTCCTACCCCCAAGAATAATCACTCACTTGACTTTTATGGTGGTAACTTTTCATATTTACACTTTTGCCACACTAATTAATATTCAGGTTGAATAGTACAGCTTGGTTTGTGCACACATTTCTATTGGCCAGTAGGTGCCCTTATGCCTCTATTTCTACATGCTGAAAAGTTGCATCACCGGATCATAGGCTATGCATATATTCAATTGTATTGGACAATGCCAAACTGTTTTCCAAGATTATTTACACCAATTTGCACTCCCACAAGCAGTGAATAAGAGTTCCTCTTGCTCTGTATCCTTGCCAACATTTGATAACATCAATTATTTTTAAATTTTAACCACCTGGTGAGTGTAGCAATAGCTCACTGGAGTTTTAATCTGCATTTCCCCGATAAATAATAAGTTGGGCCCTTTTATACATAGTTACAGGCAACTGGGTTATTTTTTGTAAAATACCTGTTTGTCTTTTGTCCATGTTTTCTTTTGGATTATCTGTCTTTTCTTATTGGTTTGTAGTTCTTTATGTATTTTCTATGCAAGCCTTTTGTCAATTATATACATCACAAATATCTTCTCTTGCTTTGTGTTTTGATTTTTCACTCTCTTAATGGAAACTTTCCTAGAAAAGAGGCTTTTATCATGATTTCAATGTAGTCGAATGTGTCATGTCTTTTTCCGTAAGGTTACTGCACTTTCTATCTTGTTTAAGAAGACTTTCTTTACATCAAAGACATGAAGATAGTCCCCAGTATTGTCTTCTAAAAGCTTATCCTTTTTCTTTTTACATTTAGACTTATAATCCATCTGGCAATGGGGTGTGTGTGTGTGTGTGTGTGTGTGTGTGTGTGTGTGGCTTCGGTATGAAGTAACGGTCAAGTTACTTTTTTTCCCCAATATGAATATCTGATTGTCCAGAACCAACTTTTTTTTTTTTGAGACTGAGTCTCGCTCTGTCACCCAGGCTGTAGTGCAGTGGCACAATCTTGGCTAACCGCAACCCCTCCCTCCCAGGTTCAAGGGATTCTCCTGCCTCAGCCTCCCGAGTGGCTGGGATTACAGGCGCCTGTCACCACACCTGGCTAATTTTTGTATTTTTAGTAGAGAGCAAGTTTCACCATGTTGGCCAGGCTGGTCTCAAATACCTGACCTCAAGTTATCTGCCTGCCTCTGCCTCACAAAGTGCTGGGATTATAGCCATGAGCCACCATGCCCAGCCCAGAACCAACTGTTGATAAGACTATTTTTCCCCACCGTTCTGCTGAGACACTACTATTCTACATCAATTCTCCATGTATGCATGAGCCTCTTTCTACACTCTATCTTATTCCATTTGGACATTTTTCTGTCCTTGTGCCATAAGCACATTGCCTTAATTACAGTGGCTCTACACTTAGTCTTGAAATACAGTAAAGCAAGACCTCTCACCTTTTTTCCAAATGTGTCTCGGCTATTCTCGGCCCTTTGAATTTCCAAATAAAATTTAGAATCACTTTGTCAAATTAGAACCTCTGGGGATTCCCATGGTATTTGGTTGAACCAGAAGATTAATTTTTTTAAAAAAGTAATCTTCAAATGCTTTAACAGAGCATTTCCACTCATTTAGGTCTTCTTCATTTCAAAATGTTTCATGCCTTCATAATAACTTTTTTTATGTTAGTAGGATGTGATGTTCCTGCTTTTGTTTCTGTCTTTCTCTCAAATCTTGACCTAGTAATTCTTTACTGTTGGTTCTCTAATACCTACAAAGTGCACATGTGCGTGTGTGTGTGTGTGTGTGTGTGTGTGTGTGTGTGTGTATGTCAGATATTCTAGCTGTTCTTTTTGGGCTGCCTGGTCCACAATTATTGGAAAACAAAAACCTTCAGAAGCATTTAGATTACACTAACATCCTTAAGAAGCACGTAAGACAAACAGACACAGGCACAGCAATATCGAACACAAGGTGAAGGCAAATGTCATGAAAATGTTAAAGGCAAGTGCTTTTAAAAGGCCCCTAGACTGAAAGCAGCAAAGACTGCTCCAACAGGAAGGAACCTCATTATTCCAGACCAAAGGTTGTAAAAGTATGGCCTCTGGACCAGAAGCTTCAGTGTCACCTAGGAGCTTGTTTTAAAATGCAAATTATCAGCCCCAACCCAGACCCACTCAGATGCTGAAGAATGGAATATGACTTGTCACCCAGGTAATGAGCATAGTACCCCACAGTTAGTTTTCCACACTCCTCTGCCTCCTTTCCCCTCTAGTAGCCCCCAGTGTCTCAGTGTTTAGCCCCCACTTATAACTGAGAACATGTGGTACTTGGCTTTCTTTTCCTGTGTTAATTTGTTTAGGATATTGGCCTCCAGCTGCATCTGTGTTGCTGCAAAGGACACACCTTCATTCTTTTTTATGGCTGCGTAGTCTCCTCCGTTTTAAATTTGAGAAGCTGCTGCCTAGAGAGGTTGAGTGGTTTGCAAAAGATCACACAGTAGATTAGATGTGGAACACAGAATGTAATCAAAGTACCCTCTCACTAACTTTGCTGCAATTCCTTTTGTGTCCCATAATGTACTAGATCCTGGAAGGTAATGCCAGAAATTAGTTCTGGTTATGCACCGTGACACCACAGTCAACCAGCAGTGTGGTGAAGTGGAATGAGAACTGAAGTGAGATCAGGAGGCATCCATTCTGGTCTGGGGTTGGTCTTTGACCAGCTACATGCTCTGCGGACATCACTGGACCTTGTTCCTTCATCTGGGGAGAGGATCACAGAAAGGTTGAATTAATTGAGTTCCGAAGTCCATCCTGGCTCTAAAAAGCTACATCCATATTAAATTTGGGCCTCCTCTGCTTACTCAGCATATATATACCCAACCATTTGATTACTGAGAAGAACAATCAAGAACAAAGATGTATAAACCTTCTCGATTTCAAAGTGCTTTCAAATTTATATGCTCAGTTGATCTCTCTAATAACAGATAATCACTTGGAGAGGTTCCATCTTTCGCAGCGTGGGTTGGAGTAGGCATCCTCTAAGCATCTTTCCAGCACTGGGAGCCTCCAGTGCAGGGAGACTAAAGCAGAAAGTGGAGACTTTGGCAGAGTCTAGCTGGTCATGATCTTACTTGAGGTCAACATTATGGCGAGATTATTAAAACATAGTACAATCTCAGACAGCCTCATTAGGAATCAGTCAGAGAAAAAGAATATAAGCTGGCAATCAAGAGACTGTGTTTTGTATGAACAAATGAGTGGCCTTGGCCCAAGATGCTTCCCTGAGTACTGGGATGGGAGAACCAGAGTGCCTCTCAATTCCCTTCCATCTCCACAGCAACACAAAAAAACTCTTCTTTTCTCATTCTCCTCAATGCCTGGTTTCCGGGCCCTTCCCAAACCTCTTCATTCTCCTGTGGATGTGTTTAAGTTGGCCAATAGACTTCCCAACGTTTGAAGCCTGGTATCAATACAGAGTACCTTCTATTGAAATGAAGTTGAATAAAACGTTCTGCAGTGGTAAAAAGATTCTATATCTGCTGTTTGATGAATGCAGCACCCACTAGCCACATAGTGCTCGTGAGCACTTGCAATGCGGCTAGGGTGATTTCAATTAACCTAAAAGAGAACAGCCACAGGGAGCATGTGGCTGCCATATTGGATGGTGCTGCTTTGAGAACAAAATGAGAGAAATGAAGCCTCTATTTACCTTGGTTGGCGGAACACATTGAAGGGACTCTGTATTGATACCAGGCTTCAAACTTTGGGAAGTGTACTGGCCAACTTAAACACATCCACAGGAGAATGAAGAGGTTTGGGAAGGGACCAGAAACCAGGCATTGAGGACAATGAGAAGAGTTTTTCAAAAGTGGAATTACTGCAAAAAGTGGAAAAATAGCCTTTGGATGGAAGTTACTGATGAGACAATTTCCATCGGTGTGAAAGCCATCTTTCCAACAGAGATCTGCAACATGAGAATGTACTGTCTCCTAGGGTAGCGATGGCCTCTTGTATTAGTCCGCTCAGGCTACCAGATTTATCGTTTAAACTGCCCATAAACAGACCAGGCAGTTTAAACAACAGAAATTTATTTCCTCGCAGTCCTGGAGGCAGGAAGTCTGCGATCAAGGTGGAAGCAGGGTTGGCTTCTTCTCAGGTGTCTGTCCTTGGCTGGTAGATGACCGCCGCCTCCCTGGGTCCTCACATGGTCTTTCCTCTGTGTGTGTCTGTCCCAATCTCTTCTTATAAGGATGCAAGTCTTATGGATCAGAGCACACCCCAATGACCGTGTTTAACTTGAATCACCTCTTTAAAGTTTCTCTCTCCAAATACAATCACCTCCTGAGGCACTGTTAGGGCTTCGACACAGGAATTCTTTTCCTAGGGGATTCAGTTCAGTCCAAAACGCCTACCAGTGGAGACTTGCAACATGGCGGCCTGCTGGTCCCTCGCCAGGAATATCACAGGCGACTGTTCCCTGTTGCATGGAATAGAAGGCTATTCCAGAGTACTGTCTCTATTTATCAGATCTGGGATACTGGGAGAAGGGCAAAATAAAGTCCAAGTAGAAAAAAAAACTATGAAAGTTTTAGAGAGTAACCATAATTTCAGCCCGATGTGAAACGATCCTAGATTTCAGCTGAAATAGTGATGTGGGAAGTGAGGGGGCCGGGATTCAAGGCAGAGGGAACAGCGTAACTGAAGGCATGGAAGGAGGGAAGTGTAGGCTGTGTTTGAAGAGTGGCAGCTGCTTCCACATTTCTAAAACACAGGATGTGATTTTGGGGTGTGTTGAGACAAGGCAGAAAACTTGTTTGGAAAAATAACTTGAATTCCCTGCACATTTAAAATCTCTCAGCAGAAGAAAACCCCACTCAGAACCCCACTGTTCATTCCTTGGCTTGTATTTGGCCACAGCTGGCATAGCCCCAGACTGAGTAAGCTCTTCAGACACCTCATTTCATGAGTAGCCCCAAAGATCAATCATGGGCCAATTTCTTGGAAGAGAAGACTCTCCGGTGTTTTGCAGTTATTTGTTCTGCTTTCGCGAGATGTTCTCAAATCGTTGCAGCTACAAGCCATGAGTCTGAAGTGTTTGTGTTCCCTCCTTACAGGTGGTAACTTTCTCACAGGCCTTGGCCACAGATCTGATCATTACAATTGCGTCAGCAGTGGAGGGCAATGTCTCTATTCTGCCTGCCCGATCTTTACCAAAATTCAAGGCACCTGTTACAGAGGGAAGGCCAAGTGCTGCAAGTGAGCTGGGAGTGACCAGAAGAAATGACGCAGAAGTGAAATGAACTTTTTATAAGCATTCTTTTAATAAAGGAAAATTGCTTTTGAAGTATACCTCCTTTGGGCCAAAATGAATCTTGTGTCTCAATTGGAAGAGGTAAAGAAGTAGGGGGTTAGGGTGCATGGGTTGGAACGTGAGACAGGTCGAACCACAAAGCCTGCCTGGAAAAGGGGAGTGACGTCCTAGGCTTCAGTGATGTCACCTCCACTTTGTTTGATCCACAAACCAACAGGTGACTGATTTTGTTTTTTTTTTTTTTGTTTTTTTTTTTTTTTTTTTTTTTTTGAGCTGGTGTTTCACTCTTGTCGCCCAGGCTGAAGTGCAGTGGCACAATCTCGGCTCACTGCAACCTCTGCCTCCCAAGCCCAAGCAGTTCTCCTGCCTCAGCCTCCCGACTAGCTCGGATTACAGGTGCCGGCCACCATACCTGGCTAATTTTTGGGGTTTGTTTTTGTTTTTAGTAAAGACAGGGTTTCACCATGTTGACCAGGCTGGTCTCGAACTCCTGACCACAGGTGATCCACCCGCCTTGGCCTCCCAAAATGCCAAAGTGCTGGGATTACAGGCATGAGCCACGACGCCGGCCCCAACACATGACTGATTCTCAAGTGTCCACATAATTCAGAGGTCTCAGCAGTCTGCTCAGTGAAATAGTCCTTTGGCAGGACCCAGAACTTCCATTTTTTCTCCTTTCTGGTCTTAGGGCACTGTGTTGGTTAACTTTAGCATTTGAGAATCTCCAGGACTACTTGGAGAAATGGCAGCCTCCAAGTCTGGAACATAAGATGTACAAGACAAGCCTGAGTTATTTTGCTGTGCTAGAAATAAGACATCTCAAAGACTGAAGGGTCGCACCAAAAGAACACCAGCTCCAAATCAAAGGGGAGCCCAATGGCCACAGATGAGACATTTTTCCTAACTGCAGTAACTAATGATAACAATTGATTGACGCACACAAATATATAAACATCCATGAGTTCATGATGACAATTAAATAGTTTCATTTATAATTAGAGCTTGTTACAGCACCAACTTATCACTTCAGAAATTTATTCTGCATTTTCAGTACAAACTGCCTTTTAGGATGAACAATAGTTAAGGAAATGCCTTCTTTATAGAATTTCCCCAACTAATAAATGAAAAAGGGATGATAGAATAATAAAATCACCATATTGCAACCCTGAATGAAATTATAGGTCTAAAGCAATCATCAATGGACTGTTTTAGAACCATTTGGTGAAAAGCTTGGCAGGGAATTTGATAACTGAGGGTTAAGGGTGCACTCGATCATCAGTCTTACCCTCCCTAAAACTGAGACAACCAGACATTAATGGATTTCCTGTTGTGATGTAATAAGAATTACACAGCACCACCCATGAACTATTCTTGCCCAAAGAAATGGAACCTGAAACTAATTGAGTTTCTAGATCTAACTACTAGTTTACGGAAAATACAGGACTTTCGGAGACAAGCGAAACAACAGCACAGGAAGCAGTGGGTCAAATCCAGAGTGTGAGACATTCTACAGGAAAAATAACCTTGTTTCTCCAAGAAACCAATGCCATGATGAAAAAAAAGGAGCATGACTGTTGAAAAAGAGAGAAAGGAGACAAAACAGCCAGCATGTGGTCTTGTGTGGCCCCTATATTGAACAGTCTTCCTGGCCGGGTGTGGTGGCTCACACCTGTAATCCCAGCACTTTGGGAGGCCAAGGACGGTGGATCACCTGAGGTCAGGAGTTCGAGACCAGCCTGGCCAACATGGTGAAACCTCATCTTTACTGGAAAAAAAAAAAAAAAAAAAAAAAAAAGTCAGGCCTGGTGGCGGGCGCCTGTAATCCCAGCTACTTGGGAGGCTGAGGCAGGAGAATTGTTTGAGCCCGGGTGGCAGAGGTTGCAGTGAGCTATGATTGTGCCAGTGCACTCCAGCCTGGGCAACAGAGCAAGACTCTGTCAAAAAAAAAAAAAAAAAAAAAAGTCTTCCTGTATCAATGGACCCTGATTACACTTTTAGTAGTGGCCAGGAGGAGTTTAAACCACAGATGTACCGCCACTGGTTGCCACATGGGATTAGATGGCTATGTCAGTGGCTCAGCACATGGGTCGTCAAATATTTCAAAGGGGCCAGATAATAAATATTTTCAATTCTGTGAGTCATATCCCATCTGTTGCAAGTACTCAACTCTGTCACTGCAGAGTGCAAGAATCCTTGCCTGACACATAAGTAAATGGGAGTGGCTGTGCTTCGATAAAACTGTGTTCAAAAGAACAGGCAGCAAGCCAGATTTGGCCAAAGGTCATTGTTTTCCAACCTCTGGTTTAGGGGATAGACCTGATTCTGTCCATTGTTTAGAAGGAGAACTTCCATGAAAATGGATATTTCCAGTTAACTCCCAATATACATACACTTGTTCATGGCTGCTTTCTTCTGAAAATACATGAACTATCCAAAATATTGAAAAATAATAGTTTTTAAAATCACAATAACAAAAAGGCTTGGGAGAAATAGTTATTCCCCTGCCTTTATCTCTTCTGTTAGATCACGGACTGATGGTAATTTATGAACAAAAGCCACTTGAGGCTTTTTTATTATTAGTCCCAAATCTTGGAAGACAACAGGTTTTTAAAAGAAATTTAGTGAGCTGTCATGTCGGTGCCCCTTTGTTCTGTTCTGGACAGGCATGAAAGCTGATTCACTAACTTCTTATACCATTCACATTTTTGATCAAGGTTGTTTTATGCCACGAAAGCCTGAGAACCCACAAATATCAGCAGAAAAATACACGCTTGTCACAATCAGTCAAAATACAAAACAGTGCTATAACAAAAATTGCTCAAAATACTACTCTTCCAATCAAATCTACTATTGGCCTGTTTTTCCCAGTATACTTCTCCAATCTGAGTCGGCACATAAATTTTTTGTTTCATCATTGCACTCATCGGGTATATGGCATTTTGATTCCTGCTGTTTCTGTACACACAGTGCCCTGGTGGCTTCATCTCATCCACCGTGGTCCTCTTTAAGGACTGCACCATGCTGGGCCCAGCCTATTCACCAAGGGGGCAGCCTGGAGTTCTCTCTTCTCTCTTAGTTGCATCCATCTGGCTTTAGATTAAGGAGCTGCAGAACTCCCCCTCCTAAGGGAAAAAGGGGGTGCTTTAAGATCCATGGAGGGGTGTTTTTGAATGGCCTTAGGAGATGCTGTGCACAGAAGACACAGCCTCAGGAAAGGCTGCTGGGTTCTTCACATCCTTAAGGAACAGAAAGGGAAAAGTTTCCATTTAGAGCAGTCCTTGCCCAGAACATGTCAAACCTGAATGCTGAGATTCAACCCAATTTCTTCCAACCAGCCCAGACTGAACGGTGACTCAGAACTCAGAGTGACTCCGACAGTGCCTCATTCACCTAAAGGAAGACTCCTTTCTGAAAAATGAACAGCGTAGAATGTTTTAACCAAATGTGTGCAAACTAAAGACCCTGTTGCTGCCTAGTCAGGGTGCAGCCCTCCACATTCACTGGCATAGTCTCCAAGTGCAAGCACCCGCCATTCTTCACAAGTGAAACCTGATCTTCCCCCTCCGTGAACCACACGGGGACTTGATTCGCTTGTTCCCTTGTTGACAGGCAAATACACTGGTGCCCACTGGGGATCACCCCGCTGGTCATCATCCACAAGACCTGGAAGAGGAGGAGGAGACTCCCATAGCAGGAGGGGTTACAGGCTCTTCTCTAGAGGAAAGACACCTGGCTCTCGCTGGAGCTCACCCAGGTGCAGGAGGACCAGAGGTCCACCATGGGGCTGGGGACTGACCCCCCATCTCAGCCTCACCTTACCTGGTTCTCCCCTGCCTCCCTTGCTGCCCTGTTGTGGTGGGCCAGGTCTCACTAATGTAGGCCTCCCTTACAACTGTCCCAGCACTGACTGAGCAGCTACATTAAACATTAAAGCTAATTGAGCCAGTGCCCTTATACAAAGGCTGGAATGTAACAACGAGCCCACCAAAAGTTTTCTCTAGGCTTTTCGTGGGCCTTGGAGCATGACAAGATAATGAAGGGATTCTTAACAGGACCTTCAAGTTTAAACAAGTTTTACTGGGGGTCTGAATAAACCCCCCAGGCCTCCATAGACAAGTTTGTTGGGGTCTACAGAACTCCCCAAACCTTTATGATTCATCAGGAGACAAGATAAGGGTAATCACCCCACCACCTAGACCCATTTAGATTAAGTAAATTTACTGAGGATCCAGAAGAAAGTCTTCAGGATGGAGACCTTAGTTATAGATTAAAAGAAGTTAATCACTTATGTCTTTCGATGAGTGCACACTTACATGTAGACCTATAGTTTAGAAGGTATATAAGCTCTGGAAAACTGTGTAATTTTGAGTTGGTCTGGTTATCATTTCCAGGCCTTCTTCCTGTAACTGGTTACAGAAATAAAAACTCTCTTCCTCCCCAGTTCATTGGCCTCTCATTATTGGGCCACAAGAAATAGCAGCCTGACCCACAGTTTGGTCCAGGAACACTGTGACCTGGCAGACCCATTCCTTGAAGCATGTCCCACAGCCAGGTGACCTGGGCACACACCCAGGAAAAGCACTTTCTCCTAGGCTGGCCCCAGGAAGACGCACCCACACTGGCCCCCTCCCCAGCTGGCCAGGGGTCCTGCTGTGTGTTTGATTATTATTATTTTTGTTTTTTTCTGTTTTTGTTTTTTGAGATGGAGTCTTGCTCTGTCACCAGGCTGGAGTGCAGTGGCATGATCTCGGCTCACTGCAACCTCCTTCTCCCAGGTTCAAGCAATTCTCCTGCCTCAGCCTCCCAAGCAGCTGAAATCACATGCGTCTGTCATCACGCCCGGCTAATTTTTGTATTTTTAGTAGAGACAGGGTTTCACCATGTTGGCCAGGATGGTCTCGATCTCTTGACCTTGTGATCCACCCTCCTCGGACTCCCAAAGTGCTGGGATTACAGGCGTGAGTCACTGTGCCCGGCCCGTGTTTGATTATTGTAAGTGACATCAGACCAGACATGCAGAGAGGTGTCATCACTGCCCCCTCCCAGCTCCCTGGACTCATTCTACCTGTAGAGACCAGACACCTACGGAGGTAAGTAAAGAGTCTTGCTTAATTGGGTTTCTGATTTTGTTTTTGTTTCAGTTTTGTTTTGCTGTTTTCTAAAAACCAGGTTCACTGATAAACACGCGGGAACTGCCGAAATGATTGCTCCTGGGCTTAGTCAAGTCTGACCTGACTGGTCCTCTTCAGACAAGTCACAAAAACAGGTCTCCTGTAAGGGACTCTAAAGATAGTTTTTTCTGCTGTCTCTGCAGCCCCCCAGACAGAACCCCACTTACTCTCAGCACACAGTAAGCATCCACGCTTGTTGCCAGCGGGGCTCCCTCCCCACCCCAAGCCTGTGGGGCATTCTGTCTAAAGTCTCTGATGTCACTTTGCTGGGCACAGTAGACTTAGTTTAGAAATACACATTGCAACTATAAATACATTCAACTATAAATACCTGGCTTTCACATACTGGCTAATATACCTGGCTAGATAAGCTCAACTCACACCTTTAACAAAGTCGCCTACCATTTGTTTAAGGCTGCAGTCACCACAGTAATCACTGTGGCTCCCTATGGAGCCCTACTGGGCAAAGCTTAACTTTCTCCTGGTGTCTCGAATCCCACAAACCTCACATCCCATTTCACCTCCTTCGCTAAGAGCTCCTCCCCTCTGGGCCTTTCCCAGGCAGCACTCCAGCTCTCACTTTCCTTCCGCTCTGGGCATGGCTCTCTGTCCGCCAACCTGTGCCTCCAAACCCGTTCTGGGCAGTTCTCCCCTGTTAATTAGTCTTACAGAGTATTCTAAAATATATGCTCCAGGCATTCCTGGACATTTCCTAGCCAGGATATTTAAATACGTATTTGCATTTGTGAAAATAAATTACATTTAAAAACTGTTGGAACTTCCAGGACTCTTCAAGCCTTGAGAGAGGTGTGGCTATGATTTGGGTCATGGAACATGTTTTGCAATTCTGTTGCTTGAATTACAGCTTAACTCTTCCTCATTCTTCTTTTTCTGTAATGACTAGGAAACACCGGAGACCAGATCTCCGCCTTCTAATCACAGACCTTTGTTACAGATTTACCACCTCTTTAAGAGTCCTGACCGTAACTCAGCCTAGATGGCAGTGTGGAATGTTAGATATACCTTTCCAAAAGAGGCCCCCCTCAAGTAATCAGATCATTGGAACTATGCATTAAGCCTTACACAGATGTTGAAATTCTGTGAAATTCCCCTAAGCTTTGTTTATATAAAGCAATCCCAAATCTCTACACTTGCTAACACTGACTTCCATTCTTTGGAATCTGTGCTTCCCAGAGATGTCCCGTTTTCAACCTCTGCACTTGAATAAACCCTCTGTAAACTAGTTTCTGACCCTTTCTATTATGTTAAGTTGACACATTCTCCCCTTAAACCACCGAAACCTCCTGAGCATTCTCTGCTTGCACACGCACCCTGCACCTTCTACCACCTCTCACACCTGGACCCCAGCGCAGCCCAGAGCAGCCCTGCGTCTCAGAGCACTTTGTACCCCTGGGTCTAGCAGAGTCCTATTCACAGCAGACTTTCCATGCAGACTGATAGCGACCTAACAAGGAGTGAATAACAGACCACCCCCTGGGGGTAAATCATGCTTCTGGGTCTGCTACTTGCCTAGAGGCAGTCTGCTAGTGGCAGGAAGAACAACAGATGCAGACCCAGCCAACACGCCTGCCTCACCTCACAGGCCCTTACTGAGTCCCAACAGGGTATTATGAGGCTGATTCTAAGTGGGAAACACGCAAAATCAAATCCAGCTGCTGCCACAAGAAGAAACTGCTGCTGCCAGGTCGGGGTACACGTAGGTCAGGGGGCCTGCTCAGAGACTTTGGAGGCCTCAGGAAGCAGCCACAGGAGGAGCCCCTCCCCGCCAGCCTCCCTTGTCCCCGCCAGGCTCCCACGTCCCCGCCAGCCTCCCACGTCCCCGCCAGCCTTTCCACTCCCTGCCAGCCTCCTCCGTCCCCACCAGCCTCCCCACCTCCCAGCCAGCCTCCCTCCCCGCCAGCCTCCCCACCTCCCCTCCAGCTTCCCCACCTCTGCACCAGCTCCCCCACTCCCCACCAGCCTCCCCAACTCCCCACCAGCTTCCCCAACTCCCTCCAGCCTCTCCCACTCCCTGCCAGCCTCCCCCACTCTCTGCCAGACTCCCCCATCCCCTCCAGCCTCTCCACTCCCTGCCAGCATCCCCACCTCCACGCCAGCCTCCCCACTCCCTATCAGCCTCCCTACTCCCCGCCAGCTTTTCCACTCCCCGCCAGCCTCCCCCCTTCCACCAGCTTCCCCTACTCCCTGCCAGCCTCCCCACTCTCCGTAAGCCTCCCTTTTCCCCACCAGCTTCCCCACGTCCCTTCTAGCCTCCCCCACTCCCCACCAGCCTCCCCCACTCCCCACCAGCCTCCCTACCCGCTCCCTGCCCTGTGGGCAGAGCTGAGCAGGACCTTCCCAGATCCGCCCCACCGGAAAGCAGGTACTGAGTAGGGAACTTGGAGCTGAGAAACAATAGCTTCGTAACCAGCCCAGTGACTCTTGCAGAAACCAGGGCAGAGTGTGATTAGACATGTCCTGTCCCGGGGCAGCCATCATCCCATGGTTGACAACACATTTCACCCCAGAGCGTTCCTGCCTCCACCTGAGCCAGAGCTTCTAGTGTGTTTTTCCTCACCTCCCCATGTTCTGTGAGCCCAGCCCCTCTTAGATCCCCTTCCTCCAGCTACTAGAGAATCTCTCATCCAGCGACTATGACCCAGCACCAAAGCAGGTCACCGTGAACCCCACGTGGGGCAGGAAACCACAGGCTGACTCTCAAGTCAGACAGACCTGGGCCTTTGGACAAGCTGCACAACTTCTCTGATTCTTGCATTCTTGGGTGTATGAAAGTGAGTAGAATAAATGGACCCCCCCGGACAGGTGTGAGGACTCAGTGAGATAACCTTTATGTGGCACTCATCCAGCCCAGCCAGCCCCTGACATACAATCAGAACTCAGCTCATCTCAGTCTCCTTCCTCATTCTCCATCTTGCTCTTGGAGGTGTCATGGATGGGACACCTGAGTCACCTCGTCCAGCCGGCCAGCGTGAAGGAGCCTGACTGGCCCATCCACACATGGTTTCCTTGGCTGCCTCCATCTGCCTCCATCTCTCATAAGGTGGTTTTGCTCTTTCTGTGGATTGAAGAGCCTCCAACTGTGGCCTAGAGTATGGCTCAGGGCTGAATCAGAATATATGTACAAGAAGACAGAAGTCAGGTACAACTGGACACTTGAAAGGCTTTGGAGCAGAAAGGATGTCACAGTTGAAGCCGAACAGACTAGAAACCATCCAGAGAGGTGAAGGCGAAGGCCTTGGGTCCAGTTCCTCTGCCACCACCCACCTGCGTGTCTACCTGGACAAGGACTTAAAACTCTCGGGCCCTTGTTTTTCTCCCTTAAAATTATGGCAAACATGGTAATAAAACGTTTATGGGAACTTACTCGGCAAAGTGTTATAACTGATTTGACTGATGTGACTCGTTAGGTATGGGAACCCCCAAAATCTGAGACAGGTTTCAGTTAATTTAGAAAGTTTGTCAAGGTGGAGGACGCGCACCCGTGACACAGCCTCAGGAAGTCCTGACGTCATGTGCCCAAGGTGGTTGGAGCACAGTTTGGTTTTACACATTTTAGGCAGACATAAGACATCAATCAATATATGTGAAAAGTACATTGGTTCGGTCTGGAAAGATAGGACAATTTGAAGGAAAGCCAGGAAGACTTGAAGCAGGGAGGGGCTTCCAGGTCACAGATAGGTGAAATACAAACTTGCCTTATTTCGAGTTTCTGATTAGCTTTTCCAAAAGAGGCAATCAGATATGCATTCATCTCAATGAGCAGGGAGATAACTTTGACTAGAATGGGAGGCAGGTTGAATAGAATGGGAGGCAGGTTGAATAGAATGGGAGGCAGGTTGAATAGAATGGGAGGTAGGTTGAATAGAATGGGAGGTAGGTTGAATAGAATGGGAGGTAGGTTGAATAGAATGAGAGGCAGGTTGGCCCTAAGCGGTTTCCAGCTTGAGTTTTCCTTTTAGCTTAGTGAGTTTTGGGGGCCCAAGATATTTTTCTTTCCCAGGGAGCAAACCTGAAGTGGTTTCTTCTTCCAAAAACTGCTAATGGTCTCTCAGTCCAATTCCATAGATTTTTAGCAGCTTTCCATTGTTAAAGAATCTCCTTCTTTTTCCTGACGCCCCACTCACTGGCATGGGACATGACGTCAGGCTCATCCTCTCTCCTCCATCACCCCCATCAAAGCCAATATCTTTATCTTTTGAGACCCTTTTACTCAACAAGTGGCCCTGTAATGAGAGGCAGGACCGAAACCGCCTTTGCAAAATTATAACTGAGGAAATTATATCAGTGAAAGATCAGACCTAACAGACCCCCGGACCCCCATCTTCCTTCTAACGTCTAAACTGTCTTTGTTCATTCCCCCACCCCATCTAAACCGAGCTAGCCTTGGGAAGGAATTTAGTTTATAGTTTAAACTCTGAAACAAAATGGATACTAGCCCTTTCCCCCAAAAAAACCCCTTTTTGCCTGGGGACCAGTCTGCCTTCGTAGGACTAACAAATTAGCTACAAAATTAGATATCAGAAAAACTCCTTCTTGCCTGGCGACCAGTCTGCCTTTGTAGGAACAAATTAGCTACACAGTTAGATATCATGATTTAGGGACCATGCAGCCTCTGGCTACAAGAGTCTGGACCTCTCCCAATTGCTCCTGGGAATAACGTCACTATAGTAAAACCTAAGATCAGTGCTTGAAGTATTTTGCAGATCCTATATTCCAGTGCAGCAGATGACACCACCCAGACTGAAAATCTGGCTCAACCAGTTCTGTGATCCCACCCAGGAACAGAAGTCAGCAAAAACTCACTTTGACCCCCTGTCATTTCATCTTCAACCTGACCAGTCAGCACTCCCCACTTTCTGAGTCCATACCTGCTAAATTATCCTTAAAATCTCTGATCCCAAACGCCAGGGAGACTGATTTCAGTAACGACAAAACTCCAGTCTTTGCATGAATTACTTTCTCTCCATTGCAATTCCCCTGTCTTGATAAGTTGGCTCTGTCTAGGCAGCAGGCAGGGTGAACCCATTGGGTAGTTACAGGACAACATGTCAACTAAATGATCTAAGTCCAGCCGCTTTCACAGTGACCCTAGCAGAAACTAACAGATCCTTGAATGCAAGCAGCAGGTGTTTAGACCACCCACCCCGACAGAAACCTCAGCTCTCAGCCCCTCCCTCCCTGCTCCTCCCTGTCCACCTCAGAATAATAGACTCCACACAGTCAGCAATGTCCAGACAAGAGCTGAGCTCAAGTTAGCCTAGTCTAAGGATGCCCTCCAGGCTTGCAAAGAGAAAGAGGACATGATGTGTATTTGGGCTCCACACTGGCAGAGGAGTGGGACATTGCAGGTCCGCAAAGGCTGATGACATCACAAAGACAGAGAGGGCCAAATTTACTAAAAACACAAAGGCCAGTGGGAACGAATTCAAAAGAGAACCTGGGCCGGGCGCGGTGGCTCACGCCTGTGACCCCAGCACTTTGGGAGACCGAGGAGGGAGAATCACTTGAGGTCCGGAGTTTGAGACCAGCCTGGCCAACATAGTGAAACCTTGACTCTACTACAAATACAAAAATTAGCTGGGCATGGTGGTGGGCACCTGTATGCCAGCTACTCAGGAAGCTGAGGTAGGATAATTGCTTCAACCCAGGAGAAAGAGGTTGTGGTGAGTCGGGATCCCGTCATTGTACTCCAGCCTGGGTAACAGAGTGAGATTCCGTCTAAAAAAAAAAAAAAACCAACCAACCAAACAAACAAACGAAAAAACAGAACCTGAAAAGTCTTAATTTGAATGAAGAAATTTGGAGAAATATAATATTGAAAACTAGATGCAATTAGTTAAAATGTTCCAGCATGTAAGGAAAAAGTAATCAAGTCATTTGACAAGGAAAAAAGAGGAGAGAAAATAAAAGGAAAGAGAAGAAAAGAGAAAAGAAAGCAAAGAAAGAGATGGAAGGAAAAACAGAAAGAAAAAGAAGGAAGGAGAAAGAAAGAGGGAAGAAAGAAGGGAGCCAGGAAAAGAAAGAAAAAAGTATGAAGGAAAGAAAAGCTTGAATTTTAGTCTGATCTTTTTGACACTGATTATTCTTTTCTTTTTCTATAGGCATCATCATGATTGGGTATTTGCCAGAACAAAGAAAACAATCACAGAGGACCATAAAAGTCCTTTAAGCTACAGAGTCATAAATCCTGAATTACGAATTCCCCCTGGGCAACCAAGCAACAGAACCACTGACATCCCAGGTCCTGAGGGCTGACCTCTCAGATTACTAAAACTATACCTCTGCATGGAGCATCCTTAACTTTTCCTGCTGTCCTCTTGAACGGCAACTTTTAAAGTTAAGCTCTTAACAAATTTGAATTCTAAATCTGTTCAACAAAATTAAATCATTCCTGTGTTTTTCTGTGAATCTCTTAAAACCCTTTCCTTTTCCTTCTTGCCAGTGAACAGCCCTGTTACCAACTAAATGAGAAAAGACTCTGAAGATGGACATGACGCAGGAGATTGCCGTGCTGTCCGTCTGTCCATCTGTAGCTATAGGGGCCCCTCATCCACCCACCGCCCCCACCAGGGAACCTTCACAGGGCACTGTTAAGAGAAAACCACCTCCTTCACCACTCTTTTTTACACGACATTTTTAAATGAGGTAGTCCTAGGTCTCAGATTCCACATTACGTCACCCTACAATTTTGGGTGAGCATCTGCATTTTTTTTTTTTTGAGACACAGTCTTGCTCTATCACCAGGCTAGGGTGCAGTGGCATGATCTCGGCTCACTGTAACCTCTGCCTCCTAGGTTCAAGCGATTCTTCTGCCTCAGCCTCCCAAGTAGCTGGGACTACAGGTGCGCACCACCACACCCAGCTAACTTTTGTATTTTTAGTAGAGACCGGGTTTCACCATATTGGCCAGGATGGTCTTCATCTCCTGACCTTGTGATCCGCCCACCTCAGCCTCCCAAAATGCTGGGATTACAGGCGTGAGCCACCGCGTCTGGCCTTGCATTTCATTTTTTAATGCAAAACCCACGGGCTTCAGGCACCCGCTCTTTACAGAAAGTTTGGTGGAAGAAGAGCTGGTTTCTGCAGGGTCCAAATCTTCGCTTTCTCAAGGCCGCCTTCTAGTGGCCAGTAAGGGTAGCCTGGGTAATCTGGGCTCCAGGTCTCTTCCCTGGGGCTCCAAGTCAAATCCCTGAATGACTGATTTTCCATTATTTAATTTTCCAAAAAAACAACTCTCTGAATACATTTTTCCCAATGACCTATTGTCCCGCAACTTTAAATTGTGCCTAAGACAAGTCACCAGATTCTTTTAACCTCCAGAGCAAAGAAGGACCAGGGTGAAACAGGGCTGAATGAGGGAGGGGGAAGGGGTGCTGGAGATGGGGAAGGAGGGGAGTAGGGCAGTCCCTGGGATGAAGGTGGAATGGGAGGGGTAGAGGCAGGCACCACAGCAAGATCAGAGGTGGGAATAGCACGGGACCCAGGCAGGCATGAACCTGCCAAAATGCAGATCGCAAACTTCATCTCAGGACAACCTCACACACCTCTATCTATAAAACTGGGCATTTATATTTATTTATATTTTGGAAATGGAGACTCACTCTGTCACCCAGGCTGGAGTGCAGTGGCATGATCTCAGCTCACTGCAACCTCCGCCTTCCAGGTTCAAGCAATTCTACTGTTTCAGCCTCCCAAGGAGCTGGGATTACAGGTGTGCACCACTGCACTCAGCTAATTTTTGTGTTTTTAGTAGAGATGGGATTTCACTATGTTGGCCAGGCTGGTCTCGAACCCCTCAACTCAAGTGATCTGCCCACCTCGGCCTCCCAAAGTGCTGGGATTATAGGCGTGAGCCACTGCGCCTGGCCAACACTGAGCATTTTTGATGCACCTGGATTTGAAATATGAAACAGATATTTGTGACAAATCACAGAAACAAAACTGATATGGTGAAGACACAGAGAAGCTGAGGACTTTGAAAATTCTTACGTCCAGCACACCGGTCATTTGATTAGTCCACTTTAAGCAAATTCACCACTGGGCAGAAGATATGCTTCCAGTGGGGAGGGTTGCAGGGAACTGGCTTTCTGTCATTTCTGCATTCAGACGTACTTACATTTTGTAAAATATATTTGTAAGAATATCTTCCTCCAGTTTTGAACTGGCTTTCACTTCCATTATAGTGTCTTTAGCATAAAAAGGAAGTTCTTGATTTTAACGGAGTAGAACATATCAGACTTTTTCCCATCAGTTCGTAGTTTTCATGACTTCAGAAAAATTCTTTCCTCAGACAGGCGCAGTGGCTCACTTCTGTAATCCCAACACTCTGGGAGGCCGAGGCAGGTGGATCACCTGAGGTCAGGAATTCAAGGCCCGTCTGACCAATACAGTAAAACCCCATCTCCACTAAAAATATAAAATTAGCCGGGCGTGGTGGCTCATGCCTGTAATCCCAGCTACTTGGGAGGCTGAGGCAGGAGAATCGCTTGATTCTGGGAGGCAGAGGTTGCGGTGAACCAAGATTGCACCATTTCACTCCAGCCTGGGCAACAAGAGAGAAATTCCATCTCACCAAAAAAAAAAAAAAAAAAAAAAAAAAACAATTCTTTCCTACTTGAGGTAATCAAGATCGCACACTACTTTACTCAAATTAACTTAAATTTCTGCCTTCACAAACAAATCCTAAATCCATTTGGGCTTATTTTTCTCTGTGATTTTTATTTTCCTTGTATATGTATTCATAATTTTTCTATTATAAAAAATGGATGTTATTGTAATTGAAAATGAAAAAGTTCCAACAAATCAATTATGTCATAATACTTGCATAAGTCTTCTGAATATTAGTACAAAACAATGTATTTTTGCCCAAAGTTTTTTGCATTATTTTCAAGGTTTTGAAAAGTGAGATAGAGATTTTTTAAATTGTAGTGTCAGGAAGTAAAACATCACCAGCTTTCCACAAACATGTGTTAAGTGTCTAGTATATCCCAGGAAGTGAACTCCACCAAATGTCAAGGACATGAAGGATTTAAAATATTTTTAAAAATTGCTTTCCTTAAAGAATTCACCTGCTAATGTGAGCTGTCACATTCCAAAGGTAATTACAAATTGTAATATGATACAGAACATACAAAGATAAAGACGTTATCAACGTCTTTCGCAAGCACGGGGAATGTAACTGTCACAAAGTGGGAAAGACCTAGAGGATCAGAGAAGGCGTTCTTTAACTGACTGGGAGTCAGGCCTGTTGGACAAGGGAAAAGTAGGGATCAGCAAACAGTCCAGGAGCTGAGGCATGAGCAAGAACAGTTTGATGGTGCCTCATTGGAAAGTGTTAGCAAGAGAGCTGATGGCTGAGTTGAGCTAAGATTAAATAATCTGTGCAGCATGACCTTGCACAATTTAACAATGTTGGGCCTTTTCCTGTAGGTGAGAGCTGTTCAAATGCTCTGCAACATGCTTCACCTGCGTGGGCAAATGAGAACAAAAGCCCCACTGGTGCCAAAGGGGCTACCTGCTGGATGTTCAAAATACCTTCAAAGCTGCATCTTATCAGGCAAAGGCATGTGTCCCTTCCATTCTATTCCATTCCATTGCATTGCAAGGTAATCATTTTTGAATCCTGAGAGGAAAAACAATGCTCCAGGAAGGTAGACCATGTTTGCCTGTTGCTGTCAAAGCTCCAGCAGACAGCTCCTGACCTTTGGTCGGGGCACAGCCTGGGAGATGAGGAGCCTCAGAAAACTTTGGGTCCTTGAAGAGGTGACACAGTCAGACATGAAATTCAGATACATTATGCTATGGCATAAATTGTGTCCCCAGGAAAAGAGACATTCAAGTCCTAACTCCAGCCACTCAGAGTGTGACTTTATTTGGCAATAGGGTCTTTGCATAGATAATCAACCTGTAATGGAGTCATTTGGGAGGCCCTAATCCAATAGGACCGGTGTCCTTATATAAAGGAGAAATTGGACCCAGAGAGAGGGGCATACAGAGAGAGGACGACGTGAAGACATACAGGGCTGTGTGACTGGACATGATGCCTCTACAAGCCAGGGAAGGCAGGGATTGCCAGCCATTAACAGAAGCTGGAAGAGGCAAGATGGGATCCTCTCTCAGCATTGTGAGATGGAGCATGGCCCGGCCAACACCACATTTCAGACTTGTGACCTCCAGTACAATGTGAGGCAGTACATTTTTGTGGTTTTGAGCCACCCGGTTTCTCATACTTTGTTACAGCAGCCCGAGGACACTAATCCTAGAGGGATCCCTCTAACAGCTGGGTGGAGTACAGATGTGAGGTCCAAAGGCAATTCTGGAGGTGGGGAGCCCATGTGGGAGCCTCTTGTATTGATCCTGGGAGAAACAATGGAAGCCAGACCTAAGATACTAAGAACAGAGAGGAGGACAAAGATTCGAGAAACATTTAGGAGGTAAAAACAGGCAAGGTAAACTTGCTTCGGTGAGTTGTGTGAGGTCAAAGACAAAGACGGCCTCGAAGATCTCCTCCTGCAGTCTGGAAGTCCCATAGGACCAAGAGCAGTTTTCAAGGTGGCGGGAAAAGGTGAAGCCTGCAGTATAGATATGAAGCCCCTGCAGCTCTTAGAGATTCCCGCACATCCAAAATCCCAGGTGTCTGTACTGATCGCCTTTTGCTGCAAGAACAAACGTCCCCAAATCTCAGATTCTGGAAGTCACAAACATTCATGTCGCCATTCACAGTTGGCTCTGTGGCCTCTGCAGCCGGCTCTGGACTGGGCTCAGGGCTGCTCTGTGTGTGGCCCTGTCGGGGACAAATGCTCAGTGAACAGGGGCTGCCTATGACACGCTCTCCCCATGGGAGCTGAGGGCTGAAGGCTGTGGGCTGAGACACATGCTGCCCTTTCTGGAACAGGCACGCAGCCACTGCTTCCTGCTGGTGGACACAAGGCACACTGTCAGGCCCTGTGTCGGCGGGTCAGGGAGTACAGTTTACCTGCTGAGAGCCACTGCCAAGCCACGGCTGAGGGAAGGCATGTTGGAGCAGTGGATTCGCCGTATCTCTTGTTGTCTGAATTCTCATGCCTTGATATCTGGGGACTTGCCCCCTCAGAGTCAGCCAATTCTTAGAGATAGTAGGCAACTCTCCCAGGAGCACCCCTTTCAAATGCAAACCAACCAATCAAAAGTCCACACCCCCAGTTGCCCTCTTCGGGAGGCTCTCATGCTCTGGTCTCTATCCACCAGCCCTTATCTACCCTGGGCCAGGTACCAGACGACTAGGGACAGCCTCTGTGCCCCAGAACTGCTGAAATTATTCATACTAGCAAATCCCAAACCTGCTTGCCCTGTCTTCTCATTTCTTCCCATGGAAATCACAAGAAAGGCTCTCGCCCACAGTTCCTTTTGTCTCCATCTACTTCCTAACCCCAGGCTTCCCCATGTGGCCCCCCTGCTCTGTGTGCCCCTCCTGGGATCTGTGGGTCTAACAAACTCCCTTTTCAATGGCACCGTGTCCTGATCCGTTGGCCTCACTGTATTTCTGGTGCTATATTTTAAAGCCAGCAAAACTCTGATTCTATCACAGCATCCTAAAATTTCATATCCTCTTGACACACCAAAAACTCAAATCTAGGAGATGACAGAAGCCTCATTGAACCCAGGTGCCGTATCTGCAGAATGGAAAATTCAGCAGAAGTATCTAGGGCCTACAAAAGGAAAATATATCTTGGGGTCCCCCAACAAATCACTAAGCTAAAGGGAAAGGTCCGGCTGGGAACTGCTTAGGGACAACCTGCCTCCCATTCTATTCAGTCACCCCTCTGCTCACTGAGATGAATACATATCTGATTGCCTCCTTTGGAGAGGCTCATCAGAAATTCAAAAGAATGCAACCATTTGCATTCTTGGAAGCCCTTCCTATCATTTGGAAGCCCCTCCCTGCTTTGTCTTCTCGCCTTTGCTTCAAGTTGTTCTGCCTTTCCAGACCGGACCGATGTTCATCTTGCACATGTTGATTGATGTCTCCTGTCTCCCTAGATTGTGTAAAACCAAACTGTGTTCTGAAGACCTTGGGCACATGTCCTCAGGATCTCCTGAGGCGGTTTCACAGGCACACAACCCCAACTTTGACAAAATAAACTTTCTAAATTAACTGAGACCTGTCTCAGATTTTGGGGGTTCACAGGCCAGATGGAGCATTCCAAACTCACTGCTGTTTCTAGACCAAGGAGTGCAAGGAAGACATTTGAGGCTAAGCAGGGAGTTGATGGACTCCCTGCGGTCAAGTCCTGAAAGCTTTGTCTGAAGGTTGTAGAAAGTCTATGGAGGTGCTTGGACCATGGCTCCCCAGGCAGGTAGGCATTACAAACTGCATCCTGCTCCACTCTTTTCAGTGGGCGTTGCAACTTGACTTGTTTGTTCTTGAAACAAGATAGTGAAAGAACCAGGTGGAGATGATTTAACTTGTGGTCTCCCCTTGGAGAAAGTTTCCTGGAACAAGACATGAAGGGTTGGGGCTGTTTTGAAGGCAGTGGTTCTCCTCCAGTGCAGAAGCCAGCTTCTCTGGCTCCCTGGGATGGGGCCCAGTTCAGAGATCAGATAAACCATGAGAAATGCAGCAGAGCAGAATGCGGGCAGTTAGAAACATGTCTTTCTCCCTTTGACAGGCTGTGTGGAAAGACTTAGCAGCTGATAAGAGGGAGAAGCCAAGCGAGGAGGTTGTAGAAGTGCACAAAGACTCCAAGGTTTAGAGACTCAGGAAACACCCATAATTTGAGAAGCACTGAGCCCTACTGTCAATGCAGGCAGAAGCTGCAGTCCTGCCCTGGGATGGATGAGTGATTTTCCCTGCAGGCCGCTCAGTCCCACCACAAATATTTGAGAATAGTGGGAAGAACAAACAGAGACTTATGTGCCAAGAGACTAATATTTAACAGCTATAAATCAAACTATCACACTGTTGACTAAAACGTGTTCTATCCTCCCACCCTAAACAAATATACTTCCAAGACAACCTGGACCTCCAGGAAAAATGTAGGATCCTTGGACTCCCACAAGTCCCGCACCAGAATCAGACAGCACAAAGAGGGCAGGGCCTTGGCTTGCAGCCCCTCCCCTTTCTCTCCCTACAGCCAAGACCATCCTCAGCCTCCAGGGTCTCATGCACTCCCACACAGGACCTCTTGGCTTGCATCTCTAAGCTGTGTCACAGTCTCACAGCAGCCACCACTCGGCCTATGACACACCCTGGGAGCACGTCTCACCTTGGGGTTCCAACCCAAGGAAGAAACTTCCAAAGGCCCTAGACGAAGGCTGGGGGCAAGTAATTCTTAGGTCATAGGAGCCCAGAGAATGATTAATGAGAAGGGACATAGATCTGGCCAGAGAGAAGACCTCTTAACCCCAGGCCCGAGAAGAACCCCTCTTGCCTGGGTCTCCAGCTGGTACAGAGACGAGGAAGCCCAAAGAAGTTTCCACTTGGCCCCAAAGGTTGGATTCAGAAAGCTTCCCAGGTTAAGAGAGGGAGTCACGGGATAACCCTGATCCAGCTAAGGTGAAAACGGATTCCTGCAGGAGACAGAGATGCCCTCTGCAGACACCCTCCTACTAGTAAATGGGAAAACAGACACTCAGACCGTGTGTGTGTGTGTGTGTGTGTGCATATGTGGGCGTGGGTGTTTGCAGGTGTGCATGTATATGCATGTGGATGTGTGTGAGTGTATGGGGTGTGCGTGCATGCATGCTTGAGTGTGTGCAGGTGTGCATGTGTATCTGCATGTATATCAGTGTATAAGTGTGCACGTATGCACGTAGGTTTATGCAGGTGTGCATGTATCGACGTGTGCATGTGCAAGTGTATGTATGAGTGTGTGCAAGTGTGCATATATTTGTGCAAGTGTGCATCTGCATTTGAGGGTACGAGTGTGCATGTAGGTGTGTGCAGGTGTGCATGTGTGTGTATGTGCAGGAATGAGTGTACAGGATGTGTGTGGATATAGGTGTGTGTGTGGGTGTGCATGTGTGTATATGTGCGGGTGCGCATGTGCCGGTGTGAGTGTATGGGGTGTGTGCGTGCATGTAGGTGTGTGCAGGTGCACGTGTGTGTATACGTGCAGGGGCACAAGTGCAGGTGTGAGTGTATGGGGTGCATGTGCAGGTAGGTGTGTGCAGGTGTGCATGTGTGTATATGTGCAGGTGTGCATGTGCAGGAGTGTATGGGGTGTGTGTGCATGCAGGTGCAGGAAGTGCAGGTGTGCATGTGTGTATATGTGCAGGTGCGCATGTGCAGGAGTGAGTGTGTGGGGTGTGTGTGCATGTAGGTGTGTGCAGGTGTGCATGTGTGTATATGTGCAGGGGCACATGTGCAGGTATGAGTGTATGTGGTGTGTGTGTGCATATAGGTGTGTTCAGGTATGCATTTGTGTCTATGTGCAAGTGTGCATATGTGTATATGTGCAGGTATGAGTGTATGGGGTGCATGTGCATATGTGTGCAGGTGTGCATGTCTGTATATGTGCAGAGGCACATGTGCAGGTTGAGTGTATGGGGTGCATGTGCATGTAGGTGTGTGCAGGTGTGCATGTGTGTATATGCGCAGGTGTGCATGTGCAGGTGTGTGTATGGGGTGTATGTGCATGTAGGTGTGTGCAGGCAGGCATGTATGTTCATGTGTGCATCTTCCAGTGTGACTGGGTATGCATGTGTGTGTGTGTGTGCATGTATGAGTGCACACATACATGTGCAGCTATGGGTGTGTGCATCTGCATGGTGGGAAGTGGGTTCTGGTGTGTGGGAATTCCCCTTGCAGTGACCTGCCCTGGGCCCCTGGTCTCCCCTCGCTGAGTTGTCTGTCACCAGCTGTCCTAGAATCTGGCTTTGTGGAACAGGTGGATACTTGGTACTAACTTCTGCAGTGAGCTGACTTCTCACTGCAGAAGTCAGCACCAAGCAGGTTGGTTCTGTGCAGGGCCACAACAGAGATCACCTTCAAATTCTTTAAATGAGAAGTTGACAGACATTTCCATCCCTCTTCTGGCCCTGGCTGTCTGTGTTCCCTGAGGCCCATTGACCTCTGTGGTCAGGTATGTGGGCCAAGCGTCCACCCTTGGAGCTAAATATGAGGTCTTTCCCATCTAAACGTGTGGCTGGCCAGCAGAAGGGTAGGAATGGAGCTGCTCAATCGGAAAGCACTCCCTGTGCAGATAAGATTCATTCTCGGGTGGAGCCAAGATGGCCGAATAGGAACAGCTCTGGTCCACAGCTCCCAGCGTGAGCGACGCAGAAGACAGGTGATTTCTGCATTTATATATGAGGAATGCAGCTCCTCACCAGCAAAGGAACAAAGCTGGATGGAGAACGACTTTGACGAGTTGAGAGAAGAAGGCTCCAGACGATCAAACTACTCCGAGCTACAGGAGGAAATTCAAACCAACGGCAAAGAAGTTAAAAACTGTGAAAAAAAATTAGACGAATGGATAACTAGAATAACCAATGCAGAGAAGTCCTTAAAGGAGCTGATGGAGATGAAAGCCAAGGCTCGAGAACTATGTGAAGAATGCAGAAGCCTCAGAAGCCAATGCGATCAACTGGAAGAAAGGGTATCAGTGATGCAAGACTAAATGAATGAAATGAAGCGAGAAGGGAAGTTTAGAGAAAAAAGAATAAAAAGAAATGAACAAAGTCTCCAAGAAATATGGGACTATGTGAAAAGACCAAATCTACATCTGATTGGTGTACCTGAAAGTGACGGGGAGAATGGAACCAAGTGGGAAAACACTCTGCAGGATATTATCCAGGAGAACTTCCCCAATCTAGCAAGGCAGGCCAACATTCAGATTCAGGAAATACAGAGAATGCCACAAAGATACTCCTCGAGAAGAGCAACTCCAAGACACATAATTGTCAGATTTACCAAAGTTGAAATGAAGGAAAAAATGTTAAGGGCAGCCAGAGAGAAAGGTCAGGTTACCCACAAAGGGAAGCCCATCAGACTAACAGCGGATCTCTCGGCAGAAACTCTACAAGCCAGAAGAGACTGGCGGCCAATATTCAACATTCTTAAAGAAAAGAATTTTCAACCCAGAATTTCATATCCAGCCAAACTAAGCTTCATAAGTGAAGGAGAAACAAAATACTTTACAGACAAGCAAATGCTGAGAGATTTTGTCACCATCAGGCCTGCCCTAAAAGAGCTCCTGAAGGAAGCACTAAACATGGAAAGGAACAACCGGTACCAGCCACTGCAATAACATGCCAAACTGTAAAGACCGTCAAGGCTAGGAAGAAACTGCATCAACTGACGAGCAAAATAACCAGCTAACATCACAATGAGAGGACCAAATTCACACATAACATTATTAACTTTAAATGTAAATGGGCCAAGTGCTCCAATTAAAAGACACAGACTGGCAAATTGCATAAAGACTCAAGACCCATCAGTGTGCTGTATTCAGGAAACCCATGTCATGTGCAGAGACACACATAGGCTCAAAATAAAGGGATGGAGGAAGATCTACCAAGCAAATGGAAAACAAAAAAAGGCAGGGGTTGCAATCCTAGTCTCTGATAAAACAAACTTTAAACCAACAAAGATCAAAAGAGACAAAGAAGGCCATTACATAATGGTAAAGGGATCAATTCAACAAGAAGAACTAACTATCCTAAATATATATGCACCCAATACAGGAGCACCCAGATTCATAAAGCAAGTCCTGAGTGACCTACAAAGAGACTTAGACTCCCACACAATAATGATGGGAGATTTTAACACCCCACTGTCAACATTAGACAGATCAGCGAGACAGAAAGTTAACAAGGATACCCAGGAATTGAACTCAGCTCTGCACCAAGCAGACCTAATAGACATCTACAGAACTCTCCACCCCAACTCAACAGAATATACATTCTTTTCAGCACCACACCACACCTATTCCAAAATTGACCACATAGTTGGAAGTAAAGCACTCCTCAGCAAATGTAAAAGAACAGAAATTATAACAAACTGTCTCGCAGACCACAGAGCAATCAAGCTAGAACTCAGGATTAAGAAACTCACTCAAAACCGCTCAACTACATGGAAACTGAACAACCTGCTCCTGAATGACTACTGGGTACATAACGAAATGAAGGCAGAAATAAAGATGTTCTTTGAAACCAACGAGAACAAAGACACAACATACCAGAATCTCTGGGACACATTCAAAGTAGTGTGTAGAGGGAAATTTATAGCACTAAATGCTCACAAGAGAAAGCAGGAAAGATCCAAAATTGACACCCTAACATCACAATTAAAAGAACTAGAAAAGCAAGAGCAAACACATTCAAAAGCTAGCAGGAGGCAAGAAATAACTAAAATCAGAGCAGAACTGAAGGAAATAGAGACACAAAAACCCTTTAAAATATTAATGAATCCAGGAGCTGGTTTTTTGAAAAGATCAACAAAATTGATAGACTGCTAGCAAAACTAGTAAAGAAGAAAAGAGAGAAGAATCAAATAGATGCAATAAAAAATGATAAAGGGGATATCACCACTGATCCCACAGAAATACAAACTACCATCAGAGAATATTACAAACAACTCTACGCAAATAAACCAGAAAATCTAGAAGAAATGGATAAATTCCTCGACACATACACCCTCCCAAGACTAAACCAGGAAGAAGTTGAATCTCTGAGTAGACCAATAACAGGCTCTGAAATTGTGGCAATAATCAATAGCTTACCAACCAAAAAAAGTGCAGGACCAGATGGATTCACAGCCGAATTCTGCCAGAGGTACAAGGAGGAGCTGGTACCATTCCTTCTGAAACTATTCCAATCAATAGAAAAAGAGGGAATCCTCCCTAACTCATTTTATGAGGCCAACATCATCCTGATACCAAAGCCTGGCAGAGACACAACCAAAAAAGAGAATTTTAGACCAATATCCTTGATGAACATTGATGCAAAAATCCTCAGTACAATACTGGCAAACCTAATCCAGCAGCACATCAAAATCTTATCCACCATGATCAAGTGGGCTTCATCCCTGGGATGCAAGGCTGGTTCAACATATGCAAATCAATAAATGTAATCCAGCATATAAACAGAACCAAAGACAAAAACCACATGATTATCTCAATAGATGCAGAAAAGGCCTTTGACAAAATTCAACCACCTTTCATGCTAAAAACTCTCAATAAATTAGGTATTGATGGGACGTATCTCAAAATAATAAGCGCTATCTATGACAAACCCACAGCCAATATCATACTGAATGGACAAAAATTGGAAGCATTCCCTTTGAAGACTGGCACAAGACAGGGATGCCCTATCTCACCACTCCTATTCAACATAGGGTTGGAAGCTCTGGCCAGGGCAATTAGGCAGGAGAAAGAAATAAAGGCATTCAGTTTGGAAAAGAGGAAGTCAAATTGTCCCTGTTTGGAGATGACATGATTGTATATCTAGAAAACCCCATTGTCTCAGCCCAAAATCTCCTTAAGCTGATAAGCAACTTCAGCAAAGTCTCAGGATACAAAATCAATGTACAAAAATCACAAGCATTCTTATACACCAATAACAGACAAACAGAGAGCCAAATCATGAGTGAACTCCCATTCACAATTGCTTCAAAGAGAATAAAATATCTAGGAATCCAACTTAAAAGGGGTGTGAAGGACCTCTTCAAGGAGAACTACAAACCACTACTCAATGAAATAAAAGAAGATACAAACAAATGGAAGAACATTCCATGCTCATGGGTAGGAAGAATCAATATCGTGAAAATGGCCATACTGCCCAAGGTAATTTATACATTCAATGCCATCCCCATCAAGCTACCAGTGACTTTCTTCACAGAATTGGAAAAAACTACTTTAAAGTTCATATGGAACCAAAAAAGAGCCCGCATCACCAAGTCAATCCTAAGCCAAAAGAACAAAGCCGGAGGCATCACACTACCTGACTTCAAACTATACTACAAGGCTACAGTAACCAAAACAGCATGGTACTGGTACCAAAACAGAGATATAGATCAATGGAACAGAACAGAGCCCTCAGAAATAATGCCGCATATCTACAACCATCTGATCTTTGACAAACCTGACAAAAACAAGCAATGGGGAAACGATTCCCTATTTAATAAATGGTGCTGGGAAATCTGGCTAGCCATATGGAGAAAGCTGAAACTGGATCCCTTCCTTACACCTTATACAAAAATTAATTCAAGATGGATTAAAGACTTACATGTTAGACCTAAAACCATAAAAACCCTAGAAGAAAACCTAGGCAATACCATTCAGGACATAGGCATGGCCAAGGACTTCATGTCTAAAACACCAAAAGCAATGGCAACAAAAGCCAAAATAGACAAATCGGATTTAATTAAACTAAAGAGCTTCTGCACAGCAAAAGAAACTACCATCAGAGTGAACAGGCAACCTACAGAATGGGAGAAAATTTTCACAACCTACACATCTGACAAAGGGCTAATATCCAGAATCTACAATGAACTCAAACAAATTTACAAGAAAAAAACAAACAACCCCATCAAAAAGTGGGCAAAGGATATGAACAGAGACTTCTCAAAAGACGACATTTATGCAGCCAAAAAACACATGAAAAAATGCTCATCATCACTGGCCATCAGAGAAATGCAAATCAAAACCACAATGAGATACCATCTCACACCAGTTAGAATGGCAATCATTAAAAAGTCAGGAAACAACAGGTGCTGGAGAGGATGTGGAGAAATAGGAACACTTTTACACTGTTGGTGGGACTGTAAACTAGTTCAACCACTGTGGAAGTCAGTGTGGCGATTCCTCAGGGATCTAGAACTAGAAATACCATTTGACCCAGCCATCCCATTACTGGGTATATACCCAAAGGACTATAAATCATGCTGCTATAAAGACACATGCACACGTATGTTTATGGCGGCACTATTCACAATAGCAAAGACTTGGAACCAACCCAAACGTTCAACAATGATAGACTGGATTAAGAAAATGTGGCACATATACACCATGGAATACTATGCAGCCATAAAAAATTAAGAGTTCATGTCTTTTGTAGGGACATGGATGAAACTGGAAACCATCATTCTCAGCAAACTATGGCAAGGACAAAAAAACCAAACACCGCATGTTCTCACTCATAGGTGGGAACTGAACAATGAGAATACATGGACACAGGAAGGGGAACATCACATTCAGGGACTGTTGTGGGGTGGGGGGAGGGGAGAGGGACAGCATTAGGAGATATACCTAATGTAAATGACGAGTTAATGGGTGCAGCGCACCAACATGGCACATGTGTACATAAGTAACTAAACTGCACATTGTGCACATGTACCCTAGAACTTAAAGTATAATAATAAAATAAAATAAAAAAGAAATAAAAAAATTTAAAAACAAAGAATCATTCTCTATAATTAAGTCTCATAACAGGCAACACTTCCAGATCTGTTGTGTAAGCAGCCAGAAGCAGTATAAACAGAGGCTCTTCCAGCGAGCCTCGTGGTCTCAGCAGGGCACATACCTTTTCCTTCTGTTACCCATCAGGAGTCTCTGTTTTTGGCTCCTGGCCTTCCGCGTTCTTGTTGGTCAGGTTGCCCCAGGTAAGACCGGAAGCCGGGCAGCGTGGGGGCTGCAGGGTCTCGGGCCCAGGGAATGGGGATTAAGCTGTGTTTTGACAACGGCTCAGGGTCTAGAAATAAGTAATAAATCTGAGCATCAGGGAGAGGATCAAAATAATACAGACTCAAGGAAAATGCTTATATATTTTTTTAACTTACTGAGACATCCTCCAGGATCTCTTTAGACTGAGGGTTGCTTCCCTGGAACAAGAACCGACTTACCAGGGAGACAGTGAAAGGAATGAGCCAGGCTTTTAGGACAGCAGATATGGTTAGCGCTAGAAATAGGCCTTGCAGATAACTGCCTCATAGGAGGCACCTGTCCCCAGGGCTCATTTCCCACCTGATTCATTTCTCGGCCTGGAAGAAAGTGCAGTATACAGAAGAGGGCTCAGCCTGCGAGAAAGTGCAGGATACAGAAGAGGGCTCAGCCTGCGAGAAAGTGCAGGATACAGAAGAGGGCTCGGCCTGGGAGCCAAAGTACAGTGTGTGGTTCCCAGCTCTGACACTCACTCGCAGTGGGCCTTCCTGCGAGTAACTGAGTTGTCCTCAAATTCAACCCTGTCTCTGTAAAACAGGAATAAAAACCCCACGTGGCACAGAGGGTTTCATTGATGACACCTGAGGCTAGGTTCAGGAAGAGCCTCTTAAAGCATCACAGACATTGGAGGTAGTGGCGGTGTTTCTGTTGCTGTTGCTTTCCGGCTTCTGTTTTCTGTATTCTCTGCCTCCTCTCCCGCCAAGCCGGCCCACCATGCCGGCCTCCTGAGGCTGTGGATGTATCTCAGTGGCCTATGGGGTCCCAGTCCCCCGAGTCCTGTCCACTCTTTCTGCCCAGTGCCTCCTGCCCTTCTATGCGCAGGGCAAGTAGGGGCTGTGCTCTGGCTTGTCTTCACACTCATAGAAGGTTGCAGAGATTCCTGTTACGGAATCTCCACCCCATTCTATCTCTTTAGCAGGGACTGGAAGCTGGGGTGCAAGAGGGAGCTAATAGTCAGCATTTGGGGCAGATACTATGGAATCTGGCATTTTTAGAGTTGAGGCTGTCCTGCAAGCCAAGAACCACCGACAGCGTGGCACAGATTGACACAGACCGCAGTGCGGGCTTCATAGGGAATACCATTGTCAGCTGAGGAGCTGAAATATACTTCCCTCCCCACAGGCCATGGCCAATGCCTTCGAAAATCCCTGAGTGCTTCCAGAATGGCGGCCAATGTATATTTTCTTGCACAATACAGCAGATCCCCGTTGGTTCCTCCTACAGTGGAAGAAAGAAATGCAGCCAGGGCCTGTGACGGGCTGAAGATCACCTGAGCACAGGAAACCTGGAGAGCGAAATAGAACGCTCACTTTAGCTCTAAAGATTCTACCGTATTACCTCTTGAAAATAAATAAATGACCAGGTGCTGGATTTAGGAATGGCGATTACGATGCTTATTTGGGAGAGACATGTATCTAGACGCAGAAAAGGAAGGAATACTGTGTGTGCGTGAAGAGTAACCTCAGGTTACTTCTCTCAGTCCCAGAGGCTGGAAGTCTGACATCCGGTTATCCGCAGGGTTGATTTGGTTCCTAGATGGCCGCCTTCTTCCTGTATCTTTGTGTGTTCGTCCCTTGGTGCATGTGTGTGTCAGTATCCAAATTTCCTTTTCTTGTAAGGACACCAGTCCTACTGAATCGGGGCCACCTTAAAGGCCTCATTTTAACTTAATAAGCTATGCACAGACCCTATTTCCAAATACGGTTACATTCTGAGGCCCTGGGAGTTAGGACTTCCACATAGGAATTCGGGTGCACACAACTCAGCCCTTCCCACCGGGCTTACCCCTGCATCTGCAGTTAGCTTCCAGGTCCATTGGAGGCTGGCTGCCGCCAAGGCAATGTGAATTGTAGAGCCACGCGCAAGGTGTCCTGAGGCCTAGCTTCATAACTGGCTCCTTCTGCTGCTGTTATTGGTCAAAACAAGTCAAAAAGCCAACTAGATTCCTGAGCTGGGGAAACAGACACCACTGCAGATGGAAAGAGCTGCAGAGTCAGATCACAAAGGGTGTGATTCAGTGGGGGATTCAGGGCCACAGTGGTGGCCCGCCTCACCATCAACCACAAAGGGTATCCAGGTTCCTTCTGCCTTACGTACTTTGGGTGTGTATGAGGGGCTTAACGTAGTTCAGTGTGCCTTGGAAGACCCCGAACACTGCCTTTCAAGCGGAAGATTCTCTGACAAAAATCCGTACGGATCAAGGATGTGCTTCAGAGCCAGATCCCAATTGTTTGATCAAGCACAGCCCAGGAGCTCTGATGCCAGTGAAGTATTAGTTTTAAAATGTCATGCATGACTAGTCGTTGAGGGGAAAATAAGAATTTCTGGACTTCTTTATGCTTTTCCATTTATATGGCATTGGTTATTGGTTACAGAGAGGGACGGGGACCTAAAATATTTTCTGTTCCAAAATCTAGACTTTGCCCATTCCTGGTGACGTGAAAGTCACTTGAGGTGATTGTGTATCTAGGGGCAGTAGTAGGACTGAAGGAGGGGTGAGAGAGTGCACTTTAACTCCCCGAAAACCTACTCCCTACAGCTACCCAAATAACATGCAAACATTAATAAAAACAAAGAACTTGCAAAACAAATGTAACTTCAAAGCCGTTCCCCAAACCCTCTTCCAGCTTTATGGCTTTAGCTAAATCCTTCCTGCACAGCCCCTGCCTTTGCCCACACACTCCCCAAGCAGAAGAGTGCCTCAGAGCCCCAACCAAATGTTCCTGCTCCATCTCCCCCAGCCCTCGCCCTCCTCGCATGCTCTCCCATACGCAACTGCCTTATCCCTGCTGACCAAGAAGGGCCTTGCCCCTTCTTCACCTGGCTTACAGGAGTCCCTTTTGCATAATGGTGGAACTTGATCCCTTTTTTCTCTGTGCTCCCAGAATATGCATTGAACCAATGCTGTTCAATCCTAAAGAGTGCAGGCGAGGAGAGGAAAAGAAGAGTCTTCACGGCTACTGCCCAGGCGGGGCATGCTGTCTGCCAAATAACCATCACTCTAGTCCCCAGATCCATTCACACCTTCAGCCCATCGGTGTGTATCGAGTGCTCCCTCTGTGCCAGGGCCTGGGAGACAGTGCTGAACAAGTCAGATGAAGTCCCCCTCCTCTGGTGCTCCTGTAGAGGGAGACGGACAATGAGAAAATAAACAAATGAGATGATGTAAGTGCAGGAAGAAAAAGAGAGCAGGATGAGGGGGTGCAAGTGTCCAGGAAGAGGCCTGCGAGAGCCGCCCACCTCTGCCACGCAGCCCCTCACAATTGCAGGGTCCCCACCTCAATTCCAGCTGCCCTCACCCCACCCCATATATGCAACACACAGGCCCTGGGGAGGGCAGCCCCAGGGACACCTGGGCCGGAGCGTCACAGCAGACAGAAGAGGGATGGCCGCTCTGGGCTGCTTCTTTATTGATTGCTGCTGCACTCACAGAAGGCCTGTTTCCTTCTTTGTGCCCGGTGTCTGCCTAGCCCCAGGAGGAGAAAGAGAAAGGAAACAAAAACGGCCGCCACACTGCTCAGAGCAGCTCTTCTCATGTCCGGAGACTCTCCCTTCACTCCACACACTGAAGTGCGCCTCTGGAAACACTGCGGCTTGCAGGAGATCCCGCTGGACTGGGGTCAGACGCGCCTTGGCTCTGTGCCTGGCTCTGCATCCAGCTCTGCCTCTACCAGCCGAGAAACTGCCCTCTTTGGATCTCAGAGAGCAAATACCTGCCCTGCCCACCCCACGGGCTTGTGTGCAGTTAACTATGGAGAAAGTATTCCCAAAGCATTCAGAAGCTAGCTGAGATTTTAAAGTACTAAGGATTATTTTAATGACGTTAAAATACATTTATTTTCACATTAAGTCATCTTCAAACCTAATGACGTGATTTGAAGACACAGGTTTTCCACTTCCTCTGTCCCAGAGTCAGAGAGCTCTGTTTAAACGTGCTCTGAGGGTTTGCAACCGCCGGTGCAACAGCGCCACCTACTGGGTGTTTGCCCTGGGAAAAGACTAGACTGAGCTGCAGCGCTTCCTGACTGCTTGCTTTCATTCATTCACTTACTTGTTTATTCCCTTATTCATTCATACACCCAACACGCACTGAGAAGGCATTATACGCTGTGCACACTCTCATGATCTGCTATCTATGCAGGTGCAAACAAGCCATGGCATTACAGGGTCCGGATGGGCTTGAGGGACGATTAGTTTACATGGCTTGGAGGAGGGGGCAAGAAAAGCCTTGGCAACCATGGCTTTCTCCTACGCACTAGAAGAGGGATGCTTAAGAAGGTGGGTGGCCCGACTGGCTCGTGGATCATCCCAGGGTTAGCGACCACAGAAGACACCAGTATCTTCCACATCAACTCCTTCAACTATTGCTACAAATTTATAGAGCCAAAACATTCCGTTTACTCTCATTTCTCATAACGTACTCCTGGAAATTTATCTAAAAGTAAACATTCCAGCAGAGGACAGTGGAGGAACTGTGTTCCCCAAATGGTTGTTGCAGGGGTATCAACACTACAAAAATAGGTAAACAAATAAAATCTTCAGCTGCGTAGGATTTGCTGACAATAATAAGTACTATACCAATATTTGAATGTATTCCTGATACATTGAGTGTAAAATGCAGAATATTAACTTCAAGGCTCATTCTTATTTCATTAATGTAACAGAAAAGATAGACAGATAAAGATTAGAAAATGTATGCCCAACATTAAAATAAGAATTGCCTTAATTATGAAGACGCTGCTTCTGATTTTTAATCAGACTGTACCACACTTAACCTGAACTGCTCTAATCACAGCAGCAGTGCCAGAGGTCCCTGGAGCCTGGGACCTTATGTGGCTACTGAGGCTAGGCATCACCCAATTTGTAATTTTTGCCAATCTAAAGAAGTAATGTGATGTCAGGCCGGGAGTGGTGGATCACGCCTGTAATCCCAGCACTTTGGGAGACGGAGGCAGACAGATCACTTGAGCTCAGGAATTCAAGACCAGCCTGGCCAACATAGGGAAACCCCGTCTCTACTAAAAATAAAAAAATTACCCAGGCACAGTGGCACGTGCCTGTAATCCCAGCTACTCATAAGACTGAGGCAGGAGAATCGCTTGAACCCGGGAGGTGGAGGTTGCAGTGAGCTGAGATCGCGCCATTGCACTCCAGTCTGGATGGCAGGGCAAGATCTTGTCTAATAAATAAATAAAGTGATGTCATTCACTTTGCACTTTTTAAAATATTTATAGGTTTAAGCATCACTTAAATTATCTTCAGTTTGGAAACATTTTCTTCAGTAAATTAGGCCTTTTCGGGTTTTTCTCTTCCATAAATTGCCTTTTCCCCTTTTTTACTGAGGTTGCTGCCTCCTCGTTTTTGTTGAAATATAGGAGTTACTTGTATATTTCATATATTAATGACTTGTCAGTTTGAGACATTGCAAAACACTTCTCCCACTGTATCTAACTTCTGTCCGTTAATGTCCACAAGGTCCTTCACTAAACAGAAGGCTTCAGTTGTTACACACAAAAAAATGCAATCCATTTTTCCCTTGTGGTTTGTGTTTTGAGGTGTTTTTTAAGACATCCTTCTCCATTACTAAGTCATAAAAATATTCTGCTATTTTTTGTACTTCTTTCTGTTAAAGTCTTATCTTTCATATGTAGGTCTTTACTCTACATGGCGTCCACCTGTGGGCATGCGCTAGGTGGAGATCTACTTTTATTGTTTGGATCTAATGAGCTCATTTTATCACACATTCACTAAACAATTTGTATTTCTCCATTGATTTGTGGTGCCGCTATTGGTCATATATTTTAAGTTCTATGTATTTGTAGGTCAGCTTCTGAGCTCTCCACTGCATTCTATAGATTTTTTGTCTGTTCTGTGCCAATACCATAACGTTCTATAAACATGACTTTTTCTTGATATATATTAATATCTAGAAGGGTACAAATGCCTCTTTATCCTTCTTCACAAAGTCGGCTAATTTGTGGACCTCCTCTCTTCATTCACATTTTAGAGTAAGTCTATCAAGTTTCGTAAAGATCATTTTGGAATTTTTAATAAGTTTCCACTGAATGTATAGATTAATTAAGGAAGAATTGACAATTTTATTAAGCTGTTTGAATCAAAAACAAGAATATATCTACTCAGATCATTTCTTATATTCTTTATTAGAGTTTTATGGTGTGCTCCAGACAAATCTTATGTATGTTTTAAATCAATTCCTAAGCACTTTATAGACATTCTAACTATTACAACTATCTTAATTTTTCCAGTTTTGTATAGTACGTGTACAGAGAAATGCTATTGGTTTTTGTAAGTTATATTAGAAGGCCTTTTGGCCTTTTTTTTTTTTTTTTGAGACGGAGTCTCGCTCTGTTGCCCAGGCTGGAGTGCAGTGGCGTGATCTCGGCTCACTGCAAGCTCTGCCTGCTGGGTTCACACCTTTCTCCTTCCTCAGCGTCTCAAGTAGCTGGGACTACAGGTGCCTGCCACCACGCCCAGCTATTTTTTTTTTTTTTTTTTTAGTAGAGATGGGGTTTCACCATGTTAGCCAGGGTGGTCTCGATCTCCTGACCTCATGATCCACCCGCCTCGGCCTCCCAAAGTGCTGGGATTACAGGCGTGAGCCACCGCACCCGGCCACGTTTTGAACTATTTCATCAGCTTGACAAGGTTGATTGTTCTAGGTAGAGAAGCATCTGTAGATGATGAGTGTCTCACCCTTCCTTTCTGCTAGTTACATGATCTTATTTCCTTCAGTTTCCTTATACATTAGGTATACCCTCCAACACAATATTAAACAGTAGTTGTGATACTGAGCATGCTTGTCTTCTTATCTGTGAGCCACTGTGCCCAACCAAGAAAAATCATTTGATTATTTCAATCCTAGCACTTGGGGAGGCCGAGGCAGGCAGATCACTTCAGCTCAGGAGTTCGAGACCAGCCTGGCTAACATGAAGAAACCCCATCTGTACTAAAAATACAAAAATTAGCTGAGTCTGGTAGCACACGCCTGCAATTCCAGCTACTTGGGAGGCTGAGACATGAGAACAGGGCTTGAACCCAGGAGGTTGAGGTTGCCGTGAGCCAAGATTGCGCCTATTCACTCCAGCCTCATGTCAGAGCTAGACTGCCTCAAGAAAGAAAGAAAAAAAAAGGATTTTTCTTGTTCAAAATGATAATGGAGTGACATCAAAGGATTTCTGGGTTGTGAAAATTCATAGTAAAACCCACCTTATCATATAATACTATTTTAATATATTTTGAATTTATCATTTTACCTAGGATTTTTGCATCTGTGCTTGTCATTAAAATAATTTTCTTTCTATGTATATCTTTGTTTACAATCAAAACTACAGCAGTCTTTTAAAATAAGCTGGGTAAAGTTCGGTCTTTGTTTCCTGGAGCAAATTATATTAGGTAGCAGTTAACTGTTCATTGAAACTTTGGCAGAATTAATCTGTAAAACTACCTAGACCTGAATAGTCTTTGACTACCAGTTTAATTTCTCTAACACTCACTGGACTATTCAAATTCTCTCTCTCTCTCTCTCTTTTTTTTTTTTTTTTTTTTTGAGATGAAGTCTCCCTCTGTCACCCAGGCTGGAGTACAATGGTACGATCTCGGCTAACTGCAACCTCCACCTCCCAGGTTCAAGCGGTTCTCCTGTCTCAGCCTCCCAAGTAGCTGGGATTACAGGTGTCCACCACCACACCCAGCTAATCTTTGTATTTTTAGTAGAGACAGCGTTTCGCCATGTTGGCCAGGCTGGTCTCAAACTCCTGACCTCAGGTGATCCGCCTGCCTTGGCCTCTCAAAATGCTGGGATTACAGGCATGAGACATCATGCCTGGCCAAGTTCTCTTTCTTCTTATGCTAATTTGAACATGCTTTCGCCATGGGATGTGCCTGCTCCCCTTTCACCTTCCGTTATGAGCATAAGCTCCCAAGGCCTTCCTAGAAACTGAGCAGATGCCAGCACCGTGCTTCCTGTAAATCCTGAAGAACTGTGAGCCAATCAAACTTCTTTTCTGATAAATTACCCAGTCTCAGGTATTTCTTTATAGTCATACAAGAACAGCCTATTACAATATATGGGTATATACATGAATGACAAAGAATGTCTCCCTGATCAGACTCTGGACAGCCTCCTCCGAGCTCTCTGCACGACTGGGCCCAACCTGGGCATTCCTTCCTCTGTTCCTGCAGAGTCTAGTTTTAGCAAGAATCCTGCTAAGTCAGTTTAATCCCAATTCCCCACCTCAGGTGTCTGAATACCCTCCATATCTGACCAAATTCCAACACCTGCTCCACCCCACCCCCATCCCCGATGTGGATCAACTTGGCCCACCCTCAGCAGGAATCCTGTTAGGTCAGGGAAGCCAGAACCCCCACTTGATGTCCCCTTCTCAATGACTTTCCATCCACCGTCCCCCACACTGCTCCTTGGCTATAAATCCCCACTTTTCCTTATTATTTTCGGACCCCAATCTCTCTCCCCTGCTGCAAAACCTCAGTGCAGTCCCTTACATCTAAGGAAATGGTTCTGAATAAAAGTCTGTCTTACCGTTTTTAAAACGTCAGAATGTTTTCAGATACGTGTGTGTATATATCTCCATATCTGTAAATATATATAAATATAGATATAGATATCTCCGAAGAGAAGGTTTTCCAATGTGCAGTTTTTCTTCTTGCACATTGCGATCTTAACCCTCAAGCACATCTGGAAAAAGCTTCCATGAGGATACAGCCTGGGATGGATTTGTGGGCGAGGTGTAGACCACGATACCGGGTAACGTGCCCTGTGTTTTCTGGCCACAGAACTGTAAGATTTCAAAAAGACCCAATCAATGATTCTAACCCAACTCTACATATATTTACTCAAACACAGTATTCCTCCCTGACTAGTGGTTAACGGACTTGCTTTAGGCGGCCCCAGAGGCGGTGGCCAGTTTAGCCACCTCCCGAGGAACCTGCGCAGTCCCGACGCTCACCAAGCGCTTTCCTGGCGGTTACAGGGTTGGGGGCAGCGCAGAACCCGCTTCTGCCCTTATCAGGAGCCCGGACCTGAGCTGGACTCCACCACCTCGTCCCCACCCACCCTGGAAGCCAGAAACCCCAAGCATCCTCCCTCCCTCCCCTGCTGGCCACTACGAATAAACCAGACATACAATTCGCGCCTAACGGCTTAGCCAGAAATGCCACCCGCAGTCGGGCCCCGGGCCGGAAACCTCCCCGACGCGGGGCCGCGTGCAGGGGAAGGGGCGGGCGCAGGCTGCGGGGTCGGCACGGAAGATGCACGCGAGGCTCCTGGGGCTCTCGGCCCTGCTGCAGGCGGCCGAACAGAGCGCGCGTGAGTGCGGCAGCCCGAGGCTGTGCTCACCCCTGCAGCCCCTAACCCGACCCCGGCGCCGGGAGCCGCACAGGCTGCCTATGCCCGGGCGGGCACTGCCCCAGCCTGCGCCCAGCACTGCGCGCCGGTGACGCACGGTGGTGGCCATCCCACCTGCAGAGCACGTCCTCCCGTCCTTAGTAGATGCCCACGCATGCACCATCCCCCCAAGGATGCATGATTTTCCTCCACCCATGCTCGGTCCCCCCCCTCCCGACTGGTGCTTGACTTCCTCCCGCCCATGCACGATCCCCCCGCCCCACGCATGCAAGATCCCCTCGCAGAAGCAGGGGAGATGTATCCGCCCTTCCTTCCATCACAAGCTTTGCAAAGTGCTGCGATGCCAAGATGTGCTGAGCGCAAGTCTGGGGGCGCCCGGGCTCTCCCCCGACCCCCGGCCGTCCAGGGGGACCCTGCGACTTGGAGGCCGCTCGCAGAAGGGGTGGCGGGGGGAGGGGGACAGGGCTCCGCATCCACGCGGCCCTGTAGGACGGCGACTCCGCTTCGGGGTTTAGGACGGGGCGGGACGCGGCCCTTCGGGGCCACCTCCGTCGCAGGGGGAACCCAGAGCCCGCCAGCCGCGGCGGAGCAAGATGGCCCCATTTTTCGCGCCCTTCTGGTTTGAACGCGTAACTCCTTCAGTGCCGGGAGGAGCGTCTCCGCCCACTTCCGCCGGGCTCCCTGCGGAAGCTTTTTCCCGGGCAGAGTCCCTGGGGTGGAAGAGGGGGTACCCTGGGAACGCCGCCTTGGGACTTTTCCCTGAGTTCGCGGGCGTCCCCGCAGGTCCCGCTGCTTCCGAGGCGCGCCGAGCAGGACGCACACGGAGGACGCGCAAGCGCCCTGGCTCCGCGCCCCGGACTGGAAGGGCTGAGACAGGACCTGCGGGGGTCGGCACCCACCCCAGGTGTCCTCCCTTGCCCTCCAGCTGGGCACGGACTGGGTGTCAGCATTCCCCAGCCCTGCAGCACCGAAGGCTTTTCGTGCAAGGGAGGCTGCCGCAGGACGCTCGGGGTGGTGACAGCCGGACCCAGCCTGGGCGCTAAGGGCTGCCTGAGCCCGGACCCCGCGGTCTAGAGCTGCAGCGTCTGCAGCTGTACCTCAGGGCAGTTTTCCCAGTTTCCCTAAAATCCGCGGCTTGTGTTCATTCATCCACCTAGAACTTTACTATTGGAAAACCTAAGTAACAGTTGTGTGAAACGATGCCTGTGTGCGGTGCCTCTACCAGCGCACCGCCTCCAAGATCAGCCTCAGACAACCCTCAGGAGGCCGTGCTAGGAGTATTGGGGAGGCCCAGAGTTCCAGGCCAGGGAGTTCCCCATGTGAAAGTAGGAGAAAAGGGACCCCACAGAGAGAGCTGTGACCCCACAGGGACTAACGGTTTCGTAGTGCGGAGTTACTGACTGCGGAGTGCACATTCTCTCTCCACTGCGTAACCACCATCAAAAACAAACAAGCAAACAAACCAGAGAGGAGGTTTCATCGTTCTCGAGGATGCACAAGATGCTAGGCGCTTCACACATGTCGTATATTGCCCAACAGCTCTGGAAAGCCCTGACAATGTCATTTAGTGAAAGCCTGTCCCTGTTGCCAGAGGCTCTACTGGCTCCCAGCCTGCTCCTAGGAGACTCTTGCTGGTGATGGGGACACTGTGTTGGTTGGTTACTGTTTTGTTTTGTTTTGAGACAAGAGTCTTGCTCTGTGGCCCAGGCTGGAATGCAGTGGCCCAATCTCGACTCACTGCAAACTCCGCCTCCTGAGTTGAAGCCATTCTGGTGCCTCATCCATCCCGAGTAGCTGGTATTACAGGCACGCAGCCAGCAAACTTGCTCATTTTTGTATTTTTAGTAGAGAGGCCCAGACTGGTCTTGAACTCCTGACGTCGAGCAATCTGCCCACCTCGGCCTCCCAAAGTGCTTTGGTTTTGTTTTTAATGAGATAATTAGGTGTGGCCACAAGATGAGACACAGGAGAGTCTCTGGAAAGCAAAGTTTGCTGTACTCACAGGTCCTAGGACAGGAGACATGGCACACCATGCCGGGCCACAGGGGAATGTCACCAGGGTGGTCAGGAGGCAGGAGACAGGAACCAGGGGAAGTTGAGGCCAGACGCTTTGCTAGGGCAGAGCACCAGCTTCAGATTAGCCCTTTGAATAATTTCTGTGGCTTTGGGGTATAAGGGTGGTCCCTAGTTTCCTGGCACTGGGCCCTGGGATGATTAAGGCAAAAGAAGATTGCCTTCTGCGGGGGTATGGGCCAGGTAGGGGAGGTCTGGCTCTGGCTAGATTTAGTTCGCATGTCAAAGGCAAGCTCCTGGCTGGGCCCTTTGCTAGCTGAAATAATTGCTAGCCTTGGGAGGGACAGTCACTCCCCAGCCAGAAAGATTTTAAGAGGTCAGAACATCATAACATCCAGAAAATGTTCAGTTGTTTAAAATGCAGGTACCCAGTCTCACTCCAGCCTTCCAACAACCTGCTTGCCTTTCCCCTTCTCACCCAGGCCTTTACACCGTGGCTTACTACTTCACCACAGGACGGCTTCTGTGGGGGTGGCTGGCCCTTGCTGTCCTCCTGCCCGGGTTCTTGGTCCAGGCCCTGAGCTACCTGTGGTTCCGAGCAGACGGGCATCCAGGGCATTGCTCCTTGGTGATGCTGCACCTCCTACAGCTTGGTGTTTGGAAGCGGTAAGAACAGCTGCCTCTTTCACCTCTGGAGCACAATTGCACAAGTGCAGTGAGAGGAATCTTCTGTCCATGTGGATTCTGTCCTCAAGCTCATAAAAGTTCAGCATTGGGAAGAGGTTCAAAGCGGCCACAGCAAACCCCTGCTCTGATATTGGCATGCCCGGGTCCAGCCTGCACTTTTTTGAGCATCTCCAACCTCAGAGGCTCTTTCTCTGTGAAGCTGTGACCTTACGAAAGGCTTTTTCTTGTCTTCAGATGAAGCCCTGTCTTGCTGTTTTGATTTGTTGGTTGAGCCGTTAGTTCCATATAAAGCAACTTACTTAAGGCAGTTCCATCTGCACACCTGTCACCTTAGAACAGGAAGGTGGCATAGTTTAGTGAACCACAGACTAGACAATGAAGCCAGCCTGTTGACATTTGCTTCAAGACTTCATCTCAGGAAAAAGTCATTTGGATGCCAGGGCTAGTTTTTTCTCTAAAGAAGTAGCCAGGGATAGTTCTGGGGCCTGGTGGGCTTATCCGTGATCCATAGACCATCACGACAGGTGAGGGCTGATTTTTTTCTACTTTGAGAACCTGGATTCAAGGAGCTATGAGAAGAGATGTGTCAGTGAGTTTATATCAAGGGCACATTTCAGCTGGCAGCTGCTGCCTCATAATTCCATTGGGTTGTTAGGTTTTTTTTTTTTTTTTTTTTTTTTTGAGATGGAGTCTCACTCTGTCACCCAGGCTGGAGTGCAGTGGTGTGATCTTGGCTCACTGCAACCTCCGCCTCCTGGGTTCAAGCGATTCTCCTGCTTCAGCCTGTTGAGTAGGCGGGACTACAGGCACGTGCCACCATGCCCGGCTAATTTTTTGTATTTTTAGTAGAAACAGGGTTTCACTGGGTTAGCCAGCATCGTCTCGGTCTCCTGACCTCGTGATCCGCCCACCTTGGCCTCCCAAAGTGCTGGGATTACAGGCGTGAGCCACTGCGCCTGGCCACAGGATTTTTTTTAAGGGAGAAAAATTCAGGGATCAGAGCGGTGAAGCCCTGCAGCTCAAGTGTTCATTAAATCATAGGCACTGAGGGTTGGAAAGGTGTTCAAGGGGTCGTGGCCAATGCTGCTGTGTGTCCTAGGGGTTTATGCCTGCAAGCTATTCCCAAGACTTTCTCCGGAGGCACTGAAATGAGTGATGAGCCCCACATAGAGCATCATCGTGAGCAGGGAATGGTGCCGTCCCGCCCAGAGTAGAATCTCAGCTAGGAGGTAGAGGGTGCTTCTGAGAAAGACTTCAAGCACCCACTCTCAGTTTCACTGGACCCTCAGAGTTGGACCCTAAACCTCTAACAGCACCGAAAGCATATTTGCAGCCACAGGCATTTTGCCAAAAGCTCGGCCTTGGTGTTCAAGCAGTGCCGTTCCCCTGAAAAGACAGGGCCCTTCCTTCCATGGCGGAGAAGGCAGAGAAGGATCTTTCGGAGGGCCTCGTAGGGTCAGAGCCTCTCCTGTGCCCTAGCTGCCATTGTCGTCTCCTTCCCTGATCGGCCCAGCCCAGTAATCAATCCTTAAGGGCTCTGGGTCTTACTTGGCTTTGACCATCACAGTCGTAAGGCATGAGCCCTCGAGGACAGAGGCCTGTTGAGTGAGTCAGCTACCATGAGCCCATGTTTGGCAGCCCAAAGAGAGAGGTAAGCCCAGGTGGTCACTTAGAGAAGCTTCCTGGGTAATGAACGGTTAGACAAATCTGCCTTCTGAGGCTGTGTGGACCCTCAGGCCTCATGGAATCCACTGCCTTCCTCAGAGATGAGGGCTGCCAGGGGACCACGGTGTGTCCAAATTCATGCTGCTGGTATTTCACAGTGGACCCCACACTGTCTTTCCCATGCACTCTTAATTTTCTTAAGTGATGCCATGATTTTCTGGTGTATATAAAAAAACGAACTTGAATAATCTGGTATATACTAGTGAAATCATATAGATAAGTGAAGAGATACATGAAAATTATAAATTAGGAAAAACCATTAGTCATATATATTTATTCTTGTTTTGAAAAAGAAGTTAAGATGACTTTAAAAATACACATCCTTAAAAGAACAAAAAAGAAAAGAAAAGAAATGAGAAAGGCCAGGTATCGAGATGAAATGTTAGAAAACAAGATAGAGCCAGAATGCACAGCTATCGGAAGCGGGTCACAATTTGGCCCTAAGGTTTATAACAGCCAGTGCAAGCATAAAGGCCGCAAGATTTGCAGTGTTTCTCAGGTTAAACATGAACCAAAAAACAGAAATTTACTTCCATAGAGGAAAGCTTTGAAAGTTAAAATAGACAGCAGTGGATCCATTCCTCATCCTGAAACTAGCACATAGGGTTCAAAGACAACACTGAGTGAAGCAGTATTTTTAGTGAGGCAATCCAGCTTTCCAAATTGCAATTCTAGAAAAGGACCTGTAGGGGGAGCCAAAACAATTGCGTTTGGCACAATTTTGAATTGCCTAAGAATAGGTCACTTTGAGTGTCCTCATCACAAAATACAAAAGAATCTGCTAACTGAGAATCCAGTAAAACACAAAGTTGCTTATAAAAATGCAAGGATTGAGGCCTGGCGCGGTGGCTCACGCCTGTAATCCCAGCACTTTGAGAGGCCGAGGCAGGCGGATCACGAGGTCAGGAGATCCAGACCATCCTGGCTAACACGGTGAAACCCCGTCTCTACTAAAAATACAAAAAATTAGCCGGGCGTGGTGGCGGGCGCCTGTAGTCCCAGCTACTTGGGAGGCTGAGGCAGGAGAATGGCATGAACCCGTTAGGCGGAACTTGCAGTGAGCCGAGATTGCATCACTGGACTCCAGCTTGGGTGACAGAGCGAGACTCCGTCTCAAAAAAAAAAAAAAAAAAAAAAAAAAAAAAGCAAGAATTTGGCCTGGCGTGACGGCTCACACCTGTAATCTCAGTGCTTTAGGAGGTGGAGGCAGGCTGATCTCTTGAGGCCAGGAGTTCTAAACCAGCCTGGCCAACACTGTTGAAACCCCATCTCCACTAAAAATAGACAAATTAGCCAGGCGTGGTCACGCACACCTGTAATGCCACCTACTCAGGAGACTGAAGCATGAGAATCGCTTGAACCTGGGAAGTAGAGGTTACAGTGAGCTGAGATCACGCCACTGCACTCCAACCTAGGCAACAGAATGAGACTCAATCTCAAATAAATAAATAAATATAAAAAGGCAAGGATTTAAGCCATAAGTGTATTCTTTTTAACGTTCCCAATAATACATACTATGTTCATTTTAAGTCTGACTCTGTTCAAGAGAACCTGACATTGGTGACCACTTATTTAAACAAAGACCATTACTTTCTTCTACTTAGGTTTTTTACTTACACTTTAATACTGTATGTTACCAACATCTTTTTCATCTTTCTTTTTAAGCCCACAAATCCACTTGTAAATGCAGCATGAGATGACAGAAGAAGGCCTATCTCATCCTTAGCATGCACCTTGGTTTAGCAATTTTTCTTTAGTGAAAGTTCAAGGTTGTCAAAAGGAAAGTTAAGGTAAACTCTAAAGGTATGTAAGACAGGTTCAGCATAAATGGGTGGAGATTTAATATTTAAAAGTATATAAAATATAGCCCTAGCCCTGGAGGGCCCAGTCCTGCCTCAGGATCCCTCGAGTGAGGCTTGAAGGCTGTTGCGATTTCCATCAATGTAGGGAGGGAACAGGCGTTTCCGACACAGCAAGCTGCAGCCGCTGGTGCAAAGACATAGATGCGTGCCAGAAGTGGTGTATATGGGAAATTAGGATGAGGTTCTTGAGACTAAAGGGTAAGAATTTCCTAGATGGCAGGAATGTGGCAGGAGATAAATGGGCTGGACCATGAAGAAACTTTTCTACTGGATTAAGGAGTTTGGATTTTATCCTCAGGCATTGGAGACCTGTTGGAAGGGTTTGAGCAAAGGAATAATATGGGCAAATGAGCCTGTAGACAGATGGCACCAGGGACAATAAAATGCAACAGAGTTGGGAGGGACGGGGTCCATGCAGGCAGCCAGAAATCCAGGCAAGTGCTGATAAGGACCTGGAATGATGCAGCGACTGTGAGGACAGATGTCGGACACCATCTCATAGGACCTAGTGACCAAATCCCCACGCTCTCCATCCCGCCTCAGCTTCCTCCCCGGCTTCCCTAGTGGCTGTCCAGGGGTCTCAGCCTGAATTTCTCCCTCTGCAATGGGTTCGAGACAGCTCGTTTCAGAAAACCGGGCTAGTCACCTTCCCACTGGTCCTCTGTTTCTTACAAGAGTAGCCCCACAACTCAGCCTCTCCTGGCCCCCGCCTTACCAAGCACCAGATATTCGCTATTCCCAGACATGGACCTTCATTTCAGTGCCTTGTACCCTGTGCCACTGACCCCAGACACTCCTTTAGGCTCTTCCTACCATCTACCTGTCCAGAGTTTGCCTGTCCTCCTCTTCCAGGAAGCATTCCCTGACCACCTTATTCTCTCTGCCTGTGACTCTGATTCCACCACTACCCAAGCCACTCATGTTGATACTTATATTTCTTCCTCTTGAAGCTTTTCGCATTTGTATGTTTTCTTTCCACACTGAATCTTAGGTTTCTAAAAGACATCTTTCATTTCACTTCCCCCCTTTTCTTTTTTTTCACGAGAGTCTTCTGCCTCTGTCACCCAGGCTGGAGTGCAGTGGCATAATTATGGCTCACTTGCAGCCTTGAACTTCTGGGCTCAAGTGATCCTCCCATCTCAGCCTCCTGAGTAGCTGGGACTACAGGCACCCACCACTATCCCAGCTCTTTTTTTTGTTTTGTTTTGTAGACATGGAGTCTCATTATGTTGCCAGGGCTGGTCTCAAACTCCCAAGCTCAAGCAATCCTCCTGCCTTGGCCTCCCAAAAAGCTGGGATTCATTTCTCTTACTTCGCCTGTGGTCTGTAGCAGGTGGGCCTCTCAAAGCCCAAGAAAAATGCATGTTGAACAAACAAAGCTTTCTGGAAGAGCAAGAAGAGGAAACTACCCCATGTCAGGAACAAATGATTTGAGAGTGAAAAGAAAACTACTGCCTGCCCTCATGGTTACATTTTTTAGTGTCATATGTTTTTCTTAACATTAAGTTTATGTCAGGAATCAAGACACAGTAAGAAATGGGTTCACTCCAGGATTCCAAATCATGAAAAAGGAAAGTTGTTTTTCTTAGACATCTGTCCTGGGATCTCAGCACCATGAATAAAGCCATTTCAAAGAGGAGTCCCCGAATCTTCTGCTCTGGACATAGAAATGTTTGCCACCCATCAGGGTCCAGCTTGTCACCTGCCAGTCAGAGCCTTAGGGGTCTCTACAGCGAGTTTTGCAGGTGACCTTCGAGATGCATCCAGCTTGGCTTCAGGAGTTGCTAAATTGAAGTGACCTCTAGTTCTTAAATTGAACAAGACAGGGAAGCAGAATCCAGTGGGTTTGCTGGGCAGCAGGCTCGTGTGCAGGTGGCTGTGGTCATCTCCTTATTGCTGCTGCTAGGTAGACCCAGAGAGGAATTGGTGGGTGGTGGCGAAATCTGACCTCCAGGTGAGACTCGAAGCCTGAGAGCCCGCTGGTGTGGTGGGGAGTGGCTTCGTGGTCATGGGTTCTATGTGGATCTTCAGGTTGTAAGGAAGGTGGTCTGTGCCACTTTCTACTTATGAGATGAAGTTTCCAGTAAAGGTGCCTGGCATAGGCTCATGGGAAACAGACTGAAGCAAGGACATGTTCTGACTTCTTTCTTGTTGCTTGATTCCTTTTCCGAGAGCCTCGGAGGACCACCCAGGCTGGGTGAGCAGATGTGTCCCCGTGGCCCTGGGCCACCCCATCCTGTAATCCACAGTGCAGAGATCAGCAGCTCTCTCCGCTGCCTGGTTCTCGGCTTCCACCCACCCTTGCTGGTGTCCCTTTCGTATCCAGGCCCCTTAGTGGGAACAGTCCCCAGGGTGCTGTCCTTGGTCTATGCTGTCTTCACACAGTCTCTTCTGGCCACTTCCAGTCCCTCAACCACAACTGGTCATCCAGATCTCTCCTTATGGGGGCTCCACCCATCCTCACATTCCTCACTGCTGAAGAAATTCATATCGTGGCCAATCCAGCACTCCTCACCTGGCTTATTTCCGTCGGTAGCACCACCATTTCCAAGTCATTTAGGCCTGAAACCTCAAAGCCACTGCAACTTCCCTCATCTCCCCTGTTCAGTCATCAAATCCTGATCTCCAACCCCACTATTTCCTGCACCTGCTCCCTACTTTCCATTCCTAGGACTCCCTTCACCAATTACTGCTGGAAGTATTCTATTAGCTCTGTTTCCTCCTGATGTTCCTATCCCCTGTTCATACACACACACTACATGCGTGCACACACACACACTCACACTGCACACACTACAGATACACACTGCACACATACATGAATATACACACATATACCTTCATGCACACACATATATAAACATACACACTATATATATGCAAGCACATAATGCCTATATACATATGCATATGTTTTGCACACTTGCACACACACATGCATACATGCACATGCAGATACATACACACACACACAAGCACATGTACACCACATGTGTGTTCACCCATATACACGCACATGCACATACACATACATAGACACACAAATCCATACACATTCATCTCATACCCCAGACAGTACATATTACCTCTGCCAAATTCATTTTTCCAGAGCAAAATCCAAACCCCATAGCCTGAAGTTCAGGGCCCTGATCTACTTCACCGGGACCACATCAGCCTCCAAGCTCCGCATGGTGCTCCAGCCACCTGGACCTCTGGCCACTCCCCAGCAAAGCCTCCAGATCCTTCTTCCCTGTCTGCTCTTCATGTGCCCCAGTTTTCGCAGCACAGAGTTCTACATTCTGTGAGGATGAAGACAAGGGTTTTTTCTACTTTTTGTCCTTCAAAGAGATGATAACACACAGTACCTTGCAACAGACATCTGTCGATAAATGAATTCCCATCCCAAGAGGATCCGGGGTGGGACTCAGGTCGGGGTGATTGCCGAGCTTCACAGAGCTGGCAGTCTGGGTTCCCTTGCCATGCAGCCGCTCCAGCTCAAAGAGCCCCCAGGTCAGGTACTGGGGTACCAGACGTGGGGAGAGTGTGGCCTGGCTGAGCACCACAGGACTCGGGGAACTTACATAGAAGTGACGTCTTCTGCTTGCAGTCAGAGGCTGGCAACAGCCTAACTAGTAACTCTAGGTGACTAGTAAGGGCATAGGATATTGCTTAGCATGTAGTATGTCTCTAAATGAAAGCTCGTCCTATTGAATCTCGCCACAGCCTGGCTCCGTGTCACGTGCCCTCTGCTGTTCCCTAGGCACTGGGACGCTGCACTGACCAGTCTGCAGAAGGAACTGGAGGCTCCCCACCGAGGCTGGCTGCAGCTGCAGGAGGCCGACCTGTCGGCCCTTCGACTCTTGGAGGCCCTGCTGCAGACTGGGCCCCACCTGCTGCTTCAGACATATGTTTTTCTAGCCTCAGACTTCACAGATATTGTGCCAGGTGAGTAACTGTCACCACAGAGCACAGACTGTCTGACTGCCGAAGGGGGACAGGAATGTGAGCCTGTTTAGCAAAACCCTCCCTTCGAGATTTCCTCTGCTTAGGAGCATTAGGGCACCTTGAGCTCACTGGCACAGATGATGCTTAAAACTGGCTTTTGCTGGTGCATTGAGTTTACAGAGAGTTGGCTCCCTTCTTTCTTAAGGGTCATGTTCTAAAGTCAGCCCATAAGATAGAAATTGCCCATAATCAAAATTATCCTCAAAATGCCTTGGAAAGACTGCCTCTCCATAAACTCACTGCACATGTTTTTCTTGTGTCTTTAATCATTAGAATAATTCTTGGCCGGGCACAAGTCTCACACCTGTAGTCCCAGCACTTTGGGAAGCTGAGGTGGGTGGATTGCTTGAGCCCAGGAGCTCAAGACCAGCCAGGCAAAAACCCATCTCTACCAAAAAATACAAAAATTAGCCAGGCATGGTGGCATGCAGTTGCAGTGCCAGCTATTCAAGAGGCTGAGGTGGTAGCATCACTTGAGGCCAGGAGTTTGAGGCTGCAGTGAGTCATGATTGCATCACTGCATTCCAGTCCAGGTGACAGAGTGAGACCCTGTCTCAAAATAATAATAATAATAATAATTCTTAACAAAGCCAGAGGCTTATACCTTCAAAGCCATGTGGAAACTGAGAACAACTCAGGCCCCAGCAACATTTGTCTCCAGCTCCCACTCATTTCAGGCCATTCACATTCTCATTATGTCTCTCCCTGTTTCTCTCAGTTGCTTCTTGTTTCCCTCTCCCTCTCCCTCCTGCTATCCCCTTTTCTCCCCTCCCCTTCACCCCCTTCTCTCCCTCCCCACCTCTCCCCTTCCATCTTCATCTCTCCCTTCCTCTTTGCTGAGTGTCCACAATTGCATATGCACAAATTAAATGCTTCACATATATGCCTGCACTGTCCTTCCATCCATCTTTATCAAAGAGCCTGACACCATTTGATGTTTTCGTTCTTTTATTAAACCTCCTTCATATGGATAAAACAGCAAAGTACATTTGGGGTGGAACCATGTTCAGAGCCTTGTAGAATCAGCTTTGTTATATACAGAGGACTTAGAGGATCAGGAGCTGGGACGTTTTTCTTAAAGGGCGTAGAAAGGAAGAGTCCAGCCCATTTGCTGGGAAGAGCATTTAGTACATTGAGCAGTGGAAATATTTCCTGCATATCCCCATTTCTTCCTGAATATAGACAGGTGTATTTGGACATAGAGTTGTTATGTTACCTACTGGTCAAAGTGGTGGGTTAGTAATACTCTCTGTGCAGCCAGGCTTTAACAAGAGGTTACACATCCCATTAAAGAAATGCCATGAGTGAATCTTCACAAGGTACTGTTACTTCGGAATCTTCAGAGCATACCACATCTTTCTGCTTCCCTTGCAGGGGTGAGCACCCTGTTTTCCTGGTCCTCACTCTCCTGGGCACTGGTGTCCTACACTCGCTTCATGGGCTTCATGAAGCCAGGCCACCTGGCCATGCCATGGGCCGCCCTCTTCTGCCAGCAGCTCTGGAGGATGGGCATGTTGGGAACCCGCGTGCTGAGTCTGGTTCTGTTCTACAAAGCCTACCACTTTTGGGTTTTTGTGGTTGCAGGTGAGCTGAGCTAATGATCTGGTCATCTGTTGCTGCATAACCAATCAACCCAGAAATGAAGGTCTCAAGAATAACCACATATGATCCTCAATCCCAGGCCTGAAGGCTGACTGGGCTCTCTGCTGAATGGATCTTGCTTGGGTGGCCTCAGAGATGGCAATGGGGTAGCAGATGTTCAGATTCATAAAGAGCCTTGACAGGAATTAGCAGCTGAGAATTGCAATGGCAAGGAACTGGAAACTGCTAGTCTTCTATAAAAACAGGCTCAGAACTGGCTCAGCATTTCTTCTGCTGTATTCTGCCAGTCAAAGCAAGCACAACCAGCCCAGATTCAAGAGCATGGAGGACTAGACTGCAGCTCCCGATGAGTACACATCCAGGGCAGGAAGGAACGCGTGCTGGCTGTCTTGGGAGATACTCTGCCATAGCTTAGACATCCCAGCCCTCAACACTCCCAGCTAAATCTGGAGCAGAGAACTTCTCAGGAGACTGTTCTGTGTTACAGGCCAAAATCTTTTATGTAGAAAAACTGTCACTGAAACAGGAGGGAGGTACAAGGTCCCACTTGCCTCACCTGATATAAAAATATACAGTCTATATGTCATACTGCACATAGCTTCCAAAAGTGCACCATTTCCTTTGAATGCTGAATCTTGGACATCTCCTCTGTTGCAAAAAGGACAGCTCCACTAAATCCAAGCCCTCCCTCCTCCCTCAGTCTAGGCACACGCAATATGAATGGCAATGACAGAGAGTCTATCTGGCTCTGGAGATTCCCTGAATAGGGCCTGTGTGTCCCTGCCGAGGAGAGCTGTCATCTCTGGTCATCAGTGAATATACTCTGCAAGAAGGAACAGTTTACTCTTGTTTTAAGAGAATTGGAGACATTAAGAAATATTTGCCCCTTGGGCCTAGAGCAAACATTGAATACAGTTATTGGCCAAAAAGATAATTTTTTTGAAAAAAAGAACTGTGCTTCTAAAGAGAGATTAGCTATTTTGTTATTCTTTTTTTAAAAAAAAATCAGCTTGAAATCCAAAATGATTTATTCGTCTTAAAATATGGGCATAAAAATTAAAGCTGCACCACATAGAGTTCTTTCCTTTGCATGTGGAGGTTTTTTGCTCTTGTAACAATTTTAAAATAATTGGCAGTCAGTTTTATAACTGCCCCTTTAAACACTTTCTGGAATAAAAAGGTCATAGGTATACAATATTTGGCAAGTGTTATTGAAGCTACTCTTTCTTCTGTCATATTCAAATTAGGTCAGATACCCTTTATAAGGATAAAATGGGATAATACATGCAAAGATAAACTGTGTTGGTATTCTGTCCCCCTCAAATCTCTTCTGGGTTTTGATATCTCTTCTTGGATGCTGAGTCAAATGTGGTCGGAGAGCCTTCCAGCCCCTGGTCTCTGTGTCCTTGCCTGTCCCCCCATCTCCTTGCATGGACCCTGACGTCTGCACCCGGCTTCTCTGCAGGTGCCCACTGGCTGGTGATGACATTCTGGCTTGTCGCCCAGCAGAGTGACATCATCGACAGCACCTGCCACTGGAGGCTGTTCAACCTGCTCGTGGGGGCCGTGTACATCCTCTGCTACCTCAGCTTCTGGGACAGCCCTTCTAGAAATAGGATGGTCACGTTCTACATGGCAAGTGGCACTTTTCTTTATCCTAACTTTTACAGTGTATACAGCAAGTGGGGTGTGTGTGGGTGTGTGTGGGGGGTGTGTGTGTGTGTGCACCAATGCACACCTATCTATTGAAAAGGAATAGCTTAGTTTAAGAAAAATTCTTAAAGAAATGATAGTCTTGAACAGAGATGACAGGCTTTGAAAATAGTAACCCAACCTCCAGCTGTGGCCCTGCATTCAATGTGGCAACAACTGAGGCATATTTGGTGATGTCTTCTCTACATCAGCCCACCTGCTGAATATCATTACAGTTCAACTGTATAATATCATATACTCAATGTCTCTGTTAATCAACTCCATTTTTATTAGGGGTTTATAAATAAGATCCAGGCATGGCCCTAGAGAGTATCAGAAACACAAAAGTGGCCTAATACTTCTTCAGATTGCTTTGAGTCCCGTAGAGATTTCTTCATATTTGAAGAACTTATAATATTTGGTAAGTAAGTAGACACCCAAATAACCAAAATCAGACAGAACGTAGCTAGATGCCAGGAGAGAAAAAAATGTCTGGGACTCATAGGAGTAGCTGCCAGCATCACCTCTCGTCAGGATGACCACAGACACTTTTGGCAGGACAGTGGAGGTTGAGCTGGATTATAATGGGCAAAGGAGAGAAAATACAATCACATTGGTGGGGCATGGGTTTTAGAGTCAGAAAAAACTTGCACTGGAGCCCAGCTCTGCTGACTGCTACCACCAGCTGGCTTCAGCCAAGAATTTAAACTGTCTGAACCTACTTTTTCATGCACACGCTAGGAATAAGTCACCCCCCTCTCAGTGTTCCTGTGAAGATTAAATAAGATCTACATACTCTTCAGGGTTCCTGTAAAGACCAAATAAAATAATATACATAAGTAGCTGGCACAAAATAACCCATAAATTGTGGCCATTATTCATATGAAAAGGTGAGACTTCTGTGGGAGGAGTCAGGCATTCCAGGGTAGAGACCTGGGTGAAGGTAAAGGCAGGATGCAGCTCCTGTCCAGGAAAGGGAAGCGTCCTAGACACCTGCTGATTTTAGGACCCATATAGCACAGTGACCCCACAGGCTATAGAGCCAGGCAGAGCTCACAGGACTTGCAATGTTGGACACATTACTGAGCCTCACCAACCTCAGCGTCCACATCTGAACACCGAGCATAACAGCGTGCGTGTTGTAGATAGGTTCACTTGTGGCAGGGCCCAGGTCATGCATGAGCAGCCTCCCAACCAACATGATCCCCAAGTGAACAAAGTGGAATATTGATTTTCTCATCCAATTTGCTGAAGTGGCTTATTCATAGGTGGACACCCCGCCTGCCAATGCCCAGATAAGCAGGAGCTCAATAAGGAGGAGTTTGACACCTGCCACCTTGTTTGCTTGCATTTGTCACACTCACATGTCAGTTGCCGTGTCATCTCCCAGGAGTTTGAGGGCTGTTAGAGAAGGAAAGAAAGCAAATCCTTCATTCTTCCCAACCATCTCATACAGTCACTAGATCACTGAGTCAAGAGCGATTAAATAGGAAAAGCAGAAATCAGACACCATTACATTTGGAGTGAGATCTACCACAGTGGCACGAGTGTCCTTATCTCTCTCGCTGTGCACAGACCCATCCAGGCCGGGCAGTCCTAGCCCGGGGGCTTGGATCCCTACAGCATGTGATGGGGAACATGGGCTTTAGGCCTTGCTGCCCGACCAGCTAAGGCTTGATACCAGGATCCTTCGGTTCTGAACTGTATGAGAGTCACTGGGGCTCCCCCTGCCCCCACACCCAGTTTTTGCATCTCTGAAATGGTTGTTGCTAGGATTGATAAGGTGATGGATAGAAAGCCAAGAGCCTGGTGCCTGGCACAGGTAGATAGATGTAGATGCTCTGAAAGATAAATAAATAATTTACAATAAATGAAACAGACATCGGGGGCAAGAGAGCAGAGAAAGAAGGAAAGGAGGAAGGAAGGAAGGAAGGAGGGAGGGAGGGAGGGAAGGAAGGAAGGAAGGAAAGGAAGGTAGGGAAGAGGAAGGAAGTGGAGGGTAAAGATAGCCAATATCACCATAAAGAGGTGAAATAACACATAACTCCGAGGATAACCTATTAAACTCCTGACATTTCAAGAGTGCCTGCCAGTCACATTCTGAGGTGGGGCTGCAACCATGAAACTGAAGAAAAGGCGGAGATGACAGGTGGACATGCTCACCTCGCACTTCACCATGCACACTGCCCAGACCTGAGTCTGGGCCCCTCCCTGTGCCAGGCAGTGCTGGGCAGCCCTGGCTCCGTGGCACGGGCCATTCAGAGTGTGAGGCAGCCTCTCCCACTGTTCCTCAACACCCCCAGCTAAACTCCATTGATCCAATGTGGCTGAGTGGCCAGCACCTGAAACCAGTGCCTCTGGGCAGGTTAGAAATGCCCAGACTGTGATCTTGGAAGCCTGAGGCCACAGTGCAGTGGACAGACTGGGGCGCCACTCCCTGAGATGTGCACCCTGCTGGCACAGACCCGTGCTGCCATCCGAAAGCATTACCTTCTGCGGAGGGTGCCGGGACCCACGCAGCCCCAGCCCTCGAGACAGCAGCTCACACAGGAAAGAGGCTGCCAGACCCCAGGCCCTGGATGGGCCCCAGAAGAAGCTGCAATTCCTGTCTGGAAGCCCCAGACTTGGGCAGCGTAGCCCAGGGCCAACCCAAGCATCGCTCAGCTATGTTGAGCCTATTCCTGGGCCACTGGAGAGTGTACCACCCCCACATCCCTTCAAGAAGGAACATAAGGTGTTTTGTATTTGCTTTTGTTTTTCTGAGACAGAGCTTGCCCTGTTGCCCAGGCTGGAATGCAGCAGTGTGATCACAGCTCACTGCAGCCTCGACTTTCTAGGCTCAAGTGATCCTCCCACCTCAGCCTCCCGAGTCACTGGGATCACGGGTGCATACCACCATACCTGGTTAATTTTTATACTTTTTCGTAGGGCCTTTAACCAACAGGCCACCGCCTGGCAGTGGTTCAGAGGTTTCTGCTGGAACGGTCTGGCAGGGGCTGGGGGCTGGGGGCCTCCAGTGCAGCTGGGCCTCAGCCCTGCTGGTTGTCAGTGGCACTCAGGGGAGCTTTTATAAAGTGGCGATTCCCAGGCTCCCCCTCAGAGATTCTGTCTCAGTAGGTGTGACTGCAACCTGGGAATCCATGTCTGGAGACAGCCACAGGTGACACTATGACTGGCCTAGCTCAGGATCTACTCAACTGTCCTCACCTCCTGCTCAGAGGCGGAAGCCTGCCTGTTGATCACTTCTGAATGTAATATAAGACCCCGTCTCACTTCTTTCACCCGTTATGGGTTTATTCACATCAGCACACATTGAGCTTCCTCCTGTGCTGAAAATGGAGTTAGACACCACAGTGTGAGAGGGTCATGTCTCAGTGCCACAAAGACATAAGCAAATCCATGCAGCCACTGTGATCAGAGAAGTGACGCTATCAAAACCCTACAGGAAACAAGAGGCAGAGCTTGGGAAAGTCAGGGAAGGGTTTACAGAGGGGACCTGCACGATGTGCTATGTGGTGAGCAAGGTTCACCTGAAGAAAAGGTGTGGACGGCGCTAGAACGTTTCAGGCAAAGCTGCGGAAGTAATGGAAAGACCCTGGAGTGTCTGGAAATCCACAGGAAAGTGAGTGCGCACAGCGTCCGAGGGAAAAAAAGCCCTGCGCTAGTTAAAAGCAATGAAAACAGATTGCACTGAGTGTATCGCCATAGGGAAGAGCCCTGCATGAACTGAACCCACCTTCAAGTTGTGCAGAGGTGACAGGGCTTAAAAGGGAGAAAAAGGGAGGAAGGAGGAGGAATATCCGGGGGCTTGGCCAGAGACAGGGAAGTGGAAATTTACAAAAAGCAGGAAAGTGGGATCGTAAATATGAGTGTGCCATCTGTGTTTGTTCATTGGCGCTTGTCACTTGCTGGGAGCAGAAACAAATTTCTCATTTCTTTATGACAGGAGGCAGGAGTCAGTCCTGTTAGGGCAATGCACCCACCAGGCTTGGAGTTTGTATTTGAATAGATGGCTCTTGGGTACTTGAGGAGACAGTTCTGGGTAATAGAGGATGTATATCTCAGAGCGCAGCGAAATGATTTGCAACTGCAAGCTTTCTAAAGGAACTGCTCGGAAAGGAAGTCCAGGGTCCTATCCACCCAGCACCAAGTTTTGGCTGGAACAAACAGTACCTTCTCCTGGCAGCACTGCGCTTTCTTAGGCAGGAACTTAAAGGAGACTGAGGTCAGCATCGTAGGGGTGAGGCCTTGAGCTGCTGGAAACTCGGTCAGTGTTTGTTCAAGTCTCTCGGTGTGGGGAGGTAAGGGGAATCATATGTGCTGAGTCTGGAGTTCTCGTTGGCCAGGGTTGAAGACTCATGGAAAAGAAGGCTCAGAGAAGGCTGACTGGAGTTTGGTTGAGGAAAGACTGTTTGTCAGTGGAATGTCGTTTGGGAAGAGCATGCTGGAAGATGACCCCAGAAAGGAAAACTTGCGCTAAGTGGCAAACAGGACCATCTGCTCTGTTGAGAAGTAGGGACTGGATCCTGAAGTTAAGGTGGGGCTGTTTCAAGGTGCATCGGGGAGGAATGGCAAGATGCAATCTCTGGGTGAAGTGGGTCACCCTGACATTGGTGTGGAGGAGAGATTTCAGAGAGAGAATGAAGATAGGGGTTGCCTAGACAGGAGGCATGGGGCCAGAACCACGGAAATGGCGGGAAAGACAGGAGGCAGGTGACGGAGTTGGGACAAACTTAAGAATCTGAACCACCAGAACCACACAGCTGAGGAGTGGGGAGAGAAAGATGCCTTCTGTACTGGCTGCTGGCCAAGGCATTTAGGGCAGAAACCCTGCCCATTGCACACAGAGGGACTGGGAGAATGGACGTTCATAGGATTACGAAGCAGCTCCTCATAATTTTTTTTATTTCTCTCCTTATTTGAATTTTTGAGAGTGAAAAACGAAGCCAATGAATAACCTGGCAAATCTTTTGAAGAGTTTTAGCAAATCAGTATATAATTTAAGTGTTATTTTTAAATAAATAAAATACACAGTATTTAATATAAATATATATTAAATATATTAAAATATATATTAATTATATTTTAATTAAATAAAATTAAATTATTTTTTAATTAAATTAAATAATTATTTAATTAAATAAAAATAAATTAAAATATATATTAAATATAAAACACACAGTATTTAAATATATCGTCTTTGAATTATGTCATTTGTTTACTTATTTTAATGAAGACGTATCTTTTTATATTTAAAAATTGGAAAGCAAAGTTAATAAGCTGACCCAGATGGGCGTACAAAGAGCCTTCTGGACCATCTGCCATTTTGACCAGCTGCAGCCACGGGGCCAGGCTCCTTTGTCAGCCTGCGAGCTCCCGTCTCCGGCTGCCACCTGGTGGCCGCAAAGCAATTATTTTAAGGAAACAAAATCCTAAAGTTGTTAGAAAGTTTGTGACCCTAGCTCCCTGGAATTCAGTGGCATCATGAGCTCTGCAGCTATCTTTCATTTTAACACTAATGAGTGCCTGCAGTTAGTGTGAGGATGGAGAAATATGCAAAGTAGAAAATAAAAGTCCCCTCTCAGCCCATAATGACTCTCTAAAGGCAGCCCCACAGCCATTTGAGGGATGCCCTTACATTTCCTGGGCCTTTATGATTCTGCAGACACTTTAATGAGCCACCCTGAGAACAGGGTGGCTCTCTCTTTGCCAGAGAAGGTCTCAGTGGGACATAGCCCTGCTCCTGGGTAGTCCTCAGCAGCCTGGAGTCTCCAGTGGGCACTCAGGATGGAGGGGAGGGGGAGCCGCTGCAGACTCACGGGACGGGGGTCCCTAGGCAGTGTGCACCTGACGAGGTGTGGTGCCTCTGTCCTGGGTCCCGCAGGTCATGCTGTTGGAGAACATCATCCTGTTGCTGTTGGCCACCGACTTTCTCCAGGGGGCATCGTGGACCAGCCTGCAGACCATAGCTGGGGTCCTGTCTGGATTTCTGATTGGTAAGTCCCAATGTCACCTTCTTCTCTGCATCCCCTCCCCAACGTATTTTTTTTTTTTACAATGGGCTCAAAGGGTAGGAAACTGAGTTCAGATGTGGTTAACTGGAGACCAAGGAACCAGGCTCACTGCGATGTGGGGGGCAGAGCCATGCCCATCAGAGCATGAGATACTGAGCTCAGCCTCATCTGCCTTGCTTGACTGTGCTCGGAACCTCAAGCAAAGCTGGGGCTATCCCTCTCTACCCCAAAGCCCCCGTCCTCCCCGGAGCTTCCTGCAGGGTTGAGGACGTGACTTCTCTCTCCCCTCCCACCTAGGGGAGCTCCTCACATCTTCCTGACATGGCACCCCCTGCAGCCCATAGACAAGCACCCCGGGAAGTGGGTGCCCTAGCAGAGGAGGAGAGGAAGGTGAGGCACAGAGGAGGTTGAGTCCCCGAAAGATCCAATGGTTTGTAACAGATAGAGCTGAGATTCAAGCCCAGCTCCAGTGCAGGCCTGAGCACAGGCCTGGCACTGTCATCAGCCGTGTTTTATGAATGCATGGCCCCAAGGTCTGTGTCACACCCACGGTGATGACCTCGCTTCCCAGATTGGCATGAGTTCCGCAGGGATTCCGCCCCCCACTTGAAAGGTGCGAACACCAGCCTCCTCTCCCAGCACAGCAGGCTTCCACCACTGTCACTCTCAGGCCTGCGGTGGGACCGTCAAAGCCAGCACCTGCACCTCTCACGTGGGGCCTCGTGCTTCTGCAACATGGGCCAGGACAGAGATTCCCCAGTCCTCTGCAACAACTCCTGCCCTCCCTCCAGAGCCTGCTCTCTGTCACCCACACCCTGAAGAGGTGCCTGGAAGTGGCCTCGGGTTCTTTTCTTGCTCACAGCAGCCGGGGGTTGGATGTGGCCTGTGTGAGTGGCCTGGACCTGGGAAAGGAATGACCTGGACACAAACACTTAGTGAGATGCAGGGGCTGTTCACGGGTCAGAGAAATGTCACACACTGTGGCTTCGTAACAAGCATTTGAGAGCCACAGGCCACCCTGGGTTTCAGCTCTGTTCTTCTTCATGAGACGTCACGGGTCCTCACTTCTTCCAGCTTCAGGTAGCTGAGACAACCCCTTCTTTTTCAAATCAAACTTTTTAGATAATTGTAGTTTTAAGAAATAATACAGAGCTCCCCGTACCCATTACCAGGTTTTCCCCCAGTGGTAATATCTCGCAAAACGGTGGCACAACATCACAGCCAGGATCTCAAAGTAGTACGTCGAGGTGCAGGGAGAACCCTTCCATCACCACGAGGACCCTTCATGTGGCCCCCTTCCTCTCGCCCCTGCCACCTCCTTCCCTCCTGGCAACCATTATTCTGTTCTCTGTTTCTATTATTCTATCACTTGGAGAATGCGTTGTGAAAGTACCACACAGTGTGTGCACCCTGGGGATCGGTCTTGTTCACTTGGCAGAGCTCTCCGGAGAGCCTCCCGGGTTGCTCCTTGCTTTTGATGGCTGAGTCGCATCCCATGGTTTGGACGGACCACAGCTTGTTTCATCGTCGACCCATGGACGGGCATCTGGTTCATCCTTTTTAAAATAATCATTTGAATCGCAGAGCATTGATTTCTAAGCTGTGTGTGTGGATAAATGGCCTATGGGAAACTGAGGACATCGCGCTGCCCGGGTGAGAAGCACCACTCTCACCACATTGCATCGTGGTCTGGGTGTTCCTGGCATATTTCAAGCAATCCTTCCTTCAGGGAGGGGCCATGTGATACTTGGAATGAAGGGGCCTTGCCGGCCGGGAGGTCTAACAACTCATCTGGATTTTCCAGTTCACGGGAGGTATAGCTGAGTCCTGGGGGCAGTGTGGTGGGAGGGAAAATGTCCCCTCATCTACTTTCTGGATTTTAACACTGACTCAGAAAAGATGTCCTACACCACTCCGAAAACCTGTCACACTCCTGAGAGTGGATGCCTGGTTTCCTTCCAGTTCCACTCCAGTGAGAAGACATTTTCACAGCCAGTATGCTGGCCCACGGCACAGCTGGAGGGCAGTGAGTAGGGAGTCCATAGCCACGGGCAGTGAGTAGGGAGCCCATAGCCACGGGCAGCACTCAGCACCCAGGTGGCCACCGGCTCAGAGCCTTGTCTGCCGCTCCTCCTCCGGCCTCTGATGGAGCTGCCAAACCCCTGACTCCCAGCCGACCCTTGGGAATCCTAGGCAGGAAGATTGAACCCAAATTGTAGTCCAAGGAGCACAAGCTTGCATCCAGGCTCCTCCCCTTTTCCTTCCATCCTGGGACCAATATTCACTGAGTACCAACTGCGTGCCAGCCTGGGGATGCCACCAAGAACCCTCAAACCACATGGCCTCTGGAAAGATTGTGTTCACTGAATAAGTGTGCCCAGGACTTCTGTGATCAGGGGCCTTTGTTCATCTTTCCTGGCCTTGGGTGGCTGCTTGTAAAAGAAGGGTGACAATATGTCCCTCACCAGGCAATTGTGAGAATTCAAAACAGTGCAGAAACTGGCTGAGCAGGACCTACTGCAGAGGTGGCACTGAACATGGAGAAAGTCCACCTCCCTTTCCAAGGTTGGAGCCTGGCCACTAACCAGCTGCTTGATCTGGGTCTCCCAGTCCCCCAAGACACAAGAGAGGATTTGGGGCTGGGGATGTCCTTCAGGCAGTCTTTCTAGCTCTGTCATGCTGCAATCTCCTGGCCTTCTCAGGCATTACTTCAGGTTTTGTGCTGTTTATAATGAGCACCCTGAAACCAGGCACTTTATCCAGTACAACAGGAAACTGGAAATAACGTGGGAGGCTTACTGGAATGCTCTGTTAAAGAAATTATTGCAGCAGTCAACACTTCTGATCAAAATAAATTAAACTGACAACAATGTGATTAAGATGTTTATGCACAAAGGAAGTGTTGTTGTTGTTCATGGAAATTCCTTGATATGGGGTTTTTGATGAATCTGATTAACCTCTGTTTAGGTCTTACTTGTTTTTGAGGTTATTTCTTAATGCCCTCCCTTCCCCCAGCTTTGTAACCCATCAACCACTGTATTGACAGTCGAATTTGCAGTGTATGGTCCAGTTACTTGAAAGTAGAATGCTTATTTCTGCCAAACATTTTGTACCTGTGTGTACACACGCACACACACATGCATGAATGCAGACTCACACACACACACGTAGATGACTGAACTGGAGCTGCCCTCAAGACAAAAGCATAGAATCAATCGGATTTAAGCCTTGTTATTCATGTTTAACTTTAGAAACATTTACAGCTTACAGAAGCTGGAACCTACTTAAATTCCCCCGAAATATCCAGTTCTGAGGCTCCAACAAGAGTCCTATTTTGGATCCCAAATTATCTTCCTCTACGCAAAAGGGCCAGAACCTGAAACTGCACACCAGAGGGAGGATGCAGACTTCAAAGAACATAACCTTGTGGTCTTTTTGTTCTTTTTCAGGCAGTGTCTCACTGGTAATTTATTACAGCCTGCTGCATCCAAAATCCACAGACATCTGGCAGGGCTGCCTAAGGAAGTCCTGTGGCATTGCAGGAGGTGATAAAACAGAGAGAAGAGATTCTCCCCGGGCCACAGATCTAGCTGGGAAGAGAACCGAGAGCTCAGGCTCATGCCAAGGGGCAAGTTATGAACCAACCATTTTAGGGAAGCCCCCTACCCCTGAGCAGGTCCCCCCAGAGGCTGGGCTGGGGACCCAGGTTGCTGTGGAGGACTCTTTCCTCAGTCATCACCACTGGCTGTGGGTGAAACTTGCCCTAAAAACAGGAAATGTGTCTAAGATCAATGCCGCCTTTGGAGATAACAGTCCTGCCTATTGTCCACCTGCATGGGGGTTGAGTCAACAGGACTACCTGCAGAGAAAGGCCTTGTCTGCCCAGCAAGAGCTCCCATCCTCATCCCGTGACCCCTCAACCTTAGAGAACAGCTCTGCGTTTGAAGGTGTCCCTAAAGCAGAGGCCGACCCATTGGAAACCTCAAGTTACGTATCTTTTGCCAGCGATCAGCAGGATGAAGCACCTACCCAGAACCCAGCAGCCACGCAGGGGGAGGGCACCCCAAAGGAAGGAGCTGACGCTGTTTCTGGGACACAGGGGAAGGGGACAGGTGGGCAGCAGAGAGGAGGGGAAGGACAGCAGAGTTCCACGTTGTACTTCAGCGCCACTGCAGAAGTGGCCACATCCTCACAACAAGAAGGCAGCCCAGCTACTCTGCAAACGGCCCACTCTGGAAGGAGGCTGGGAAAGAGCAGCCCTGCCCAGCCTGCATCGCCCCACCCAGTGGGCTTGGCGCCCTTCCCCGACACCATGGCCGACATTAGCCCCATCCTAGGCACAGGCCCATGTAGAGGCTTCTGCCCCAGTGCAGGCTTCCCTGGAAGAACCCTCAGTATCTCAGAGCTAGAGGAGCCGCTGGAGCCCAAAAGGGAGCTAAGTCACCATGCAGCTGTTGGTGTGTGGGTGTCATTGCCACAGCTGAGGACTGCCCATGAGCCCTGCCTCACGTCCACCCCTAAGTCTGAGTCTATCCAAACGGACTGCAGCTGCAGGGAACAGATGAAGCAAGAGCCGAGTTTTTTCATCTGACCACAGTCATGGTGGGATAAGACAACAGGCTGACAAACCAAGCTGGCCATTTGGTACCGTGAGAAAGGAAATCCCACTTCTGACACCTGTGTCCTTGGGCACATCACTGTCACCTCTGAATCTCCATCTGCATCCCTGAAAAATGAAGAAACAGGGCTGGATGATTTTGCAGGTCCAATGCAAACATCACAGACCCCACCCATGCATAGGAGAGACTCTAACATACTTTAGAGGAGGAGAAAGAGATTCCAGTCAAAATTGTCTGCTACCTTTTATGAGCTGTAGGTTCCCTTATTTTATCTTTTTGCTGTGGCTTCTAGGAAACACAAAGGTAAAACCCAGATTCCTATTTTATTTGAGGTTCTTGTTACAATTAGCTTTGCCTCACATTTAGCGGTTATGAATCTCATTTTAATATATTCTAACTGTATTATGTTATGAAATCTCTTGGTAAGATAATTTGCATGCTTTCTGGGAGTAGGTAAGGCCTGTGTGCTTGTAATAACTAACATAACTGAAAGTGCAAATGTCATTCTAAGATTCCCATATCTTTTGGTTAGGGGACAATATTAGAGCTTTTAAAAAGGAAGGGTAGACTCACTTAGCTCAGCCTCACCCATGCTAAGGGCACATGCACACATTTTCTGCAATTCACTCTCAGACCATCAGCATCCTCCTGGCCAGCTGCATAAATGTATTTTTCTGTGAAATGTGCTGCTCCCCTTTGTGCAGGCTGGCCAGCCAAGAGTTCCCTTCCAGCTCCCACTGCTGCTTTCCACCCCATCTCCTTTATGTCCAAGCTTTGTTCCCACTTCCATTCAATGTGAGACACTATCCATGATTTAAGCCCATCCAAAAAGAAGGGAGGAAACGTCCATTCCTCTCGCACTCTCCTTCTCTCTGACTCCTCCACTCTAAAGTGTTCTTTGTGGCTAGGTATTTCCATAATTTCTTTAAGCCTTCCTTTGTAGCTGATTAAGGAAGTCTAGTCATAAACTATCAAAGAGAAAGGCACACAGAGAGCTGGATGCTATTTAGGGATGGGTATTTTTGTTTTGTTTTGTTTCATTTCATTTGTTTATTTGTTGAGACAGGGCCTCTCTGTCACCCAGGCTGGAGTGCAGTGGCATGATCATGGCTCACTGCAGCCTCAACCTCCAGGGCTTAAGCAATCCTCTCACCTCAGCCTCTCGAGTAGCTGGGACTACTGGCAGGTGGGCACCGTGCCTGGCTACTTTTTTGTATTTTTTGTAGAGACAGGTTCTTGCCAGGTGGCTCAGGCTGGTCTCCAACTCCTGAGCTCAAGCGATCTGCCCATCTCGGCCTCCCAAAGTGCTGGGATTACAGGCGTGAGCCACCGTGCCCAGCCAGAATGGGTAGTTTTTATTCTCTCCAAACACTTTTGGATTAGGGTACAATATTAGAGCTCTAAAAAGGAATAGTAGAATAACTTAGCTCAGCCTGACACATACTAAGGGCGCCTGCAGACACTTTCTGCAATAAGCTCTCAGACCATCAGCATCCTCCTGGCCAGCCACATAAGCCAATCGGGGATGCAGACAAGTGGCTACAAACTTTCCATACAACAGGTGAAGATAACGAGACTTTGGGTCGGATGCAGGGGCTCACACCGGTAATCCCAGCACTTTGAGAGGCTGAGGCGGGAAGATCACTTGAGGCCAGAAGTTCGAGACCAGCCTGGGCAATGTAGTGAGACCCCATCACTACTAAAAATACATAAATTATCCTGGTGTGGTGGCACACACCTGTAGTCCCAGCTGCTCGAGAGGCTGAGGCACGAGAATCAGTTGAACTGGGAGGCAGAGGTTGCAGTGAGCTGAGATCGTACCATGGCACTCCAGCCTGGGCGACAGAGCAAGACTCTATCTAAAAAAAAAAGCTTGTTAATAGAACAAAATCATTCATAGTTCCATTCACTGTGCTATCCCAGCATCTCAGTCCTTCCTCCATGCAGTCTCTCGCCCAGCCAGGTGAGAGCATGAGCACTTCCCTGAGTCCTCACCAGCCCTCCCCATTTGTCCTCCAAGACTCCACTCAAACATCTCCTCTTGGTGCCTTCCTGGGCCCTCCCCAGCTCCAGCTCTCCCAGACCTACCCTCTGTCCCCAGGTTGTACTCCACTGCCCTTTGCCCTCTGGTGACCTCTTCCTAAACTTGAAGCCCTGCCTCCCTGAAGGCTAATTAAGGGTTGCAGTCCTCCTTCTGGGCTAACTCCAAGGTCCAGCAGAGTGTCCAGCAAAAGTAGGCGTTAGAGCATTCAACAGCATGAATTCACTAACGAGCGGGGCTGTGGGCATGAATTTCAGCTTGAGTGCATATCCTGGATCAACGGCATTTGTGTTATGGGGTAAAAGTAAGGGTGGGATATGGGGAATTTGCTCATTCTTTTCAAACTTTCTAGCCCTTGAATAGCCTGGAAAGCTAGAAATACTCTTCATTCATTCATTCATTTAAGGAATATTAGTTGAGTATGACAGGCACTGAGTATGCAGAAATCAAGGCATGTACTTGCTGTTCGAGGCCCTGTGGACCAACATCGGCTTCTCAGATGGCTTCCTCACTTCATGCCTCCAGAAAGCATATTGCCCGGTGATGAAAAGGATCAGAAAATATACATTATATTTATTAGAGAAGACTAATAAATGGACACTTAATTCAAAAATGCCTGCTGAGCACCTATCAAATGCTAGTCATTAGGATCACAGAGCTACACAGAAGAAATGTGACAGGTGCTCACGGCGTCAGTGGGAGAAGCAGGTGAGAGCTTTATGGAGTCCCCTCTGAGACGGCTGCAGGAACCCACAGAAGGTCAGCTTAACAAGGACATGATTGTCATCTTCAGGGACCTGACACTGTTCTGTAGCGAGAGATTCTATTTTCTTCCTGCAGTTTCTTATGAGCCATGAAGAAACTCCTTAGGGCTCCAGACAGGTTCTTTAAGACAGAGTTACCCAAAGGTGGACAAGGCTGTCCCTGCAGACAAGTGCATAAAGCCAGAACAGCCCCTTAGTGAAATGACTAAGAAGGAACCTCGAGGACTAGAAGATGCAGCTGAAAGTGACTTTCCAGGTCCTGACCTGGAGCTTCAGTGGCTGCGCATGGGCAGCAAGGAGCCACAGCCACAGCAGCTGGAGACTTCAAGTCTGTTCCAGGACATTTTCCATTTTTTTTTTTGTTTTTTGTTTTTGTTTGTTTGTTTTTTGGTAGAGATGGCGTTTCATCATTTTGGCCAGGCTGGTCTCGAACTCCTGACCTCAGGTGATCCACCCACCTCAGCCTCCCAATGTGCTGGGATTGCAGTCATGAGCCACTGTGCCCAGCCCACTTTCACTATTGAGAAGAAAGGAAGAACCAGAGAATGAAAACCAGTGCATCGGGAGACCTGAAGACGAGCATGTCGGCTCCCTGCTCTCGTGGAGCCTCTATGGGTCAGGTTTTGCAATTATCCACAATAACCAGCCTTGAGTATCCATGACGCTTCACCCCAGGAGAACTCATGCCTCTGCCTGTGGAAGGACACAGAGGACCTCAGTGGGGATGGAAGAAGGGCCTTCTCCTTGTCACCAGCTCCCAGGACTGAATACTGACTGCTGTCTTGGGGAGAAGGGACTGGATGGTGCTTTGGGCCTCACTAGCCCCCATCTGGATCTTTATGGCTGGGCCCATAGAGCACGACCATGACATCTGGAGACAGCTGTGCTAATGCCCTTCAGACAAAGACCACCAGGAACCCCCTGTAACTGAACCAGTTGGGTTTATGACTCTTCTCGGCAAAGAAGCACGCACACCGTGGGGGACTGCGGGGCCGCTCAGTGAAAGGAGATTGGAAAGGAGTTACAGGATTTGGGCTTTGCTGGGTGAATCTGGGTGAGTCTAGGGAAGCCGGGTCTACTCAGGTTTGGGGGCAATGCTGTGACCCGGTATTGCAGTCAGTTGCATCTGTAGGGAGGGAGTCGAGCAAGCATAAAGCTGCCATGGGTAAAGAAGCAGTCATCACTCACTTAGTGGGAAAGGGGGAGCCTGGTGTTTTGTGGTTGCATGGTGACCTTTGGTCTTGCTGTGTCACGGTCTCCAGTGGCCACGTCAGAGGCTTCTCACAGAGGTGTCCTGTGAGAAGCTTTGTGGCCAACAGGAGAACACCAGGGCCGGCCTTAAGCATCGGACCAGGTCCCAGAGTTCCGGGACTGCTCTTTTCTTCATCATATTAGTGGTAGTTTTATAGATGTTTGGTAGCCTAAATATTATCTATTGGATCACAACCAAAACAGTAGCTTTTCCTGAGTCCCAGCGGCGGGTCACTCATATTCCAGCTATGTCTGGACCCGAGTTTGCATTTCAGCCCATCCCGTCCTTAGTGCAGAGCGGACCTCACGTAGACCGGCTGCATTTGTCCACAGCGTACACTGATGTCCGGAGACAGCGGAAACAGCCATGTCTATCACAGAAGCCCAAGGTCACACAACCGTGACCCACCTGCCCGGGGGCGAGGCTGAGCCAGTGCAGATAGCCGGATGCTCCTCACAGGTCCGCAGGAAGGACAGGGGCCGGCGCTGCCCAGGCTGTGCCACGTCCAGTGCGTGAGAAGCTCCCGCTTGAGTCACCACGTCTGTCCCGACAGAGGTACGACCTCCTCCTTTCCCTGACGCAGGGAGTATGGGAGGCAAAGCCATACTCGTGGGAGAACTCTCCAAGTCCACAGTGAGCAGGACGCAGATTCTCCCCGTATTTCCACCAGATTCACCCTCCATTTCCACCAGACTCGCCCTTCTTTCCCAACCAACCACCCTCCATCCCCACCCTTCACACCCACTCACCCCCATTCCCACCCACTTACCCCCCATCCTCACCCTCTCACCCTCCATCCCCCCGCACTCACTCTTGTCCCATCCACTCACCCCGCATCCCCCACCCCCACTAGGTCCTTTCCAGCCTCCCCCGCCATAAAACTGTGCGCCCTGAAAGATCGCTCCTCGCCTCAGGGACTCCTCCCTCCACTCGTGCGCCGTGGCTGCCCTGACTTGGTGCCGCGGAGATCCATCCTCAAGCAAACACCAGGGAACTTGTGGGCCGTTCTCCTGGGCTGCAGTCTTCTCCTGTCTCTGTCTCCTCCTCTGATGCCTCTTCCTCAGGAGGTGGCCGTCACCCACAGCTTCACAATGGCATTTCCCCTCAGAGCACTGATCCTCCGTCTGCTGCGGCAGCTACCAGGTCGCCTCTCTTCATTTTTTAAGTCCACGTCACCCCCCTCTTGTCCCGTGCAGGTACCCCTCTTATGCCCTACACCACAGACTGCACTGCACCGCTGTCTCCACCAAAAGCAGGGAACCTCTGCTATCCAGGACCTGTGGAAAATTAGGCTCGATTTCAATGAATGTTTCCATACCGATTATAAGCTCCTTAGGGCAGGAAATTTTGTTCAACTCTCTGTCCCCTTGAGACCCTGCTTGATAAATGGCTCATGGCAAGCACTCTTACCGTGGAATTCGATTTCCAGGCTTTTCTGAATGACTCAGGATTTTACCTCCAGAAGCAAAGCTTCTGAACACCCATTTTGTAGGCCGGTCTTTGTGGAAACATTTTCACTCCCTCCCCTGTCCTCTGTAGCGGAGAACTCTGACATCTCAGAACATGGCCGCTTCTCTCTTTCCTGCTCAGAGGAGCTGTTTACAAAGTGTGGGGTAGAGTTAGGAAACCCAGGAGGAATGGCAGAGCGCTCCGCCTGCATCCCTGAGGGCGGGCGTGGGGCTGCTGTCGACCCCCAGAGAGAGTGCTCGCCGCCCTTGGTCCCCCGGGTCTGGGCGGTGCTGTTGGTAAGGACTGCAGCCAACCCCCAGGGACCTGGCAGGAGAAGATACCTGCCCTGCCCTTCTGCTAGGGCCACCAGCATCGGCCAGACCTAACCAAAGACGTGGAGTCTCCAGGCAGTCTATAAAAACCAGCTCCCATGGCCCGGGGCAGGGCAAAGAGTCAGTCTGGAGGGGAGAACTGAAGACAACTGGCACTGCTACCGTGCTGAGATGCCTCGGGGACTTGTCTTACTCGCCGCCAAGCACTTGGCCCCTGCACCAAATGGCCCCCAAACTGTGGCCTTTTAAAATTTGTGTGTCCACTTCTCACAGTTTCCTCTCTCTTCATGCATATGAAAATAAAACTATTTTATGTATCTAGGACTTGGATTCTGGACTGCTGGTGATTGTCTTTCTGTGCCCTTTGCAGGCGCACGCAACATAACTCCTTTAGACACTTCTATTAAGAAGCAGAAAAGAAGGAACGGAAATTTTACATCTTCTGTCTCCCTATGACAACAGAAGAAAGCCTAGAAAAAAAATATAATTTTGAGACCCTTTTGCAGTTATCCTATAGGAGCAGCGCGACTGAAGAAGAACCAGCTACACCTCCTAATTGAATTATGTTCACTTTTTAAAGATGGATCTATTAACAGCATAAACAGCAGATTGAACAGCATAAAAGCTCATGGGCGTAAAACAGCGAGCACGCATTTTCCACTGGGGTCTGCATGTCATCTAATGGGGCTGTGGCTCCAGTCACCTCTGCGCACATCCCAGGCTTCGGGGCAGTGGCCAGACTGGAGGCAGAGGTTGGAAGTTCCCCGAGGGGCGAGTGGAAACTCTGCCATCCTGCCTCATGCATGGCCTCGACAAGCCCAGCTCCCATGGGGCAGGAAGCACACTCCTTCCATGGCGGTGGGTGAGATGGGAGAATGTTCTGTCACACAAGGTCAGTAGCTCCATGTCTGCCCTTTTCCTCCATCTTATGCCCCTGGAACTCATAGCAATAGAAATTACAGCCGCAGAAATGGCTCACAACACAGTCACCGAAGGCCCAGATCCAGAAGTGGATTCTATACATACCCTGAAGGTCAGGATTTATAAATCCACAAATAGATTCAATATGTATGTCCTGAAGGGTCTGTTTGTAGAAATCTATTTGACTTACATTTTTAAATTGATAGAGATGTTCTCCTGCCACTCTACAGAGTTGTCAAGTTCATCAGCTGGTGTTTTTGGCCATTGCCCTATTCTTGCCTTCGTTTTGATTCTGTATTCCTTCCTTTCTTTTAACCTCACCCAGTCCCCCAATTCCTAAAAGTCGGCCATTTTCACAGTACTTGGAAAGGCAACCAGAGCAATCTGAGAGCTTCATAAAAGGAGAAGATCCAGAAGGCAAGGCCCCTTGAGTGAGGCAGGATGTGGGGCCTGGACAGGAAGCTGGAGCTCCACAAATCAGCCCCCACATTCCTTCTTTCCTGCGCCCTTTCCTTTTCAGCATAGAGAAGAGGTTTTGGAAGAACAGCCAAGGGCCTATTAGGTAGGGCTTGCAGAAGAAAAACCCTCAGCAGTAGCCTCTGGGGAGGGCCTGATACCCGTGAAATGTCTCATTCTCTTCATGCCTCCAAATGGCCAGAGGATGGGTTAACCCATGAAATTGTTGGGCAGAACAATGACTTGTCTGGTTTTCCATATGACATTCTGCCATACCAAGCAGGGATTTTCACATTCCTTCTGAGCCCTTTCCTGAGTCAGCTCTCAAGCTAATGCCGCTGACACTAAGTAGGATTTTCGAAGCACCAAGAAAGAATTTTACTTGAAAACTCAAGTCCGCTTGCTCTCTTTAACACGGACTGTTATAACAGCAAAAACCACAATTACTTTCACACCAACATAATACTCGGCTGTCCTCCTAACTTTGATTCTATTTTCCATAGGATGTGGGATGGCCAACTGTCCTGCCTTCCCCAGGATGGAGGGATTTCCTGGCTTATGAGATTTTAGTGCCAAAACTGGATGGTCCCAGGCCAGTTGGGATGGTTGGTCACCCTAATACCAGTTAGCCATATTCAGCCTTTCTACTTTCGTATTAGACATCATGTCAGAAAAGAAAGACAGTATTTCCTGGTTAAAAAAATCTGAAAGGCAATACAAGCTTACCTAAGTTAGCTCCTACACCACCAAACCCCAACCCCCCAACTGCCATCAGTCCTGCAAAATATCAATTTGACTAACATCCCGCTTGCTAATCATGACTACCAAAGTCTATATAATAGTTAACTTCAAGCTATAGCAATGCCAGGAGTGATCCTACTCTAAAGTCAAAGCTACCATCCAGATTTTAAGTTAACATCTCTCAGGGAGGAAATCTTCCATGGAAAAATACCATGGAAAAATCCACTACTTTGACCACACAGATACATTCATTATGGCACAACCGTAATTACAACTTTGCCTGTCAGGGTTTCCATTATAAATGGGATCTGAATCTTGGTGGAACGCAATTCTTTCCAGCTGGAGTGAACCATGGACAGGTTTTCAGCCCGTTGGGGATTTTTCTGATTTGTCTACAAATTGGCAAGGCTGGGGTTGGGGAAGGGAAAGAGGGGGAAGATGAGATTGGGAACAGAATAAACCATATGGAATTTTGTTCTTAGTGTGCCCTTTAAACTGAAATAAGGGAACACAAACAAACAAAAAGACAAACAACCAAGACCAATTAAGGATATCTTTCAGACCCTAAAGTCTTAGATTCAAAGGGATGCTTTGTCTTTAAGTTACTTTAAAAGATAGAGCATTTAGAGAAAAGAAGGGAGATTTGTTCTTTCTTCGTCTTTGTTGTTGTTGTTTCTTTTTTTTCTTATACCTGAAGTTTGGCCAAGTACTGAAGACATGTACTTTTTTGGCTCACTGTGCCTTTGAGGGCAAAGCAAAGAACTGTGGAAAGCGACGTGGGATGTGAGACCTGGGTTCTCTTCCAGGTTCTTTTTCCAGCTAATCCTGTGACCAAAGATAAATGACCTAATCTTTCTGAGACTCAGTTTCCTTTTCTGTAAAACAGGGATATGATCATTCGTCTGGCTAGGTCATGGAATTCCCATGCATATCTACAAAGGCAGTGGATGTGAGCTGTCTCACCCATGTGGTAGGAGCCTCCTTTTGGCTTTTCTGGTTTCTCAAGCTGAGTCCCCCAGGTCCCTCCCGAGAGGATGGAGTCATCGTCTGCAGTCAGGGGTCTGTTGTTGACTGGGACCAGGGAAGAAGGGCGGCACCTGTACCCCGTCCTCCCTCCCCGATACTGCCTCACCTGGTTCATCCCAAAGGCAAATGCACACTGCACCCTGAGGAGGGTCAAGCTTGCTTTTGTTGATAGTTTTACAGTAATTATGCCAAAGCCATAAAATCATCTAAGGAGATCTTGCCTTCATCTGGTGACCTTGGAGGCTTCCCAAGGGCAACAACGTCATCCATGGAATGTGAGATCCCTGTCTTCCCCTCTTACCCCTAGAACTTCTAGGAACAGTGAAGAAAAAGGGATCAATCTTAGTTGTTAGTTTTGTTGTTGTTGTTGTCATTTGTTCTTTTTGTTTGTTTTGTAGATGGAGTCTTGCTCTGTCACCCAGGGTGGAGTGCAGTGACATAATCTCGGCTCACTGCAACCTCTGCCTCCCGGGTTCGTGATTCTCATGCCTCAGCCTCCCGAGTAGCTGGGACTACAGGCATGTGCCACCACGCCCAGTTAATTTTTGTATTTTTAGTAGATACAGGGTTTCACCACGTTGGCCAGGCTGGCCTTGAACTCCTGACCTCAAGTGGATCTGCCTGCCTCAGCCTTCCAAAGTGCTGGGATTACAGGCGTGAGCCACCGTGAGTGGCCTGTTTGTTTGTTTTAAGTAACAGCCCTTGCAGAATGAATGATAAAGTTCCAGTTAGATCATCAGACCCAACGTTCCATTCTCAAATGTCTTAAGAGTTTTGAGGTCAATACACATATATTTTTTGCTCCAGCAGTAGGGAGTCATGTGACAAATCTGAATAATGGAGTTAGGTGGACAAAAGCCTAAGGTGAATTTCGTAAGGTTATCAAAAACGTTCAGGATTTGTAGTCATTTATTTTCAGTGACTGTCAGCGAAAAGCTTAGTCTGGCTTAGTTTTGACTTCGTCTTGAAATAAATGTTCCACGGCCACCTTCTCTCACTTAATTCATGGTAACATTGAGCCGTAATTCTACATTGCAAAAAGCCGTTCTTTGTGGACATCATCATCACACCGACATCCTGTTGACTCTCATAATAAAGCCGTTCTGCGGTGAGCTAGCGAAATAGGCGTGTGACGGAGTTCAGCGTATTTCACGTTCAGGCTTGGCTGCAGGAGCGGCTGGGGCTGCAAGCTCACTAATTCTCAGCCCTGTGGAATGATGGGACTGACCCTGAACTTAGAGCCGCCCCCAGGCTGGAACCTGGGCTCCCCGGCGCGGCCACCAGGTGGCACTGGCGCCCTCCCTCGCGGACCCAGGCTGGTGCTCTCGTCCTTTCAAGCACAAGCTTGGAGGCCTGATTTTCAATCAGTTGCTTTCAAACGCACAAACGCCGGTAAGGACCCCACCAAGGGGCTTGTGAAAAGCTCAGCAGTGCAGGACATTTTGCATTTTCCCAGCAAGTTGCCGGCCTGCCCTGGTCAGAGCGCTGTGTGTCGGGGTTTATGAAGATAATTAGGTGTTCAGATGCAGTTACCAACTTTCAGTAAGAAGGAATACGACAGCTTTTCATTTGCAACAGCAGGTGCCCTTAAAGGTGAAGTGAGCATTGACGAAGCGTCCAGGGCTCTCTGCTTGTTCATCCACGGGCGGGTGGTTACTGTGGGGACGGACACGTCAGCCTCCAGGTGCTGTGGTCATTAAGGAAAATAAGGTCACCTTCTGTGTCTCTTCAGGGACAGTGAGTTCTGGAACGGGTCACCAGGGCTGCCCATGTTCAGCTCTAAATTCTATAGATCTAGAAAGTGCTTTTCATTTCTGTGAGGTGCCCCTCTCAGACACTGGGACGTTACTCAGTGCTAAAAAGAAATGAGCCTTCAAGCCATGAAAAGACAAGGAGGAAATTTAAACGCATGTTACTAAGTGAAAGAAGCCAATCTGAAAAGGCTGCATATTCCAACTTATGACATTCTAGAAAAGGCAGAGCTATGGAGACAGGAAAAAGAGCAGTGGCTGCCAGGGGTTCGGGATGAGGGAGGGTGAATAGTTGGAGCACAGAGGATTCTTAGGACAGTGAAAGTCCCCTGTCTGGCAATGTAGCCAGGGATGGATGGCATGGTACATGTGTCAGACCCATAGAACGTGCAACCCCAGAGTGAGCTGTAATGGAAACGATAGACTCCGGGTGATGGTGATGGGTCTGTGCAGGTTCACGGACTGTAACAAATGCACCACTCTGGGCCGGGCCCGGTGGCTCACGCCTGTAATCCCAACACTTTGGGAGGCCGAGTTGGGCAGATCACCTGAGGACAGGAGTCCGAGACCAGCTTGGCTAACATGGCAAAACCCCGTCGCTACTAAAAATAAAAAATAAAAAATTAAAAAATTAAAAAAAATTAGCCGGTCGTGATAGCAGGCGCCTGTAATCCCAGCTACTCTGGAGACTGAGGCAGGAGAATCGCTTGAACCCGAGAGGTGGAGGTTGCAGTGAGCTGAGATCACCCACTGCACTCCAGCCTGGGCCTCAGAGCAAGAGTCCATCTCAAAAAAACAACAAACACAAAAGACAAATGCACCACTCTGGCGATAACAGGGGAGGCTCGGGAGAGATGGGAGATCTCTGTACCTTCCTCTCTATTTTGTCTAAACCTATAGCTTCTTTAAAAAATTAAAATCTATTTTTAAAATTGTTAATTATGCTGTCTCAGCCACAGACCAAAGCCTGTTCTTATCCAGTGAAACTACATGCATCAAGGCCTGTACCTAGTGCTAGAAATACGAGGTCCAGCTCTTGAGCCCAGTGGAAGAAAGTTGCACAATAGCCCAGTATCCCCTTCCCACGGGCTGCTGCGAGTATCCGCGAGGCCCACCCGTGAACACACCAGCACAGGTGTAGCCCGTGACGGGTGCTCTGCACGTGTTTGCTCCAATCCTGTGGGTTTGTCTGAAGAGGACCCTGGCTGAGTAGGTTGAAATGAGAAGGGCTCCCAGGTTTCCCGGCCACCCTCCTTGGCGGGGCATCTCTCTCCGATCTAGTCTTGTGATGTATAGCAGCATGAAGGTGCAATCAACCTGCTCTGTCCCTGACCAGGTGTGTGACTTCAGCAACTTACTTAACTTTCCTGGGTGAAGTTTCCCTCTCTCTAAGATGAAGGTGATAACAATGGCCTGTGCCATAAGCTTGTGTGCAGGATCGAGTGAGGGGACACCCACAAAGCTTCTAGCAGTAACTGGCCCAGATTAAAAGCACAACGTGAGTGAACATTATTTTTCCGGTTGGCAGGCATGTGGGGAAAGGTGAGCGAGCCACGAGTTTACTGCCTTTGTGACTACGTGTAAGTTACATCTTTCCTCAAAAGCGCTTCCAGCACCCACTGAGCAGCCTTGCTCTGCCGTGTGCTCCCCGGGAGGGGCTTGACCCACAACAGCGGCAGGAACCAAAACAAGCTTCCTTCGCCCCTCACAGGACTGCCTGTCACCCCTTTTGGCAAGAATGCTCAGATTTTCGCAGCCCCTCACAGGACTGCCTGTCACCCCTTTTGGCAAGAATGCTCAGATTTTCGCAGCCCCTCACAGGACTGCCTGTCACCCCTTTTGGCAAGAATGCTCAGATTTTCGCAAAGCAAATGTGAAACTCCCATGAGGTCTCTTTGGGTCAAAGGTAAACAGAAAGTCTTAGAATTTTCTTTAGAAAAATAAAAGGTTCCCGTTTTTTTCTGGTTCAGAGAGTTCCTGGCGTGCTTCTTCTTGTTTTTCTTCATACTTAGGGACGGCAGAAATGATACATGGCCTCCCCACAATTGAGGGGTGCTCTCCAGTGGACCATGATATATTTACTGAGAAATTTTTAATAAGTAAACCACAGACTTGAACTCATGCACCCTCATAAACCAGCCCGTTCTCATGGGGAGAGTTCAGGAGTTTTTATGGAGCAATACTATGTTCTCATGAGAATTTTATTAGAAATCAGAGACTTGAGATGCATCAAGCAGGAAATTTATGAGGTTACATGGGAACCATCCTTTCATTTTGTCATTCTGGGTTAAATTACTTCTTTGTATTCTGTTGATTTACTTTGCAAATTTTAGTTGTGAACATTGTTCTGAATTCTCAGCAAATTCAAGCCAGCTAACTATCGATTTCTTGAACTTTCCACTTTTATCCTTCAAATAAGATAAATAATTGAGAGTCTAGACCCCAAATCTATGGGAAACACAGATAACTCATGAAAAACGTGGCCAAGAAGGTCTTTCCACAACATCAAGAAATAAACAAGAAGCTTAGGGAAAAACACTTTTAGAACCACCGACAATTCTTTATGCCTCTAACTTTTCCACTTAATAGTTTCTTCAAATTTTTTTAAAAATTGTTTTGCGAAGTACCCAGCTAAAATTTTACTCGCCAAAATAACCTGTTGTTTATCATCATATAACCCAACTTGGAAAATAGCCCAAACCCAGAATAGATGTTTGTACCGGTGAAGTGGAGAGGAAGTGCTCTAAACAAGTTTTTTCTCTGGGCTTGTTCCAACATCTCATTAGTTGTCTGTGTTAATGGTGTGAGGAAAGACGCCAGGCCAGGCTGGCCTTGGCTAGCATGGAGAAAGTGAGAGAGCCACACAGGAACCAGCCTTCTATTAACCAGCTGACCCCATTGCCGCTATTTGAGCTGGATTCCTGGGTAAAGTCCCAAAATTAGGTAATTTGTCTTCATCTCTAAATTTAATTCTTACATTGGAACTGTGTATTTTTCCAGCTGAATTCTGGCTTTGGGGTTTAAGGCTGCTTGGCTGCCACCATGGGCCAGTTGGTTGGTTTTAACCTTTTCTACCCATCATCCAAAAGCTCCTAGCCATCTACTTTGGAAAAAAAATCGTAGTACAACAAGGCAAGAAGGCACCCTAGTTGCCAGGCTTCACGTTTCTTGGTACCAAAGACTGGTATGGGCTGTCCTGCCCAAAGTCAGCTCTTCTCTGGACTAATAGAATTTGGTCATCCCTCCAAAAGCAAATTGAATAATCATTGTCACCGTTAACTAACCTTTTCTAAGTTATTTCTCATGTGCCAGGCTCTATGCTGCTAATGAGCATTTACCACTCAAAACTGCTCCATGAAGCAGGTGCTCTTGTTCTCCCCATTTCACAGATGAGAAGCTTGAGGCTCAGAGAGTTAACCGCAGCCTCCATGATCACACAGTGGACTTGGCTCATACTCACCAGGCTGTGTCCAGAGTCTTCAGGGAAGGCCATCAACCCAGGCGGTGGGAGCAGACAGGAAAGAAAAGCTTCTGTCCTCAAGAAGCCCATGCTCTAACTTCAGGGATCCTGAGAACAAGGCTGGTGCTCAGATACCAGTGACTGCCTCATAGGACACTGTCATTGTCTGGGGAACAAGTGCCCTGGGTGGCAAACAAGCTGATGGAAAGATGTCAATGTCCTAGGTGATCAGGGAAATGCAAACTAAGCCATGAGATACCACTGCACACCGAGTAGAGTGGCCAGAACCCTGAACGCTGTCCACACCAGATGCTGGGGAGGCTGTGGAGCAACAGGACTCTCACTCATTGCTGCTAGGCACATAAAATGGTGCAGATGCTTAGGGAGAGAGTTTGGCAGTTTCTTGCAAAACTAGGGTGGAGTGGTGCATGCCTGTAGTCTAAGCCACACAGGAGGCTCAGGCAGGAGGATCACTTGAGCCCAGGAGTTTGAGGCTGTAGTGTGCCATGATTGTACCTGTGAAGAGCCACTGCACACCCGCGTGGTATCTGTTAAACACACACAGACACTAAACTAAACTTACTCTCACCATATGATCAAGCTGGTGCTACTTGATATTTACCCAAAGGAGTTGAAAATTTAGGTCCACACAGAAACCTGCACACAGATGTCTGAGGCAGCTTTACTCATAGTTGCCAAAACTTGGAAACAACTCAGGTGCCCTTCAGTCAGTGAATGGATAAATACACTGTGGTACATCCAGACAATGGGATTTGTGTTTTTGTTTGTTTTTGAGATGGAGTTTCACTCTTGTTGCCCAGGCTGGAATGCAATGTCATGGTCTCGGCTCCCTGCAACCTGCACCTCCCAGGTTTAAGCAATTCTTCTGCCTCAGCCTCCCAAGTAGCTGGGATTACAGGTGTCTGCCACCACGCCCGGCCAATTTTTATATTTTTATTAGAGATGGGGGTTCACCATGTTGGCCAGGCTGGTCTCGAACTCCTGACCTCAAGTGATCCTCCTGCCTCAGTGTCCCAAAGTGCTAGGATTACAGGTGTGAGCCACCGCGCCCGACCCAGACAATGGGATATTATTCAGTACGAAAAGAAATGAACTGTCAAGCCATGAGAAGACATGGAGGAAACTCACTGCAGGTTACTAAGTGAAATAAGCCAGTCCGAAAAGGCTGTCTCCTGTATGGTTCCAACTCTATGACACTCTGGAAAAGGCAAAGCTATGGAGACAGAAAAAAGACCAGTGGTTGTCAGGGCTTAGTGGGGAGGGACGGATGAACACAGGACTTTTAGGGCTGTGAAACTACTCTGCATGATACTGTAATGTTGGGTCCATGTCGTTATACATTTGTCCAAACCCACAGAGTGCACAACGTCAAGACTGAGCCCTAAGGTAAACTGGACTTGGGTCATGATGACAGGTCAACGGATGTTCATCAGTTGTAACAAATGCACCACTCTGGTGGGGGAGGTTCCAGGGGGTGCAGGGAGTCTGTGGGAACTCTCTGTACCTTCCTCTCCATTTTGCTATGACCCTAAAAATGCTTTTAAAAAAAAGTATTAGGCCAGGCGCAGTATCTCACGCTTGTAATCCCAGCACATTGGGAGGCTGAGGTAGGTGGACCACCTGAGGTCAGGAGTTTGAGACCAGCCTGGCCAACATGGTGAAACCCTGTCTCTACTAAAAATACAGAAATTAGCTGGGCATGGTGGTGCCTGCCTGTAATCCCAGCTACCCAGGAGGCTGAGGCAGGAGGATCACTTGAACCTGGGAGGCAGAGGATACGGTGAGCCAAGATCACACCACTGCACTCCAGCCTTGGTGACACAGCAAGACTCAGTCTCAAAAAAATAAAAAAGAATTGTTTTAAAACCCTAAAAGAGCAAAATGATGCCCTGAGCTTAGGAAATATTCATCCCAGCACTTCTGGAGCAAATTGCTTTAAAAGTGGGCTGCACCATCTTAACAAACACAAAATCCAATCAAATAACACATCCTACTCACTGGCGTGAAGCACACATCCCATCCTGTGGGGACAGTGTTGATTAGGAGATGGAGGACAAGGAAGGCTTCCTGGTGGAGGAGGCTCTGCAGAGGACTTGAGGGATGCGGGTGAGTGTCTGGCTCTGGGCAGGACACAGATGCAAGGCCAGGGGAATGGACAGGGGGCTCTCACTCAGCCTGTGGTCTTTGCCCTGGGATTTTGCCTCTAGATTCTCCCCAACGGCTGCCCTCTTGTTCCTGAGAATTGTTACGTTGGTTTTCCTCCACCTCAAGGCAAGTGTTTTGGTGACAGGCCAAGGAAAATACCCACTGAATACAAAGCAGGCTCCTAGAATATGCCCAGACAGCACCATAGCAAATGCTCTGACTCACCAGTGCCGCACCACAGCAGCCTGCCTTGGTGGCGCCTGACATCCCGGGTGCTGGGGCATGTGGCAGTGCCACATTGCCAGGGGGTTCAGCCTCTGCGGGGCTGCTGGAAAGGACAGACAGGACTGGCGGGCCTCCTCCAGCCCCAAGTTGGGACATTTCCAGCCACCACACTACGAAAAGTATCTTCCAGCCTTGGGAACCCCGGTCCCTGGGGTGAGCTCCAGAGGGCAGCTGCCTTGATGCTAGAGGCAGGAAGGCGTGGGCCGCCCAGGAGCGGGGGCCCCTCAGTGCTGTCAGAGGAAAACATGAGTCCAGAGGACCCTGACTTAGCTCAAGCCTCCCCCAGCCTCCAAATCCCAGCTGGCTGGATGGCTGTGGTCCTGCAAGATGAAGGAAATATACTCATCACCTGAGATTCCAAACAGGCACCCCTGGGTGGGCTGACTGCCAGCCAGTCCCCAAAGCCCCTGTTATAAGCTGGGAAGGTGACCTCCAAACCAGGTGGCCCTGCCCCACCTTTCCCGATGTGAAGGACTGAATATTTGTGCTCCCAGATTTATCTGCTGAAATCCTAACTCCCAGTGTTTACTCTCAGGAAGTGGGGCCTGGGGAGGTGGTGTAGTCATGAGGGTGGAGCCCTCCTCAGTGGCATTAGTGCCCTTATAAAGGGGGCTAACAGTGAGAAGAGGACACAGGGAGAAGATCCCATCTGTCATTAAGGAGACAGGTCATCACAGACACGGAATCTGCCAGTGCCTGGATCTTGGACTTCCAGCCTCCAGAATGGAGAAATTTCTGTGGTTTATGGGCCGCCCAGTCTGTGGCACTTTGTGACAGCAGCCGGGGTGGACAAAGACACACTGTCTCCTTTTTTTTTTCAGACGGAGTTTTGCCCTGTCACCCAGGCTGGAGTGCAGTGGCGTGATCTCAGCTCACTGCAACCTCCGCCTCCCAGATTCAAGTGATTCCCCAGCCTCAGCCTCCTGAGTAGCTGGGACTATAGGCATGTGCCACCGCATCCGGCTAATTTTTTTTTTTTTTTTTTTAAGTAGAGATGGGGTTTCACCATGCTGTTGGCCAGGCTGGTCTCGAACTTCTGACCTCAGGTGATCTGCCTGCCTTGGCCTCCCAAAGTGCTGGGATTACAGGCATGAGCCACCGCGCTCGGCCCCTGTCTCCTGCTATTAACAGTTACCGTCTTTGGCGGTTACTCTGCGGAACGCCTCCCAGGGTGCATCTTTTTATTTTCCTGAAACATCTGAAAAGGGTACGGCAAAGCCAGAGCAAAGGGGTTGAGCAGCTGAACAACTGTCTCCTTCCCTCAGGGAAAAATAATGACTCAGGACCAGCAGCCATGGCCTCAGATGACCGGGATATTCCAAATGGGGATGGAGCCTTCAGACTCTGCCCTCCCACCTCAGAAGATCAAGCAGAATGTAGGAGCACACAGATCAAAGGCATCGGGCCTGGAATCTCTGAGCCTAATCAAAATGGAAAACAGCTTCATCTCGGAGTGAGGAGCAGAAAAGCTGGCCAGAGTCCAGGTAGATGACGGAGCCCTCCACGCTGAAAATCAACCCATCTTTTCAGCTGTGTTCCTGCTCCAAAAGGAACTAGCATTTGAGCACGTATAGCAGCGGGTGTTAAATCTGCTAAAATGTGAGCTCCTGGAGACCAGGGTCCTCACCCACCCTGCCCCCCACTGTATTCCCAAGTCTGAGTTTGTTTTATGTTGTGCTAACAGGATACCACAGACTGGGTAATTTATAAAGAACAGAAATATATTGCTAAGGCTGGGAAGTCCGCGATCAAGGCCCTAACAGGTTCGGTCTCAAATGAGGCTGCACCCTCCAGAGGGGAGGAAGACTGTGTCCTCAGGTGGTGAGGACAGGAGGGCCTGTCCTCATGCTGGACCAAGCCTCTTCTAAAAGGGCCTTAATCCCACTCACGAGGGAGCATCCCTCACGGCCTAATCACCTCTGAATGCCTCGCCTCTCAACACCATCCCATTGGCAACATCTGAATTTTGGAGGCGACACATTCTAACTGTTGCACCCCAGGACTTAGAGCAGTGCTTGGAAGATCACATGTACTCAATACATGCCTAGTAAATACTGTTTATGCCTTTGTCTCTGCAATGAAGTGGTAACAAGGCCTCAGCTCCTCCTCTTTAGTCATAATGAGCCCAAAGTAAGGAGCACTCCTGGAGTGTGTGACAGAAGAATAGGGAATTAAGGGAACGGGGCTCAGCAGGTGCAGCCAGTTCATAGAAGCAGGAGAGCAGCAGGTGCAGTTTATAGGCTACATCCTCACTCACATAATAACAAGCCACTTCAGCCTCTGATTGGTCGCAGGCCAATCCTTCATGGGGTGTAGCCAATTGGAGGCCTCTAAAGGGCACGGACTGGTGTTGCTGAGTTTCTTTAGCTCAACAGAAACCCCTAATTAAGGAGGCTCTTGAGGCACTTGCTCGAGTGCGCTCCCACCCTGAAATGTCTTCAATAAATCTATGCTTTCATTAATCTGTTCTTTTATTGCTCTGTGCATTTTGTTCGATTCTTTGTTCAACGCACCAGGAACCTGGACAATTCTATCCAGTAAAACGAGGATGGATTCTTGGTATTTGAAGCGAATTGCAGGTCCCCAAAACAGGTAAAATAGGCCGTGTGCTGGACGGGCCCACCCCACAGCAAGGAGACACAACCCATTGCTGATGGGAACAGAGCCTCTCCCTACCCCATCCAGATCACAACAGGCCACATTGTGACTCATAAATCAGAGACATGATGGCAAGTTTAACCTCATGCTTCAATAATAACCATTTTCTAGGATCCAGGAGAAAAATCAGCAAGGCAGGACATGAATTTCAGTGTAAATGCACCCTCTTCATTCTGAGTGGGGCTCTTTATGCTTTTCTGGAAATGCTTGATGCATTGGCCCTTAATTCCTCATGTTCCCCCATGGCATTTGCCCCACACAGTGTCCTCTGTGCTTTCCCTGAAACTCCTGCTTAGCTGGGAAGATGGAACCCATCCGAGTGGAGCTCCGTTAACGCCCCACATTTCTCATTCACTTCCCCATCTACTGTCTCCTGCTCCCACAAACACCCATCTCCCTGCCCGAGCACCTTTGACTCTCCCTGCGTCCTCCCTCCCTTCCTCCGTGGTTTACCCCACCTCACTTTCTAGATGCTTCCCCCAAGACTCCAAACATCTCTGAGGGTCCACCAGGAAGAAATGGCTCTTGGGACCCTCCTCAAGCCAAAGCCACCTTTCTCTCCCTTTCCTGCATCTTCACCAATTCCAGCTCCACCCCTTGCCTTGGCCTTCATCCTCAGGGCTCTCCCCAAACAGCCAGTGACCTCCAGTTGACACAGAATAGGTATGATCTAGAAGAAACCCCAGAGGCATCCAATCCAACCCCCCCCCCCACCGCTTTTAAGGTTGACGGAGCTGGAGGGGACACGACCTGCCCAAAATTGCAGGAGTTAGGCAGGGCTCAGGATCGGGACACTGATCTCCTTTGTCATGTTCAGAGCTCTCTCAGCCCCTAGACAGCTTTTTCATCGCAGGACCACTGACCAGATAGTTCCTCTTACGATGCCATCAAATGCCCCTGCCCAGGCTCACCACACTCTTGGCACAGCTGGCCTCCACTGTCCAAGCTCCCCCATCCTCTCCTGTCTCTCTGACTCTCCTACTCTGGCTAATCTTCTCCCCAGCCCTCAAGATGCTGCCCTCCGCCCACTGACCCCCTCCCTCAGCCAGCGCACTCCAGCCCATCACTGTACCGATGACGGCGTTGATATCATCACCCGCTGACCCCTCCCTCAGCCAGCGCACTCCAGCCCATCACTGTACCGATGACGGCGTTGATATCATCACCCAATGACCCCTCCCTCAGCCAGCGCACTCCAGCCCATCACTGTATCAGTGAGGCCATCGATATCATCGCTTCTTCTCTGCAATCCAAGGCGTGGTGCCAGTTCTCTGTGGTTCATTTTCTAGGCTTTGCTGTTGATATTCAAAGCCAAGCTCAAGCAATATCTTGTAGCATTTTGGCAATAATTTTTATTTTCTTTTTTTATGAAACTTGGGATCTAACTATCTTGCTTAAGCTGGTCTTGAACTCTTGGGTCAAGTGATTCTCCCACCTCAGCCTCCCAAGCAGGTGGAATTACACGTGTGAGCCACCGCACCTGGCCATTTCTGCAATAACTGCGAAATCAGAGACTACAGAAAGACTCCTTGCTCCTTGAATAGTAGGAGAAACAGTAGAGGCAAGAGATTTTTAAATGATTTACTATCCAATTATTAGTTTGCCACATGTAAATATTTTCATAATTTCCTTTAAACAATATCTACTTTTCTTTTTAGAGGACAGATTCACTAATCCTCTTCAAATTCTTTTTTTTTTTTTTTTGAGATGGAGTCTCACTCTGCTACCCAGGCTGGAGTGCAGTGGTGTGATCTTGGCTCACTGCAATCTCCACCTCCCAGGTTCATGCAGTTCTCCTGCCTCAGCCTCCTGAGTAGCTGGGATTACAGGTTCATGGCACCACACCTGCCTAATTTTTGTATTTTTAGTAGAGAAAGCGTTTCACCATGTTGACCAAGCTGGTCTCGAACTCCCGATATCAGGTGATCCCCGTCCCCCACCCGCCGCCACCACCCTCCGCCTCGTCCTCCCAAAGTGCTGAGATTACAGGTGTGAGCCACTGCACCTGGCCCCTCATCAAATTCTTTAGCCTCCTTCTAAAGGAATTCTTGAGTTAAAGCACCCCTGTTGGGTTTTGTGCCAGACACTGGATACAGTAGAATCTACTTGACAATTAGCGTCAAGATTCTTCTGCTCACCGAATCAGTAGCACATTTTTTAAAAAACCGAATCCTCTTTTCACAAGAGTGACTTCTGTCTGGATGTAGCACAGGTACTAATGGCATAACACGTGGCTAGCCTGTGTCGGGAGAAGCTAGTCAGAGAAATCTTTTTCTTTCTTTTCTTTCCCAAATATCTCCAAGTTGGTCCTTGTGCAGAAAAGGGAAAAAGCAACTTTAGGACCTGTTCACTGCATCGTAATGAGAGATAACTATAGCACTTTGTGCAATAGTGTCTAATGATGTTATTTAAAATGCCATATTTGTAAGACTTAGCCACTTTCAAGGTACTTTTTCATCATGCTTTTGCCATTTCACAGAAAGATACTATTTTGAAAATTTACATAATATCTATGAATGCAGGTGGAAAATAAAATGCATCATTGAGCAGTCCTTCAAGAAGGACAGAGCAGTCAATGTGAAGGAAAACCCGTGATTTCAAGTCGAGCAGGCCTGCTGCTTGAGCACCTACCTCTGGTCAGGGATCCGTGGCTCCGTCTCCCCCTCCATACAGTGGGCCGGATGCTAGCATCTGTCTTGCAGGGAGCTCATAAGCAGTTTTCAGATTATATAAGTAAAATGCCCACCGTGGCATTTGCCATACTAGACTCTAAGTACATATTAGTTTCAAGAAAAGAGAAAGAAACTAAACTGAAATACTATAGCAGTTGATGCAAGAGAAACTTCAGCTGAATTAAATTTAAAGTTTAATTGAGCAATGATCGATTTGAGAATTGGGCAGCCCCCAGAATCACAGCAGGTTCACAGAGACTCCAGCACAGCCAGGTGGAGAAGATTTATAGACAAAAAAAGGTGGGGGGGGGGGAATGATGTACAGAAATTAGAAGTGAAGTATAAAACAGCTGGATTGGTTACTGCTTGGCGTATGCCTAATTTGAACACTCAGCAGTGTATGGTTGGTTGAGTATGGCCACTGGGGTTGGCCAAGACTTAGCTATTGTTGGAGGTGCATACTACCAGGTTATGTTTGCAATTTTGTCCGCCTATTAAGCTAGGTTACAGTCCATCCGCGAGGACTCAAATATAGAAGTATGGAGTCCTTCTCAGGCCATATTTAGTTTGCTTTCACAGTTAACGTGCTGCTGGATGTTAGTCTCTTCCCCTCTCTAGATTGTCCATTCCTGTGTACCCATCTCCACATCTCCACACTCACTGCATGGTAGAGCCTCAGGTTCGAGCCACCACTTATGGCCCTTTGTACAAGTCAGAAAGGCTTCCCTTTGTGGGTGGATTTGAGCTCCCCAGACACCTGCTGCAAAACACAGCTCACACAATTGTGCACAGTGGCCCCTGACTCTTGCAGTCTCACTTAGTTTATAAGAATGCTCGATGTTAGTGCTCACTCAATCCCTTCCACGGATCTGCCCATTCTGTCATCTAATCAGCTGGTCTCATGCCGTTCAGGTAGGTAGTTACCTCTGGGGCTTAATTTTCCACCATGTCCCCAGTGCAAAAGGCCTCCATGGAGCCTGGGATCTTTGCCACATATTCACAAAAATAGGCCTTTGAATTGCTCCTGGTGGAGGTCTGGATGCCAGTGCAACACAGTCGTGTTAGCTGGGACCCTAGCAGACCTTAGGAAGAATGACATCAGCTGGAAAAACTCTACAAGGAGCTGTCACTGTGCCAAGTTGAACAGTTTTGCCAGGAGGAGTGAGGAAGCAATTACTCTGAACTTGATTGAACACAGGAGGCATCTCAAGTGGGTGCTCCTGCAGCTGCAGGCACTTTTCCTCCTGTCCCTCCTCCCAGCAGCTCAGCATGCATCCTGTCTCCCGGCCACGGGACAAGGCTGTGAGCTGCAGCTTTGTGCACTCGCTGTCTTTGCAAAGTGTTTTGGAAGTTCTGTCAATTCGTCTTGGCCTGGAAAATGGAAAATTGGAACAGTGAAAACACATCAAATGGTGCCTGTTTCGTGCTTGGGGAGGCAGACAAGGAGAAACTTCATGCGGTCAAGGTGTGGGTGGCTGTTGGCTTAAAGCCAGTGGAGAGCTTATTTATCCCCTTGGAGGAAGGGAAGAGCAGATTAGAACTATCAAAGCTTCTTAATATTAGCTCTGGGTTTTTGGTGGAGGGTGGCAAGTGGAGGGAGGAGGGTTAATTATACGGCTGACTGTAAGCAAGCAGAATCTGATCCAATCGTGGCTGTCATTGATTGAGCCAGGTGCTGTGCTAAGGGTATCACGCGCATCAGCTCAATCTAATCCTTGCATTGCTCTTATTATTTCCATTTTACAGATAACAAAACTGCACTTTAGAAAACTGAGGGATTCAGCCGGGGACGGTGGCTCATGCCTGTAATCCCAGCACTTTGGGAGGCTGAGGTGGGTGGATCACGAGGTCAGGAGATCAAGACCATCTGGCTAACACAGTGAAACCTCGTCTCTACTAAAAATACAAAAAATTAGCCCGGCGTAGTGGCGGGCGCCTGTAGTCCCAGCTACTCGGGAGGCTGAGGCAGGAGAATGGCGTGAACCTGGGAGGCGGAGCTTGCAGTGAGCCAAGATCACACCACTGCACTCCAGCCTGGGAGACAGTGCGAGACTCCATCTCAAAAAAAATAAAAAAGAAAAAAAGAAAACTGAGGGATTCACCCAGCATCCCAGACTGGCAGTTGGCAGAAGCAGGCGTGGAATGGGCTCTGTCCAGCCTGGTGCTCCTATCTACTCCCCCACCCCACCCAAGCATCTCCTAAGGCTGCTTCTGGGGTGCCTCATCTCCCAGACACCTTTTCAAGGGTTCCTTTACCCACTACAGACCCTGCACTCACTCTCCTCTCCAAAGTCCCCCGCATTTCCCCGGCCACGCTTTGCTGATCTTTTGACTGTGCTCAGGAATCCTCCCCACCTAGGACGAAGCACTTGCCGAACCCAAATGCACACACAAATCACCTCTTGCCACCAAAACACTGGCTGTCAACTGTGCTTCTCCCATACCAGGAAAGGGTGCCAATTATGCAGATGGTGTTAGCAATGTTCCTAACAAAGACGGTAGAGTAAGGTGATAGTATTTGGCAAATTGGAGAATCAGGATGTAAAACAAAGATTTGAGCATCTGCACCCTAAAACATAAAATGTTGATACACGTTTTATAAAAGTGCTAGTAATGGGATCCATTCTCATTATGATGCCATTAGGGCCTTTCACAAATATTACATGGAATTATTGTACTTTCTGTCCCCTTTGAAGTTAGGCCTGGCCATGGGACTTGCTTTGACCAATGGCATGTGAAAGCCAAGGCTGCACATTGCCTCTGGGGGCAGTTTTGAGAGTCTTTGCTACCTTTCCTTTTCCTGGGACAGCCACCTTGGGAGTACATGTTGCAATGGGCTTCCTTAAATGTGGGTCCCTAAAGGTTGTAATAATCCTTAGGGATACCTTGCCAGCCCCTCTGGCCTGGTAGCTGTAGCAAACCAACAAAAACAAAGATCAAAAAGCCTTTTTTGTTCATTTTCTGAGACAGAGTCTTGCTCTGTTGCCCAGGCTGGAGTGCAGTGGCACAGTCATGACTCACTGCAGCCTTGACCTCCCAGGCTCAGGTGATCCTCCCACCTCAGCCTCCAGAGAAGTTGGAAACTAGAGACATGCACCACCACACCCGCTAACCCTTTTTTTTTCCTAATTCCTGAGATTTTGTGTTTTTTGGGGGAGTTTTTTGTTTGCCACCATAACATACCTAGCCCACCTGATTAGTACTATCATATAGACACATTTATTCAAATATGTAAACAAATTTGACATAATTCAAAGATGATATATTTAAATACGGTGTATAAAACATTGAAAATAACACTTAAATTATCATACTGATTTGCTAAAAGTCTTCAAAAGATTTGCCAAGTTTATTCATTGGCTTCATTTTAACACAAAAATTCAATTAAGGAGATAAATTTTAAAACTATGAGGAGCTGCTTAGTAATTCTATGGATGTCCATTCTCCTGGTTCCTCTGGGCTCAGGCAGGGTTTCTGTACTGCATTGGTGCGGAAGAGCAAAGTGCTCCACAGTGCCCCTATGCAGATGAGAGGGGATAGCACACACAGGGAGGGCTTGGTGTGGCCAGCACAAAAAGGTCATCCACAGATGCAGGAAAGAAGTTGGATAGAACAGGTGCACTGGCTCTTACGTGTAATCCCAGCACGTGGAGAAGCCAAGGTGGGAGGATCACATGAGCCCAGGAGTTTGAGACCAATCTGGGGAACCTCTATCCCCCTGTCCCTCTAAACATAGGAAGGTAGGCGGGGAACGGTGGCTCACGCCTGTAATCCCAGCACTTTGGGAAGCCGAGGCGGTTGGATCACTTGAGGTCAGGAGTTTGAGACCAGCCTGGCCAACATGGTGAAACCCTGTCTCTACTAAAAATACAAAAATCAGCCAGGCATGGTAGCAGGTGCCTGTAATCCTAGCTACTCGGGAGGCTGAGGCACGAGAATTTCTTGAACCCGGGAGGCAGAGGTTGCAGTGAGCTGAGATCGTGCCACTGCACTCCAGCCTGGGCAACAGAGCAAGACTCTGTCTCCAACACAGTGAGACACATGCAGGAAGAGGAACAAAGGAGTGGATGGTGGTGTGGAAGTTCCTCTTGGATTGCTCCCATGGGATGGTTCATTTTCTGGGTCAACTTGACTGGGCTATGGGAGTCCAGATAGCTGGTAGAACTTTCTTTCTGGGTGTGTCTGTGTGGGCGTTTGCAGTGGAGATGGGCATTCAGATTTAGAGACTCAGGAAAGAACATCCACTCTCACCAATGTGGACGAGCATCCAATCCACTGAGGGCAGGGATAGAACAAAAATCAAAGGAAGGGGGAGTCCTCTCTCTTCTTGAGCTGGGACATCAACCTGCTCCATTCCTTGAACACTGGAGCTCCTGTTTCTCTGACCTTCAGACTTGGACTAAATGATACCACCAGCTTTCCTGTGTTTTCAGCTCGCAAATCGTGGGCCTCCATATGAACCAATTCCCATAATAAATCTGTTTTTCTGGAGAACCCTGACTAGTAATTACAGTTTTCTTTTTTCAATGAAGCAAAATTCGAGGGTGTCAGCTGAGTGGGATGATGGTGGAGGAGGTGCTAGACCAGTTTGAGGAGCACGTCCTGGGAGAGGGGGCAGTGACTGGACCAGGAGCATCTAACATGGTTTCTGGGCTGGCTCAGGGGCCTCCGGGGTTTAATGATCGAGACCTTATGGGGAACTGGTCACCATGGCTGTGCAATGTGCCCCAGCCTTGTGGGGTTAAGCAGGTGCTGAGTGGAGGGTGCATTTACGTGGGGACCTGACTGCTGCGCTACAGGGCACTGGAGAGGAATTCGAAGCAGCAACCTGAGTGGCTGCTATGGGATTTAAGCCGAGTCAGAAGGGAGGAAGTCAAAGGGTGAGGAAGAGTGAAAAGGAGCTGAGGCCAACCCACTGCAGGTCCCCAAATGTTGAAGGATTGTTGAAAGCAGGGTGGTAGCAGGAGTGAGCTGGAGAGAAAGAAGCTTGACAGTGGGATATTGGACATTGGGATTTGGAACGATTGCATTTATTACAGTAATAAGATCAGGCTTTAACCACTAGCATGAGTGGCTGAGTGGGGAGGGGGACAAGCCCACCAGGAGAAAGGGCTGAGGCGGGAGTTCAGTGCGTCTTCTCCATTCTGTGTTCTGTTTTGCTCCTGGCGCTCACGGCAATTCATCATAAGAGATTTGCCTGTGTGCTCAGTGACTTAAACAAGTAAGCCCCTCAAGAGCAGGGGCTGTGTCTGATTTATAATAAACTAGCATGGCATGGAACACATAAGAAAGAGTTTGGTAAGGCCGGGAGTTGTGGTCACGCCTGTAATCCCAGCAGTTTAGGAGGCCTGGGCGGGCGGATCACGAGGTCAGGAGATCGAGACCATCCTGGCTAACACAGTGAAACCCCACCGCTACTAAAACTACAAAAAATTAGCCGGGTGTGGTGGCGGGCACCTGTAGTCCCAGCTACTTGGGAGGCTGAGGCAGGAGAACGGCGTGAACTCAGGAGGCAGAGCTTGCAGTGAGCTGAGATCGAGCCACTGCACTCCAGCCTGGGTGACAGAGCCAGACTCCGTCTCAAAAAAAAAAAAAAAAAAAAAAAACAAAAGAGTTTGGTAAATAATTGTTCGTTGCATGGATGAAACTCCACAAAGGTAGATTAGTGGGAGGCAATGGTTTGTCATTGTTCAATAATTGAAGAATTATTTCATCCTAACAATAATAGACTCTGTTAGAATGAAGAAGTTAAAGCCTCAGAAGGCAATAGCAGTTTTTAAAATCTGTTTGAGAAAATGAATGCTAGCTGGACTGGCCGAATCACGTTCTCCCATCTTGCTAGTGACCTACGTTGTCCTCTGGAGACAGACATAATATATTTTATATCAGTTGTACAATGCTTAATGTGTATATATGTATGTATATATACATTATGCATCCATATATACATAAGCATTGTACAACAAAACTTCATATACCTTTTTTCCTTACTTGTAACCCCCTAGATATTTTTATTACCCCATTTTATATAAAAATGCATGGAGGTGAGAAAGAAGAACTTTCTGCAGATCACACAGTCTGTAAAACAGGATTTAAAACCAGGTTTTCTGACCCTGAATCCAGGGCTCTTTGAGCCATGTTGCCCATGCAAAGGCTAAATTCTGTTCATTCCTGGAGCCGTAGTACCAGTAATGGTAATGGATGGGTATCGTACCAGCAAGGTTTTCCAGTGGCTGGGGTTCAGAAAAGCTCTGGTTATATCAGACTGACCTTCATGTTTTCAACAGGTCAATGCCTTTTGCCGCTGGGACTTCAGGGCAATGAAATAGGAAGTGCGCCTGACCATCACGAGATGTGAAGGATTCCATGGCCGTGATTCCCATATTCAAATGGGATTTTCCAAGTGGAAAGACAGCAGTCACTTAAACACAGGCCTCAGAGGCCAATAGGACCCATCCCCGCAGCTATGCAGACATCACCCATGGAAAATTAGCCTGCATCAGTTTGTCCGGTCCCGGGAGGGGCATTCTCTAATGGTTTCGTGGCTGCAGCAATGGAGCAATTCTATTTCACGCTGTCCCAAGAGAGGCCTTCCAATGTAATGACTCCCCACAGTTGTAATTTTCCTTTCATTCATTTGCTTCCTTACATTTGGGGAGGTTTCTTTTCTAATGAAAAACTGAGCCAAAAAAAGAAAAATAAAACAATTCTTGCTTTTAGCCTAAAGTTGATAGTTTTCGACGAAAAAACCTCCCTGTTAAAAATTTACATTGGGCATATACCCAATAATGACATTGCTGGTCAAATGGTATTTCTGGTTCTAGATCCTTGAGGAATCACCACATTGACTTCCACAATGGTTGAACCAATTTACACTCCCACCAACAGTGTAAAAGTGTTCCTATTTCTCCACAGCCTCGCCAGCATCTATTGTTTCCTGACTTTAATAATCGCTATTCTGACTGACATGAGATGATATCTCACTGTGGTTTTGATTCATCACACACTGGGGCCTCTTGAGGGTTGGAGGACAACGAGAGAGAGAGCACTGGGACAAATACCTAATGCATGCAGGGCTTAAAACCTAGATGATGGGTTGATGGGTGCAGCAAACCGCCATGGCACATGTATACCTATGTAACAAACCTGCACATTCTGCACATGTATCCAGGTCTTAAAGTTAAAAAAAAATCTACATTGATTTCCTGGGACTTCTTTGAGTGAGTTCTATTGTCTTCAGATAATAATTGCAAACTTTATTTAGCACACGATGTGCCAGACATGATACACTCTTTCACTTGATTTTTCCAACAAGCCACAGGAAAAGGACTGTTACCGTCTCACATTTTGCAAATAAGAAAACCAAGGCTCAGAGAGACTCACCCAGTAGTAGCAGGGGACCTCAGGCTCTGCCAAAGACTCATCTGGCTCCAGAAACAGCTCACTCGGCCACAGAGCTCTTCTATCCTCTGCCAGCTTCGATCAACCTGGAAATGGACACACTTTACTATTAATAGTAAGCCCAAGAATAATGATCTAAGCATCATGTTCATATGTGGGACTATGCATATCCATAGAGACGTGGGCTCAAACCACGTTTTAATAACATTCCACAGCACATTTCTTCCCAAGACCTTCTTCAGACCTTGCCATGTGCATTCAGGAGCATTATTTCTCATCCTGTGAAAGCAAAGGAATGACTGGAAAGAGAGTCATGTGGGACATTTTCTCCATGTCTGTGGCTTCTGAAATCCCCAAACACCACAGGACTCAAAGGCTTGGGGTGCTGTGATGCCCCTTCTCTGCAGCTCTTGGACACCGTCTTTTTGGTTTGTGTTTGCAGCAAATATCTTTCCTTGGGTGCCCAAAGAGAAAGCAGAAATACCTGTTTTTGCGAGGAGCAAAAACCGATTCCCCCACCATGTGTCGGCTCCATCTAAGCCATTTGTTGGGGGGACATCCCTTTCTCCTCAGAAAGCCCCCAGTCATGCAAAAGACAGTCATAGATCGATGGGAAGGACTGACCCAAATTCCTGGGCTGTGAGATTGGGGAAGTGTGACATGGTACAGATGTGTGTCCCCTCCAAGCCTCATGTTGAAATGTGATCCCCAATGTTGGAGGTGAGGCTTGGGGAGAGGTGTTTCGGTCGTCGGGGCAGATCACTCATGGGTGGCTTGATGCCGTCTTTGTGATAGTGAGTGAGTTGTCACTCTGAGTTCAGGCGACATCTGGCTGTTTAAAAGGGACCCCTCCCGCACTTACTCCCTCTCTCACCATGTGAAGCGCCAGCTCCGCTTGCCTTCCGCCATGATTGGAGGCTTCCTGAGGCCTCACCAGAAGCCAGGCGGATGCTGGCGCCACACTTCCTGTAGAGCCTGCAGATCTGTGAGCCAACGAAGCCTCTTTTCTTTATAAATTACCCAACCATGGGTAATCTTTTATATTGACACAATGACTCACTGACACAAAGTGTGTGCCCTGGCAGAGAGTGAGATCGATGATAACAAACAATACTCCAAACACCCACATTTACCAGTCGGGGCCATTTTTCCTCCCCAACGGGCTCCTCCCTACGTGCAGCCACCACCTGTCTCCGAACCACCTGCCAGATACAGTAATGAAGCTTCTGGGCTCTCGGCAGGGGCACTGACTCAGCCTCAGAGGATGGACCTGAGAGATGGGGACAGTCTAGCCCTATCCTCTGCCCTGCTGGCAGGGAGACGCCCGCAGCTGAGGCACCTCGGACCGAGAGCGGCTCTCATGCGCTGGGGAGTTGCTCTCCATGCCGATGGGAAAATTGAGTTCTGTTCTCACAGCAGGCAGTAGGCAGGAGCAGAAACCGGGAAGGTGGAGGATGGCACCAATCACCCCTGAGTGAAACCAGGACACCCTGCTCACAGCTCGTCTTCTAAAGCAGGGCCAGAGATAGAACTGAAGACCTCCAGCCTGATGGGGCCTGGCTGCTGGGCAGTGACACTGTCCTCCCGAGAACCTGTACAGGACAAAACCACGGACCCGTTCCCGTGAGCAGGACGCACATGCGTGCGGTGTCTGTAGTTGTTGCTGCTTTTGTTTTCTGATCTTTGTATTAATTTTTTATTTGTATAAATTTCAGGGGCACAATGCTATTTTGTTACAGGGATATCTTCGATAGTGGTGAAGTCTGGGCTTTTAGTGTATCCATCACCTAAAAAATGTACTTTGCACGTATTCAGGAATTTCTCATCATCCGCTTCCCCCACACCCTCCCACCCTTCCGAGTCTTCAGTGTGTGCAGTCCGCACGCTATGTCCCGTGTGCACATCCCTTAGCCCCCACGTATGCCTGAGCTTTGTATTCGAGCTCACTGCTTAACAACTTGGATTGGTACCTGGCTATTCAAAAGCTAAGCTGGCAGCTCCTTGCTCGCCACTAGATGGTGCCAGATCCCAACTGTGGTCTGCAAGAGCTTCACCCATTGGAAGGGGCCTGTGTCCCACTTTAGCCGGGAGGCAGTTTAAAGGAGAGAAACTAGAAGGGAAGTCAAACCCGGAACATTTCAAAAGGAACTAGGAAAAAGGGCCAAATATAAGTGTACTAAATTTGGAAGGCAGTCTAGGAAAAAGCTGGGTGCCCAAATAATTAGTGGGTCACAGAAGCTGGCCTGTTTCCGTGAGAATCATCACAAGTGTTCCCCCAGCCCCCAACAAAACGCAAAAAGTGTGCATGAATCCTGGCACCCCCAATGAGAAGCCTTAGAACAAGAAGCAGCAGCTCATGCACTGGACCCACTAGAGTGCCAAGGGCTGCCCACCAGCTCCCTGATGCCCTCATGCCCTCTCTCCATATTGAGTCACTTTTTTTCTTTTTTTGGTAAGAGGGAAACAGGTTCTCTCTCTGTCCCTGAGGGTGGAGCGCAGTGGTGCCATCTCAGCTCACTGCAGTCTCTACCTCCAGGGCTCAAGCGATTCTCCCGCCTCAGCCTCGTAGCTGAGACTACAGGGGTGAGCCCCCACACCCAGCTCATTTTTATTTTACTTTTAGTAGAGGTGAGGTCTCACTCTGGTGCCCAGACTGGCACATGGAGTCACTTTCTACCCAAGAGCTCTGGATCGGAAATGGGGCTGTTTTTTTTTTTTTTTTTTAATCAGTGTGGCCTTTGGGCTGCTCCACACCCCCTTAGGAAGCTGGAGCTGTTTACCACCTGGGGAGCCACAGGAGGGGCCTCTTCCCATCGGACAGACCCCAAGGAGCAGCTCCGGCAGCGTTTCTGAGGCCAGTTGTAAATCCTTTAATACCACAGGTGGATGCACCCTTCGATGGGCAGAAGAGACGCCCCCTTTTCCACTCGTCCTGTGGAAACTGTCTTTCCGGCATGTCGCTGTGACTTTTGACTTGGGACACTGGGCTAGCAGGCTGGCGGCCTGCGAGCAGTGAGTCCACATCCACCCTCTCGGTACCTGCAGGATGCTGGTGGCTGGGACAAACAGGAAGGCCTGGGAGGAGCGTCAAGGAACCACAGGCCTGCTTCCCTGAGTCTATTTTGATCACCTTTGAGAATGGTCTTCTTGTCAAGTCAGGGGTGGTTGCTTTGCCTCACTCCCTAAAACATCGGGGTGAGAGGCCTTACCCGTTATTGTTTTTCCTGCCTCTAGAGTAAAATGAACTGAAACAATCAAGCCCCAACTTAAATAACACAACCTCCTCAGCTGCTTCAGGCTCTCAGACATGGTCTGTGGCATCTGGGCAGCTCATTAATTTAACCCAAGCTTAGGGAAATCTTTAGGAGAGGATGTCCAAGCTCTGACCAGGTGCTGGGTGCAAAGGTGAAAGCCCCTTAGCTCCAGAAGTTTCCATCTAACAGGCCAGTGCCTCACTAGGGCTACCACAATCCCACACCACAAGCTGAGCCCCTTCAACGGCAGACGTTTATGTCTCACAGTTCTGGAGGCTGGAAGTCCAGCTTCAAGGTCCAGGCAGGGCTGCCTTCCGGCCGTGTCCTCAAGTGACACAGAGAGAAAGTTCTGGAATCTCTTCCTCTTCCTGAGGGCACTAGTCCCGTCATGCGGCTCCACCTGATACAGTTTGTATGTTGCCCCCTCTAAGTCTCATGTTGAATTGTGATGCCCAGTGTTGGAGGTGGGGCCTGGTGGGAGGTGTGGGGGCCATAGGGACAGATCCCTCATGATTTGGTGCTGACCTTGCATAGTGAGCAGGTACTTGCGAGATCCGGTTGTGAAAAGTGTGTGGCACCTCCTCCTTCTCTCTTGCTTCTGCTTTCACCATGTGACGTGCCTGTTCTCACTTCACCTTCCACCATGAGTAAAAGCTCCTTGAGACCTCCCCAGAAACTGAGCACAGGCAAGCGCTATGTTTGCTCAGCCTGCAGGACAATGAGCCAAGCCAACCTCGTTTCTTTATAAATTACCCAATCTCAGGTATTTCTTTAGAACAGTGAAGAATGGCTTCGTACACCACCTTCACAACCTCATCTAAACCTAATCACCTCCCAAAGGACCCGCCTCCAAATCCCATCACATTAGGGGTGAGGGCTTCAATGTGTGAATTAGGGGTGGGACACACATAGCCCATCACACCCTTGTCATTGGGTTTAACAAGTGATTGTTCTAAGGATGGGCTGATCAGCTCAGCTTGTGGAGACAGCGTAGCCTTCAGAAAGACAAACCCTCGGGTTGGGTTTTGAGAAGTGAGTAGGAGTTTGCCAGGGGAAGTGCATTACAGAGCAAGGAAAAGGGGATCCTGCCCAAGAGTTTAGGTGTCATCAATCTTTCTTTATAGTTCATAGAGTAAAATAATAACAAATGCATCCAATACATCACTCATTCAAAAAGCATTTAATTCAGCTGTTACTAACGTCCGTGTGAGAACGTGCCTGCGGAATCGCTGGTGATCGTTCTGCTCTTATGCCTTTTAAGAGCTCTCTAGACAGATGGACACGCACCGAGTTGCTTTGAGAATGTCAGACGTTAGAGGCGTATAGATCACAGTAACTGTAGGAGGGAGGGGAGATTTAAAGCATCCAGGTTGTCTTAATTTACTTCTGTCTGGCACAGGCTTTGTGTGTACTTGACTCTCCTGGGAAGCTTCCTGAGCTGGGGCCTGAATACAGGTGTGGAGGGAGCTCTGTGGGCAGAGACACCAGAGGGGCCTCACCAAAAGCCAAAGGCCCCACCCGCATCCAGAGTGGGGAGTGGAGTGGTCAGAGGAGAGGTGTGTGACTTTCCCGACGGAACACATCACGTCTTATGTGTTGGCATCTCCTGCTACACAGTGATTCTCAGAGCTTAGGGGTGATTTTGTATCAATCTCTTTATTAGTTTGCTTGGGCTGCGATAACAAATACCACAGAGTGCATGACTCAAACAATAGAAATTGATTTTCCCACAGTTCTGGAGAGTAGAAGGTATTGGCAGGGCTGGTTTGTCCTGAAGCCTCTCTCCTTGTCCCCTAGACGTGTGTTCTCCCTGTGTCCTTACAGGATTTTCCCCGAGGTGTATCCTCGTCCTAAATCTCCTCCATGTGTAAGGACCCAGTCAGATTGGATTAGGGCCATGTAATGACCTCGTTTTACTTTAATTACCTCTTTCAAGTCATATCTCCTTCTGAGTATTAGGGGTTAGGACTTCAACAGAAGAATTTTAGGAGGACCGAATCCAGCCCGTAACAATCTCCATGACCCCAGAACCACCTGGCACAGGGATGTGTTTTGCACATGTTTACTTGGTCAGCCTAAAGGCCTTTTTACTTCTGCTAAACAGCTTCAGGCCCTGGAAAACAGGGCTAACTTGTTAACTGGCAGGTTGAGGGCAGGAAGATCTGTGGATTGGGCTCTGCCAGGCAAGGCTGGGCTGCAGGCTCGGGCAGATTTTGAGTGCCATAAGAGGGTGCTGGGCAGGGCTGGGCTGCAGGCTCCGGCAGATTTTGAGTGTCATGAGAGGGGACAGCCAGGGGCTCTCTGGACTTCAGCAAGGGCTCCTGCCAGGGTCTGAGCACCCAGGTGGAACAGGTTCCCTAGCGGATGCCTCTCAGCGCCTTCCCAGACTCCTCCATTCCATGAACAAGCCAGGACCTGCTGAGGGGGACCAGGAGGTTCACACCTCAAGTGCAGTGGATAATAGCCTACTCACGGCTCACCCCAAATCCATCCTTTACCCTGATGTCACCTGTGGCAAATAACAACAGAGCCAACTCCCACTCACTGTCCAGAAGCCTGCCTGGTAAGGGCTTTGGAACCCAAGGAAAGACACCGAGAAACACTGCAAGAGGCTGCAGCCATCACAGCCCTGCGCCTTCAGAGTTCGGCACTGCTTGTCCAAGTCACTGTTCCCTTGAAGGAAGACACTTTGTAAACACAAAGAACAATGAGAAAGCATCGAGAAGAATAGAATCTTTGTCAGGAGCCAGGCTTCAGTCCTGCCCAGCAGGTCCCTGCCATGGGGGAGGGAGGCCACCCCTGTTTCTCCAGGGAGGGGCGGGTTTCAATCCAGGTCCGCTTGTCCAGCTTGCTCTGTGAGCAGTTTCAGCCACACACCCACACAGCATCGAGTTAAGGACTGGAAGTTACTGTTTCTATAGCTGGAAGGGACCGTGAGGGTGGTCTCCATCTACCCACTTTTTCGTAGATGAGAGATTCCGGCCCAGAGCGGCGGGTGTCTCGCCAACGCAGACAAAGATCGGGAGCAGAGCCACATTTCCAGCCGGTGGTGTTTCTCGATGCCTCCCTTTGGAGCTGCACCAAAGGCTCTGAGGCACGTGCAGAAAGCCCTGGTCTGGGGATTAAGCAAATAGATTTGGACTCTCCTATTCTTTCAGTAACTTTGAATCGATTATTTAATCTGTGATGTGTGAGCTTCCTTGGCCTCAGCTGTAAAATCAGGAGGAGTTTCTGTTTCACAGGGTTCTCGTAAGGAGCGGGCAGGATAACGACACCAAGTGCCGACACATGGCCAGGTGCACATGAGGCAGGACCCAGTGTGTGGTCGCTCCCTTTCCCCAAGCGGCCTCTCCTGCCCCACACCTGGACTCCTGCTAGACGCACACACCGCGCTCTTCCCAGCCATAGTGAGGCCTTTCCCTGGGTGTTGTCCCGGCCTGCAGTGACCCTTCCTGCTAGTTCATCTGTTTTCTAGAGCTCCGTAGACAATTACACCTATGCTCACATGGCAGCACTTCTAATGGTTAGGTCTGTGACCTTGGGCATCTTCTATCTGTTCTGGGATTTTGTTTCTTTTTCTGTGCAGTGGGAATAGTGACGCCAACTCTATACAATTGCGAGGGTTAAATAAGGCAGGTGGCAGGCTGGGGTGCAGTAGGCATTTGAGCTATGACCACTCATTGCTGTGGCTATTGCTGCTGCCTCAGGTCTGGTTTGAGACCTGTCTTCCGGTTTCTCTACGGAAGTGAGAAGCCATGAGACACAGTGTGACCTGTGGCAGTTCTCTGGCCATTGTCCAGGCAGCGTGTGCACCTGTGTGCTGAGGGCTGGAATCATGGCTCAGGTGGCATGGGGCAGAGTCGGTGCTAGGGATATGGGTGGGGGCGCTAATCTGGAAATGTGAGGACATCACTACTCTGGGTCATAGCTTGCAGGATTAATTGTGGCTTGGAGGTCAGGCCCAAGGGGTGCTGCTGATGGCAGCCAGCATGTCGGCTTTCAAGAGGGTGGTCAGGAGTTTCTTAACCATCCAAAGATCTTCAGCCTGGGGAAGAGGCATCAGCATGTCCTTCCCTTTATTCAGGAAGACACCAAGCACATGCTGACCTTCGAAGGACAGTGATTTTGGCCAAGATCGCCCCTCCACAAGAACATAGACAAGGCCAGGAGCTCAGGGTTAGAAAGAATTGAGTGTGCCTTGTAAATCCCCTTTCTCCCTTCCTCAAGTTTAATATAAATATCCAGCCATGGCAGGAAGACAGGCCAGCCCAGCCCAACTCAGCCCAGCCCAGGCAGCTGCTGCAAGAGATGACAAGCACCAGGACTGCCCCGGCCTCCCCAGAAGACAGGCTCCACGCTAGTGGCAGGGGCAGGCAGGGCTTGCAGGTGAGAGACAGGGGCAGCTGTGGGGGTTGGCAGCTCTCACTGCCGCTGCCCGGGCTGGGCTGGGTCGGGTTGGTCTGGGCATGTGCCAGCTGCCAGTGCCTGCTTATCTGTGACTCAGCTGCTACAGCATCAGGCACTGAAGATGGGTTCCTCATCATCAATGAGCGGCTCCCACCGCCCCCAGGCCTGGTTGAGGCCTTGGGGACCTGCAGAGGACCCCCATGCTGCCTCTAACCAGGTGAGCCCAGGGCCACGCTCTCATGCTCTCTAGCCTCAGCCTCCATATGGGAAAGTCTCTCTGCAGGTTCTCTCTGCTCCATGACTCAGGTCCTGTGAGACCAGGGAGTGGGCTGCCCGGACTCTCACTGGCCTCCAGGAGGTGGGGACAGGCTGTCCAGGCCCCCGCAGAGATCCCCGGGATGCTGCATCGGCCGTGAGTTTATGAGCTTGCCCCCAGAGAACATGACCTCACCTAAATGGGGCTGACACGTTTTACAGGGGACTGGAAGCACATCTGAAAGAGACCGTTCCACAGAGCTGGTTTTGCTTTTTTACTGCCCCATTAGAAGGAGTGGGGGTGTTTCTAGCTGGGACCGAGCTCCAGCTTGAAGGCAGTGGTTCCCAGTAGGGAATGCGACCCCACGGGGGAGGGACGCAGCCTGGGGGAAGCTGAGCGTGCACACAGCGCGGTGGGCTCACGGTTTGCGCGCAGGCTGGCACAGACTCACGTGAGGACATTTTTAGGGCGTGTGCGGCGATGAATGCAGCAGAGATGCGCTTGTCTGTAGGCTGGGAGTGGGAGGGAGGGGATACTGGCAGCGTGTGCTTCCGGCTGCAGGACTGTGCGGAGGACTCCAGTGTCTGACAGCGGCCTGGGCGTAGAGGGATTGAGTGTGGTTCCCACTGGGGTCCATCTCCCCTCGTGAAGTGCCGTCCTGCCACCAGGCAGCCCCCAGGGGTGGACAACACCAGGGCTCAGGGGCTTGAATGCTAAGGGCTTCCCGCTTGCTTTCCCCTTCACGCATGTAACCCTGAATTCTTACCTTTCACCCAGCGTGGATGAACGCAGGCGCTGCTCCTCATCTGCGGCTGTCCAGACAGGCTTTCAGGTCACGCTTAATGAGAAACCTCGGGTGTCTGATCTTGTCCGTTAGCTAGGCCTTTTCTCATCTTCTATGGTTTCAAAATAAAATACCAGGAGCTTCTTTTACCCCTGTGACTCTAGGCTACCCTTGTCATTTCAGTCTTTAGAGCTGGCTTTCTGCTTAGTGTGGCCTCAAGCATGTGGGGCAATAATAATATAAAGGTGAACAGCCAGGCGCAGCAGCTCACACCTGAAATCCCAGCACTTTGGGAGGCCAAGATGGTCGGCCTGCTTTAGGCCAGGAGTTCAAGACCAGCCTGGTCAACATGGTGAAACACCGTCTCTACAAAAAATGCAAAAATCAGCCAGGCATGGGGGGTGCACCTGTCATCCTAACTACTCAGGAGGCTAAAGTGTGAGGATCGCTTGAGTCCAGGAAGTTAAGGCTGCAGTGAGCTGTGATCGCACCATTGCACTCCAGCCTAGGCCACAGAGCCAGAACCTGTCCCATATTACATATATGTAAAGGGTGGACATCTGGGCTTTGCTGTCAGACAAATGAGAGTCGCTTCTGTCGCTTCCCTGTGGGGTGACCTGCGCCACTCCCTGGGCTTCCCTGAGCCTCTGGATCCTCAGCACTAACTGGGCCTAACAACTGAGGCTTGGCCAGGCACAGAGCCTCGTGCCCCATGTGTGAGGGCTTGGATGTGTGAGGCCGGAAAGGGCGGTGCTGGGCTGATTTCTCAGTCTCTCCCTCTCCATTCCCAGGGGTATAACTGCCAGAGGCAAAGGTGCCTGCTCCTAGCACCCCAGTCCTCCCCTACCGGCCCATGAGACCATGGAAGCAGAATAGAGTGCAGGTCTGTAAAATAGACCTTTCCCCCAAACCTGGACAGAAGTCATTTTCTCAATTTCTTTTTAACTCCTCCCACATCAGCCATTGGCTTTTCTAGCAAAAGCAAGAACATCCACCTCCCTAGGAAGTGGTTCGAGTTTATAGCCCCTAAAAAGACTTTAAGATTTGTGTTACGGGCCGGGTGCGGTGGCTCACACCTGTAATTCCAGCACTTTGGGAGGCTGAGGTGGGTGGATCGCATGAGGTCAGGAGTTCGAGACCAACCTGGCCAACATGACGAAACCCAGTCTCTACTAAAAATACAAAAAGTAGCTGTGTGTGGTGGCGGGAGCCTCTAATCCCAACTACTTGGGAGGCTGAGGCAGGAGAGTTGCTTAAACCTGGGATGCAGAGGTTGCAGTGAGCCAAGACCGTGACACTGCACTCCAGCCTGGGTGATGGAGCTAGATTCTGTTTCAAAAAAAAAAAAATTGTGTTATGAAGATGGGAGAGGGCGTCTATGGAGCACCCGTTATGTGCTGGGCAGTTGTGCTCTGTCCTTGTACAACACTTCATTTAATCTGCACAGTCACCTGCAGCAAGTAAAGGATTACTGATTTCTCTGTTGCTGATTTCTCCTAACCACTACCATACCCTACGTAAATTCTCACAAGATTGTGTGCTGGTCTTTGCCCAGGGTGTCACACTGTTTGACTTAATCCCCACAACAACCTCTGCAAAGCAGGTTTTCCCCATCTTCAAATGTTTCTTGGGTGAGAAAACAGGTTCACTCAAGTTGGGGGAGCTGCCGCCAGTGACATCGAGTTCTCAGATTTAAGTTCTTCAGCCCATGGGGCACAGCTGCCTTCAGTTTTTGAAACCAGTGAAAAAAGCACCATGTGTCTTTCCTAAGTGACGTGGGGAGGACCCAGCACCCATCCATCCACTCTACCTCGCTGTTAAGGATCTCTACTCCTTTCAACCCTCAACCCCATCCCGTCCCCCACCCCATGGGAGGCCACAGGGGGAGAACTGGGGAAACCATGGCTCCCAGCACCGGAAGAGAAGGCTCTCTGCTCCCAGCCCCCACAGACACACTTCATTTCTCTTATGTGGCACCAAAGCAACAGTCAGGTGTCTCCTAGGACCCAGTTCTGCTTTTGGATGATGAGATTGTTATTATTTATTATTCAATATTATTATTTTTGAGATGGCATCTTGCTCTGTCGCCCAGGCTGCAGTGCAGTGGCGTGGTGGTCTCTGCTCACTGCAATCTCCGCCTCCCGAGTTCCACTGATTCTGCTGCCTCAGCCTCCCGGGTAGCTGGGATTACAGGTGTGCACCCCCACACCGGGCTAATTTTTGTATTTTTAGTAGAGACAGGGTTTCACCATGTTAGTCAGGCTGGTCTTGAACTCCTGACCTCAGGTGATCTGCCCACCTCGGCATCCCAAAGTGCTAGGATTCCAGGCGTGAGCCACCGTGCCTGGCTAATGATGAGATTTTTAAAAGGTAATAAGCATTCATGGTAGGGCATTGGGGGACCCCTATCTACTTCAAAGGGCTTTTGTGAGAATTAAAGTAGCATCTGGGTAGAGCAAGGCAGAGAACCTTGCACATTATCTATTGAATAGTGAATACTCACCAAATGATTGCTAATCTGTTTTTAATGCAGCTTTTATTTGAATGTGGGTATGGCTGATGCTCTGAGAATTTTGTCAACTGTAAAATATTAGGTTGGTGCAAAAGTAATTGGAGTTGTTGCCATTGGAAGTAATGACAAAACCCATAATTACTTTTGCACCAACCTAACACTTATTAAACAAGATTATATGAAGACCTATCACTGTCCCAGTCCAGGAGAGACAGATGGACATGGCATGAGATGCATGTAATGCTTTAATATGATTTCTAGAAAGTGTTCAGAAAGATTGTAATTGGGCATGTATGGAAATTATGGAACACAAAGGATATGCCATTTATCTCAAACTCAGCTGCCTCCAAATTAACTCTGAGGCCACAAGAGTTTGGTTAAAGATGTCATTGTGTGCTGGGTATATACCCAAAAGAAAGGAAATCAGTCTATCGAAGAAATACCTGCACTCCTATGTTTGCTGCAGCACTGTTCACAATAGCTAAGATTTGGAAGCAACCTAAATATTGCAGATGAAAGGTTAAAGAAAATGTGGTACGTATACATGGTGGAGTACTATTCAGCCATGAAAAATGAGATCCAGTCACTTGCAACAACGTGGATGAAACTGGATATCATTATGTTAAGTGCAATAAGCCAGGCACAGAAAGACAAACATCATATGTTCTCACTTATTTGTGGGATTTAAAAATTAAATTAAAACAATTGAACCCCTGGAGATAGAAGAAGGATGGTTACCAGAGTCTAGGAAGGGTAGATGGGGGTTGAATGGCAGGTGGGGAAGGTTAATGGGTATTAAAAAATAGAATGAATGAATAAGATCTACTATTTGATAGCATAATAGGGTGATTATACTCAATAATAACTTTAAATTTAAATTTTTTATTTAAAATTTAAAATTGGATTGTTTGTAACTCAAAGGATACAAACACTTATGGAGGTGGATACCCATTCTCCATGACATGATTGTTTCACATTACCTGCCTGTATCCAAACATCTCATGTACCCTGTAAATATATACATCTACTATGTGCCCAGAAGAATTTTTTAAAAAAGATGTCATTGTGTCACTGAGTACCTAGAGTCGGAAGTCAGCCACCAATAAAACACGAGGGATACTTCCAAGATGACCACCTAGATCCTGGGTTTAACACTGGAGATGGGCAGAGAGGCAATTCAGCATTGTCTGAAAAATTATTATCAACTGAAAGTCATATATATATATATATATACACACACACACACATGCATGCACAAACACATATATGAGATATACTTCAAATATATGAAATAAGATTTATTCTATATATACAGCTGACCATTGAACAACACGGGTTTGAACTGTGAAGGTCCACTAAGACATAGATTTTCTTCCTCCTCTGCCACTCCTGGAGAGAGCAAAACCAACCCCTCCCTCTTCCCTTTCCTCCTCAGCCAACTCAGCACAAAGGTGATGAGGAGGAAGACCGTTAATGATGATCCATTTCCACTTAATAGTAAATATATTGTCTCTTCCCTATGATTTTCTTAATAACGTTTTCCTTTTTCTACCTTTACTGTGAGAATACAGTGTGTAATACATGTAACATGCAAAATATGTCTTAAGCAACTATTTATGTCATTGGCTTCTGGAAAACGGTAGGCTATTAGTAGTTAAGTTTTTGGGGAGTCAAAAGTTTAATGAGGATTTTCAACTGCATGGGAGATTGGGCCTCCTAACCCTAGCATTGCACAAAGGTCAACTTTCTTTCTTTCTTTCTTTCCTTCTTTCTTTCTTTCTTTTTCTTTCTTTCTTTCTTTCTTTCTTTCTTTCTTTCTTTCTTTCTTTCTTTTTCTTTCTTTCTCTCTTTCTTTCTCTCTCTTTCTTTCTTTCTTTCCTTCCTTCCTTCCTTCCTTTCTTTTTTTCTCTCTCTCTCTTTCTTCTTTCTTTCTCTCTCTCTTCCTCCCTCCCTCCCTTCCTTCCTCCCTTCCTTCCTTCCTTCTTTCTTTTTTTTTTTGAGATGGAATTTCACTCTTGTTGCCCAGGCTGGAGTGCAATGGCACGATTTCGGCTCACTGCAAACTCCACCTCCTGGGTTCAAGTGATTCTCCTGCCTCAGCCTCCCAAGTATCTGGGATTACAGGCATGCGCCACCATGCCCAGCTAATTTTGTATTTTTAGTACAAACTGGGTTTCATGATGTTGGTCAGGCTGGTTTTGAACTCCTGACCTCAGGTGATCTGCCCGCCCTGGCCTCCCAAACTGCTGGGATTACAGGCGTGAGCCACCGTGCCTGGCCCAACTGTATTTCTTTTATACATAAATAAAATACTCCTTATAATAAAGTCACATGATGGTCACCCTTCTGTCTCTACCGCTTCCCACCTCTACACCTCCAGTGTTAGATATTTATATTTATGAAGTCATGATATTTCCTCTTGCTATAGTCATTGTGGTTTCCTCCTCTGTATGGTGAAGCCCACTGTGCTCAACTCCCTCTCTGAGGCTTCCTCCAAGTCTGTTCCCAGTTGTATCACTACACTGAACTATTTAGACATTTATCTTACACGTGACTATTATTCCTAACCTAAAGGGCCAAAACTATTTCCTAGATTACAAGAGCATTATTTTTTTTTTTAGACGGGGTCTCACCTGTTGCACAGGCTGAAGTGCAGTGGAGCAATCATAGCTCACAGCAACGTCGAACTCCTAGGCTCCAGTGATCCTCCCGCCTCAGCCTCAGGAGTAGCTATAAGTACACACCACCATGCCCAGCTAATTTCAAGAGCATTCTTTTAACAACACAGGGAGAATTATTTTTTTTTTCCTGTGCACATCTTGGAATTACCAACTGCGACATTGCTAAAGTAGCTCAGCTTGTTCTTTTGCTGTTGGCACACTTTAGGGTTTTGTTTGTTTGTTTGTTTGTTTTGCCGGAGACCGGAGTTTTATCGTTACTCAAATCAGTCTCCCTGACCATTTGGGGAGCAGAGTTTTTAAGAATAACTTGGTGAGTCGCGGGGAGCCAGTGATACAGGAGTGCTGATTGGTCAGAGATGAAATCCTAGGGAGTCGAGCTGTGTTCTTGCGCTGAGTCAGTTCCTCAGTGGGGGTCACAAGATCAGATGAGCCAGTTTGTTGATCTGGGTGGGGCCAGCTGACCCATCAAGTTCAAGGTCTGCAAAATATCTCAAGCATTGATCTTAGGAGCAGTTTAGGGAGGGTCAGACTCTTGTAGGGGTCCAGCTGCGTGACTCCTAAACCATAATTTCTAATCTTGTGGCTAAGTTAGTCCTACAAAGGCAATCTAGTCCCCAGGCAAGAAGGAGGTCTGCTTTGGGAAAGGGCTGTTACCATCTTTGTTTAAACTATAAACTAAGTTTCTACCAAAGTTAATTCAGCCTGGGCTCAGGAATGAACAAGGACAGCTTAGAGGTTAGAAGCAAGATGAAGTCAGTTAAGTCCGATCTATTTCACTGTCTCAGTCATAATTTTGCAAAGGCCGTTTCAATCCCTTCCTTCGGATTTTATAGCACCTTAATCTAAAGATGTGGGCTAGGAAGATGAGAAAATGCCATCGATCGCTCTGGCTTCTTTCTTTAGGTGACTTGTGAGGCCACTATAAACGCGCTGTCTTTCAACACAGTTCATCCCAAGTAATTTCCTTTGGGAAGAATGAAAGGAGTAGACAGAAGCAACAAAAATTTAGCTCTTCATTATAAGCAGATGCAAGAGCAAACAGATATTCTCAGTAATTACTATTTGGAATCACAGTACCATTAATTGATTACATTCATTGAAATACACCAGTAAGAAACAGGAGGATTTTTACAATTCCTTGAAGATTACAAGCTTTAGACAGATTCCACCCATACTTGAATTAGTGATCAAAGAAGAGTGGTGACATATTTAATTAGTAACCATAATACGGTATGGAATCCGCTCAGAATATTTTTAGACAAAATAACTGATATGCCTAGTTGACAAAATTTTTTAATTCGGAAAAAAATGTAAATATACCAAAACAAAACCAAAAAACCCAGAGAATAGTATAACATAGTATTCAGTATAAGGCCAATTCAGAATGAACACATTTCAATATTCTCATATTTGCTTCAGATCTTATTTTTTGATTGTGCTTTTTCTTGAACTCCAAGAATTCCTGGAATATTCTTTGAAATCGTAACTTCCATATCATTTATTAAATGTTTATTGATTATGCCATTTACTTTTTAAAATAATCTATTGACTTCGGACTATAAAATTCAAACACAATTGCTTTAGAAAATCTTCAGGTGGGCCGGGGGCGGTGACTCACGCATGTAATCCCAGCACTTTGGGAGGCCGAGGCGGGCGGATCACGAGGTCAGGAGATGGAGACCATCCTGGCCAACATAGGGAAACCCCGTCTCTACTAAAAATACGAAAAAATTAGCCGGGCGTGGTGGCGGGCGCCTGTAGTCCCAGCTCCTCTGGAGGCTGAGGCAGGAGAATGGCGTGAACCCGGGTGGCGGAGCTTGCGGTGAGCCGAGATCGCGCCACTGCACTCCAGCCTGGGCGACAGAGAGAGACTCCGCCTCAAAAATATAAAATAAAATAAAATAAATAAAATAAATAAAATGAAATAAAATAAAATAATCTTCAGGTGATACTTAATGATATAACTATGATTGAGGTAACCCTAAAATGTTATCTCAAATTATGCCTACTGAATCAGTTAAACAAACTGTTGCTGATTGCCTAATCAGTGCCAGGAATCACGGCAGTTTTGAGACACAAAGGTTGGGGTGAAAGTTCCTCGCCTTTAAGTCATCTTGTACATCAGGTCTGCCCCGTGGAGATATAATGCCATATAGCGAATATTAAACCTTCTAGTAGCCACATTAAAAAAAGGTCAAATTAATTTTAATATAGTTTATTGAGGACAATATGTCCAAAATATCACTCAAATATGTAATCAACATGAAGATTAATGAACTATTTTATTTTTTGTACTTATTTTTCCAAGTCTGGCATTGTACACTAACTTCTCTGATTTCAAGGACTCTATAGCCACATGGGGCTCCGGCTGCCCTACTAGGAAGTGCTGATGTGGAGGGTGGGTTTGTGGCTCACAGGTCCTAACAGAGCAACTGGGGAAGCTGTTGGCTGCATTGCCTTGAGCTCAGTGGTAATGGACGTTGGGGGTGGGGAGGGTGTTGAGCGGGTGAAGATAGAGGGGAAGCAGATGGAGGTGGATGAAGAAACCACCAAGTAGACTTGCTTAGAGAGACAGGTGGTAGGGGTGGTTGAAGATACCCCCAGGCATTGGGCCCAGGTGGCTGGCACAACACCGGGGAACAGCATGCAGAATGAAACTGTAGGATGGGAAGGTCTTTAGCAGCCACGTCCCAGGGGACGCTACAGTCCAGAAAGAAGAGACCCACTGCTACATACTTGGGACCCGACCGCAACTCTAGATCTCCTGACCCTCAGAACAATGTCGTTGTTCACTGTACCACTCTGAGGCCAAGCTCAGTTTAAGTTCTATTGCCAGTTTTATGTCAGACTGGAGCTGCCAGTCAAGTCATAAAATACACCAGGAACCAAAATCTATCCACGAGCCAGTGAGAGTGGGTGCAGGAATAAAAACCATGTTGGAGAGAACAGAGCCAGAAATTACCAGGTACTTAGACACATGGAGGCATACTTTATATTGGATTTATTTCTAATCTCATTATCTTTCATTTATGTCAACTTCTAGAAACAGAAAGAGGGGAGGAGATATGGAAACAAAAAGGATAAAGATGTTAGTACACAAGAAGAGGGGGTACATCGTTTATGGGTTTTTTTTGTATACTTCATTTTACTTGAAAATGTCTATTTTGCATTTGTTACATGCCCTATTAGAGCAACATACCAAAAACCTAAAATGTAACAAAGTTATTAGCTCTAGTATAAGGCAGAATGCCCTTATGGACGTGTGTGTGTGTGTGTGTATGTGTGTGTGTGTGTGTGTGTGTGTGTAACAAAAGTTGCTAACATTTGCGCACTCAGAATGTGACAGGCACTAATCCAAGTGCTTCACATAGATGATTTCGCTTAATTCTCACAAGCCTGTGAGGTAGGTTCCATCACTGTTATTTTCATTCTGTATTTCAGGACATTGAGGCACAGAGATTAAGAAACTGACTACAAGGCCCGGCACGGTGGCTCATGCCTGTAATCCCAACACTTTGGGAGGCTGAGGCAGGTGGATCACTTGAGGCCAGGAGTTTGAGACAAGACTGGCCAATATGGCAAAACCCCATCTCGACTAAAAAATACAAAAATTAGCCAGGCGTGGTGCCGCACGCCTATAATCCCAGCTACTTGGGAGGCTGAGGCAAGAGAATGGCTTGAACCCAGGAGGTGGAGTTTGCAGTGAGTCGAGATCACGCCACTGCACTCCAGCAAGGGCAACAGATCGAAACTCTGTCTGAAAAAATAAAAATAAAAAATAAAAAACTGACCACAGTCCCTTGCTGACCAGTGGCAGGGCAGGGCAGGGACTCAAACCGAAGTGTCCTGGCTCTAGAATCCATGCCCGTAAGCCCGGCTCTCCATCTACTCCCAGCCACTCCTCCCCAATCTCCTTCCCAAACAAGAAACACTGATACACAGAATGAGTTATGAAGAACCTTGTGTTTTGATCATCTGGACAACAGAAAGCCCCTGTTTTAAGAGAAACACAGTGTGTTACTGATGGTGTCATCAGTGACGTGGCCCTGATGTGCCGCCATGCTCCAGCTCAACTACACCGGAGCAGCAACTGTTTTCACCCTTCTGGATTCAGCTAAGAATCACCGACCATCGAGAACCAGCTAACACCGAATGCATCAGAAAGAGCCAACTTCCACATAGATCCCTTCCTGGGCATATGCTTAGGGGCTCTGCCAAAACCTGAACAAGGCACATGGTAGAGATGACACAGCTCGGGTGCCTGTGCAGTAACGTGTCCTCACAGGAAGTGGTGATGCCTTGCTTTCATTCCCTACTATATCTTTGGCTTCACTACAGTCTTTGTGAAGCTTTCTTCACACCATACACAGGAACCTCTGGAAATAACTGTGCTAAGCTAAGCCCCTAGCACAGCGCCTAACACAGAGCAGGAATTCAAATTTGTGAAGTGAGTGCACAGCTCTCGCTGCCGTTTTAGAACACCTTGGGAACACTACCTTAATCCCAACCTCAGAAATCTTTAAGGAAGATAGCTATTAACTTCTTTCTCATTTTCTACTAGATGACCAAATTCCAACGATCACAATTCTATATTGAAAATTATTTCACAGTAAAACCAAATCAACCAAGGCAAGGAAACAATAACATCATAACATACGTATGGTATTTTACTGATGTATTCATTCATTCCAGGACACATCTCCCAGCTTCTACTTACATTTGCTAAACAGTTTGACACAGAAATTCTTTAGTTCTAGTTCTCTTCAACTGATATTTAATTTGAAAGTGTTCTTTAAGAATCCAAATACATTGGGCCAGGCGCGGTGGCTCGCGCCTGTAATCCCAGCACTTTGGGAGGCCAAGGCGGGTGGATCATCTGAGGTCAGGATTTCGAGACCAGCCTGGCCAACATGGCGAAACCCCGTCTCTACTAAAAATACAAAAAATTAGCCAGGTGTGGTGGAACACGCCTGTAATCCCAACTACTTGGGAGGCTGAGGCAGGATAATTGCTTGAACCAGGGAAATGGAGGCTGCAGTGAGCCGAGATTGAGCCACTGTACTCCAGTCTGGGCAACAGAGCAACACTCCGTCTTAAAAAAAAAAAAAAAAAGAATCTAAATACATCAGTTCTCTGATCTAAGCCAGGTTCTTTCCTCATCTTTGTTTCCATTATATAAACAAATGATCTCTCACAGTAGTTACTGCTATTTTCCACTCTAGCCAATGATAAAACATGGGGATGGCAGCGGTGGGTGGGAATTCCGGCTTTTCTCCACCATCTTCTCTGCAATAAACTGAAAGACCTTATAAAAGATGGGTGCAGTTGAGGAAAAAGAATAAAGGTGGTCATGGGCAAATGAAAACTGGTTAATTGTCCGAAAACTATCAAGAACTGACCTGTGACCCAGACAGAAAGTAACTCTGCATGTCTCAACAGAGCACAGTATACACGAGCTTGAATAACCAGAAAGATGTTTAGCAACAAATCCTCCTCACAATCATGTGTTGAGTTCCAAAACACTTCAGAAAATAATGGACAATTACTTATTCACACATTTTAGACAGCAAATAAAACTGAATTGGTTTAGCAAGAATAATAATCTCTCACATTGGTGTTAAAATTATATAAGAATGTATTTTTATACCTAGAATCTCAAACTAGTGAGAGTCATTTCCCTGAACTCTTTGAAGTAAATACATATTCTCCCCTCTTTACAGGTAAGGGAAAGCTCAAACAGGAGAGGAATTTTTTTTTTTTTTTTTTTTTTAATACGGAGTCTCGCTCTTGTCGCCCAGGCTGGAGTGCAATGACGCCATCTTGGCTCACTGCAACCTCCGCCTGCAGGATTCAAATGATTCTCCTGCCTCATCCTCCCAAGTAGCTGGGATTACAGGTGCCTGCCACCACACGCCTGGCTAATTTTTGTATTTTTAGTAGAGACAGGGTTTCACCACGTTGGCCAGGCTGGTCTCAAACTCCTGACCTCAAGTGATCCACTTGCCTCGGCCTCCCAAACTGCTGGGATTACAGGCGTGAGCCACCGCGCCCGGCAGGAAATTTATTTAAAGTTATGCATGTAGTGACACAGCACCAACTCTTTTAGAGTCTGGGATTTACCTTGATAAGGTAACTGTTGGTACAAACTATCCAAAACCTGGCAGTATGCTTGCAGATGCATTACTTTTAGTGGTCAAGCTACGCTGTGGCATGGGGTTTGTGATGACAGTGAGATGAGATGATGCCCGCAAGAGGCTTAGTGCACTGCTTGTTTACTATCACTACAAACTGAACCTTTAAAATATGACGTAGTATTTAATAGCCGTATTTGGCAATACAACATATATACACAACATGTAAACTTTATCACATATACAAGAAATAACTTTTTATCACCAATTTTTGAGATGCATATTTTCCTTTATTGCTGAATTAATGAGGCACCAATAATCTCAAAAACACAAGTCAGACTTTATTCTGAAAATACCATAAAGAGACAAAAAGAGTTAGTCAAGTATTCTTGCCTGCTGGAGACACAGAATTTCAATAGCACCTTTTTTAAAAAAAGACATGAACATTTATAAAATTGCAGAACATATCTTACATATTCACATATAAAATCATGAACCAATAATAATCCGGATGGAAAAACTGATCTGTTTCATCAACATCAATAAACATTTTGTTGAGAGTTTGTTCCACATATTATACTTCCCTCAGTATATTAGAAGTACTTCAGCTTTCTATTTGAAGTGGTTTTCCTAAAAATAACCTTTTCCCCTGCTCAGGATAACCAGCTATTATTATAGTATACATATTATAATAACAAGGTATATGTCTTTGACCTCATATATGACTCCCCAGTTGCTACAGGAATAGATTTACTTTTCATACACAAATTGGAAAAGATGTCAAATATTGATGATAGTATCGAAGAGTTGTAGCTACTCTAAACTGAGTAAATTAGCGATTGTACAGACGAGCACTTCATAATAGTTGAAGGTTTTAAATTCAGTTAATTACATGAATATTTGACAAGTATGTGAATGTTGTAAATATTTTGACCAAAGTACTAATTTTGATTCTAATGATTGCATGTTACATAGTCTCTATATAATGTCAATTATACTAAGTGATAACGTAATTTCAAGTTCTTTAATCAAAAAGTGTGAGTTACTCGTAATGAAAACTGGCCCAAAAGGAGGGAGAAAAAATCTTGTTTATAAAGCAAGCCATGCAAAACTACAACGACATTGCATTGTAGCTTTCCACCAGATACGGAATATCTGCCAAGAAAATATTTCACTCAATCTTCAATCTAAACACTACTAAAAACAAATTAAGGTTAAAATTATTTTACTATGCGCTTGCAATTATACACACAAAATACTGCTTTGGTAGACATTTCTCTCTCTTTTCACATTTTTTGTGGTACATATCTGGGAGTTACTGTGTGTCTATAATAAGCAAATTTTATATTTCTATATTTCCTTTTCATTTTCTAAGAGTTGGGGTCTCGTGCTGTTACCTAGGCTGTAGTGCAGTGGTATGTCCATGGCTCACTGCAATCTCAACCTCCTGGGCTGAAGCGATCCTCCCACCTCACCCTCCCGAGTAGCTGGGACAAACTACTCAGTGTACGCCACCATGCCTGGCTAATTTTTTTTAATTTTTTTGTAGACAGGTTCTCGATATGTTGCCCAGGCTGGTCTTGAACTTGGCCTTATTTCCTTCTATCTATGATCAGTCTAGTTAGATCACTTGATTGACACAGACCTATTCAAAGAATATAATTATGAACAAAGGAAAAAATAAAGCTTATGTAACCCATATTAAGCAAAATTGTTGCCACTCTAAATTTTAAAAATCACATGGAAATGAAACATATGAAAAACTATCAGTATGTATGGTGTAAGAGTTAGCCAGATCGGCACTTTTATTCACCAACTTAGTTAATTTAAGGCATTTGACATGTTTCACTGAGATCACTTAATGATTACAGAATTGCCAAGCAAATTAACATCGGCCATGCATCTTATAAATTGCAGATGAATTTATATAACCAAACTAATATACTGCTTAACAGTTTTGATTATTTTAGTGTATTTTTTTAAAACTTTGCTCAAAGCTTAGGGAAAAATATTGTGAAGAATGCAGGGCCAGTCATTAAGCCTATTTTATGTACTGGGAGACTGTTGGTGAATTTTAGGGTCAAAAAATGTTAAACAGCACAGCCATTAGAGACAGTGAAAGATTTTATTTTTTTTTTTACTTTCATCCAAACACACCCTTTTCTGAAAAACATAAAAGCATGCACATCGACGGCATTCTTATAAAGAAAAATTAATAACTAAGCTGTAAATCAGTAATAATACAAACAAAAGTTTAAATGATATGTGAAAAGACTTACAGGTAGGTATACGGCTCTTAATTTTAGAAAATAATTCAAGTCAGTATCAATACAGGTTAAGGAGAAGCTTCTAATTTTCCAAACATTTTGATACAAAATTTTTTTCAACGACTGTATTTTATAGACCTTTTGTGAGAAGATTAGTATAGTTCTATGAAACCTAACATTCAAGTGATCTTATGCAGGTCAGGCTACCTTGTTAAAATGAGTTAGAATCCACATAATTCCAACAGTATTGCCTCTCAAAGTTCAAATTTAGAACATACCCATTATATTCAAAATATATTAAATCCCTGTACTTAACAAAGACATGGAATTGATCTAAATTTTACTTTACAGGTAAGAGAAAATTACAATTCAGCATGAGGAAATTTTCATAAGTTTTACCCATGCCCCGATTATTAGGCCAACTATATCCTGAGTGTCCATGGATGTGTGCATACATTCTAATGTACACAAACCAATTCACACCACACGACTCTTCAAAGATGATGCTTGAAAGAGTTTATTCTCTGGCATGGGAGAAGCAGTGTAACACAGTCACTTAATTTTCCCTTAATCATTATTTCTTTCATTTTGCTTATCATGATCCAACTGGTATGTTTAATGTGGGCCACTGATATATTTCTGCAGCAAAAATCCAGTAGCAGTAAGCAGAAATGTCAACTTAAAGGACTATGAGGAAATCGAAGTTTAAATTATAACACAAAAATAGAACAGTTCACACTGAAAGGTCTTCTCCCATGGGATATATTGTTCCATGGCTAAAAATCGTGATCTGGTTCCTGGAACACAGCTCTTGCTCTAAGGCGATACATATTAATGTGTAGCTCCACTAAACCTAATGGGAAATAAACAAATTCGTTCAGTCATGACAAATTAAGTCTGTATTTCACTGGCTTGAGAAGGTGAACTTCTTGACACAGACAAATGCAAAATGCCTCTGCAGTAGCTGGTGAAGCCCACTCACAAGGGCTTAAAGAGTTCAACTCTGAAAGTGGGCAGCACAGGCTGGCTCTGCATTTCTTCCTAGCAAGTCTGCGTGCAAGCCGCTGAGCAGCACCACTGACGGGATCCAAGGGAAGGACCAGAGCCCAGTGGGAATCCACCACACTACAGAAACGCGACTTCTGAATGAATATTCTGTGAAATCAAAGAGAAGCAGGCAAAAGGCACACGCTAGTAAATCTAGGCAGAATGTCTGCAGGCTCTCATCACCTTAAAAATCTTGTGAACTTGGGGTCCAACCAAGGTTCACACCGACTCTTTTGATATTAAAAAAACAAAACAAAACAGAAAACCTTAACGTTTTCAAGCACTTATGGCACAGACAAAGGGAAGTACTAATAGTGTAGCTTAAATCTTCAAAAAGCTGGGAAATTTAAAGTTCTGCTATAATGAATCAGAGTCACAATTTTAAACTTCGTTCTCATATTTTATACCATTTTCTGTGTGTACAGGGTGTGCAAATTAAGCAATTTCAATAAATATTAGAAATTTATTTTGCAAATATAAAATGAGTAAAATCAGCTAATAACGCAATACAATAAAATCATGTGCTAAACAGAGCTTTTTCCCCATGAACACTTTTTACCCTTTCCTTTGAACATCCTGACACTTCCTAAATACAATTTATTTCACTGACTTGTAGAAATAAGCAAAAGATGAAATATTAACTAGCTGCAAGATACTAAATACTTTAGTAATAAGAGCTTGGAGCTGTCAAGTTGTAATAAATTGAAAATAACAGAAAAAGTGAAATACGCTGCAAATTAATGCTCAAAAATGCAGCCATCTGACTTGCAAAATACACAATCCTCCCAGCCTTCTCAAGTTGTCATTAGTTCATAGGAAATGGACAGAGCAGGAGAAACTCCATTTAGCTTTTACCCTTCCAGCAGCCCCGATGCTAAAGTTGTACAACCAGGTATGTTTGCCCAAGACCATTGCATATCAGCTTTCGTCACAAATTCTATTATCCAATCTTCAATCAACAAGGCTTTATTTACACTCCTTAATAAATTCAGGAAACAATTTGATGTCATGTGCAGCCGCCAAAAATAGACAATGTAGCACATCCCACTGTCTGGAGACAGCTACTTGTCTATGCTTTAATAGTAACCCACAGGCAGCCAAGTAGGGTTCCATATATCCAGGTGTTCACATACAGCTTCCTTCCAGCATCGGTCATAAGCATGCCTGCAGTCAAACCACTTAAGATCAACATTGATGGTAAAGTCTTCTTGATACTTAATTTGGAATTAACACTTTTCCCAGGAAATCTTTTTCTTCTTTCTGGATCTGGTGACTCATAAAATTCTATAAGCATCCTATGGCCAGAATGGAAAAAGTTTAGATTTTAGTCACTTCAGTATTTCAATTCAAAAAATATCAATCAGGTAGCTATTACACGCTGGAAAAGTTATGCAGGTCCCTGGAAAATAAGGATGAATACGGAAACATCCAGAAACTTGGTTTAATAGAAGTTTCTAGTCTTCTAAAATATCTTTAATATGCTCTATGATTAGTATACATGAATTGTATATGTAATATTTCAACAGGTGGTTTTAAGGCATTTTATGAGGATGCTTTTTGTCTTTTAAACTTTTGATAAAGTTTTACAGTGACCTGACTCACAAATGGCTAATAACCCGCTGCAGCTTCTCCTCCTTTTTACATGGAGCTCCTATTCCGCCAGAAGTCAAAGATAGGACCAGCGGTTCTTAGACAGCGGTCCCTCTGTATCGACAGGGGGCTGGTCCCAGGATACCCGGCAGAGACCAAGATCAAAGGATGCTCAAGTCCCTGATATATGAATAAAATGGCATGTATTTGAATATAACATATGCATATCCTCCCAAATCCTTTTTTTTTTTTTTTTTTGAAAAAAGGCACTCTGTTACCAGGCTGGAGTTGGCACAATGATAGCTCACTGCAGTCTCAACCTTCCAGGCTCAGGTGATCCTCGCACCTCGGCCTCCTGAGTAGCTGGGACTACAGGTGCACGCCTGGCTAATTTTTGTATTTTCTGTAGAGACAGGGTTTTGCCATGTTGCCCAGGCTGTCTTGAACTTCTGGGCTCAAGCAATTTGCCTGCCTTAGCCTCCCAAAGTGCTGGGATTACATGCATGAGCCACCACAGCCAGCCCCCTTTTTTTCTGAGTATTTTTGGTCTGTGCTTGGTGGAATCCATGAATGTGGAATCCATGGATATGGACTGCTCACTGCACCTGGGCTGTCTCAAAAACGCCTTTATTCCCACAGAATTAGAAAGGCAGGTAAAAGAAGGAAAACAGCATAGTTAACTCATTTTCCCATATTACATAAGATTTGTAAAGTTATGATAGCAGAACATACCCGATATAATAATCTAAAACACAAACAGAAAGGGAAAGCGCTTCTATTGCTTTATAAATCACACACCCTAGCAATAATCATTGTTTTAAAATGTCCAGAGGTATTCTAAATACTTATAAAATAAGTAGGACATTAAATACATTAGTCTTTTTTCTGAGAACATATTTTCATGTCAATACATGTAGATCTTACTTTTAAATTTCTTCCATGGGCCAAAGTGGTCCTGAATGGCTCGCTGAATACATTACATCATGTACAGTTAAGAGTCAATGAAAAATAGAAGCTTAAAGTTTCATTGTTAACCTATTACACTTTTAATCATTTTCACCTGGTAAAGTTAACCCAGGAGGGTTAATTAAAAACACTGTACTGTAAAACAAGGAAAAGAAGAACAATGATAGTTTCTTGAGCAGAAAGTACATATTTAGAGAATAAAACAATTGGCTAAAATTTCTGAATATAATTAACCACAGAAGACACTTTGGATATAACGCTGTCAACTGCCCCCTTCTATTTCCAACAAATATAACAGCATCATGTCCACCTGCACGTCCGCATAGTCCTCTACCCCTCCCTTGCTTTTCTGCGCACACTGGCCCAACAGCCAGACCTCACACAGTAACACCACTTTATGTGACCTGACAGGTAGGTCCGGGCATCTGACACTGGAAAGTTTTTTTGTGTGTTTGTTGTTGTTTTTAATTTAATTTGCTATGTTATCACGTAGTATTGTCCAAGAAATACTATCAATGCAAGTAGATGGGCCCACTGTAACAAGTTCTTTTAGACTGATTTGTACAAGTAAAGTTTAAAACACGATCAGACATGCATAAAATTTGATTTGAATTTATAAAATGTATTCTTGAGACAATATAACCATTTACATTGGTTTCAAATTGTTGACTATACTGAAATCTAGTTGAACCGAAGTTCCGGAAGTGCTGGAACTGTTGTTACTCACTTATCTTTGATTTCGAAACGTTCATGCAGCCATCTTCTCATATGTTCTTGTTCTTCTGGGACATCTTTTTTGTCGATACGATCAATGTGAATATGAATTTTTGGACATTCTTTGCAGAGAAATTCTAACAAAGAACAAAAATAATTCTTTTTTTTTACTATTTTAGAACTCATGGTCATATAAAGTAAAAATGAAAATAAGGTAACAGGACAAAAAAAGTTGTAAAATGAAGAAAAAGTACAGATTCCTTAGGAAAAATAAACAAAAGTTAAAAAAAAAGGATTATAAACTGGTGGTTGGGGGTTTCAAGCTGAAGTAGAAGAGCATGTTATAATTTCTAAGTCAACTACAATTACATAAGTCATTAAGTTAAATCAATAGTACCAAATGTTATTTTTCATGTGACAACTTTTAGTGCTATAGACAGCCCAGGAATAGGAAGCTGGAGCCTCCTCTAAGTCCATACTCACCTCTCTGAAGGGACCCGCAAATGCCTACCACCACCAGCCCCATCCTAGTGTGTCACCTGTCACCATGGTGACTGCTGCCTCCCCACCAGACTGCGAGCTCCACAGGGGCCGAGAGGAAGCTGGTCTGGCTCACGATGGCACCTCCTGACCTGGCACACAGCTGGGCACTCACAGGCGCCTGATAATCCTCAACTTTGCTTGTCGCCTGACACACAGCTTCTCGTCACTGACTGCTACACAGCCACAACAAACTTGGGGGAGCAATTGCCCCTCCTCTCTAACTTGGCCATTGGTTTCTAATCATTGCCACTCCTTGCTTTCCTGATACTTGCCATATTTTAACATATTATATAATTGGTAAAAGAACCAAAATTATTACTGTGGAATAGCCATGAGCCCTGTAAACAACTGTAGTTTCTAAGACTTGCTTATTTGAAAAAAGGAGACAGTCTTTTTCAGCCTCGATTGCACAAGGTATGAGGCTATTATTTATTCCAAGAAAGAACGGAGACTAGAAACTCCCTTCTTTGTAGGGGGCTCCCTGTGGACAGGTAAGAATGTTAACATATTTAAGTTCCTTGAAGAACAAAGAAATATTCCTAAGATTTAAGAGCTGACTAAGGTAGGGAGGTATGCCGAGTGGGAGGCTGAGACCTTTGGCCTCAAATTGAAAATGCGTTCAAAGACGTGTTCTGAGAAATGATGAATTCTACACTCCACCGTCCGAGGAAGACTTGTCTTTGCTCCTTCAACCCCACACACTTCCCGTTTTTGCTAAGTACTCTCTGCAACTGCTCTTCTTGACTTCAGTGTCGAGCTCTTAGTAACATGCAGCATTTAGGTGATCAAAAATACCCTGTATTCTTACACACTTCCAGGAGTAAACTGGCTTTAATAATACATGTGCAAAACACTAAAATAAAGATTTTAATTTTTCATTATTTTTGTCTTAATTTTCCTACAGTACTATCATCTGAATAATCAAAGAACTGCTTAAAAAGTATTTTTAGCAGCACAACTGTGCCCTAGGGAAGAGCACACATGGTGGAGTCAGGTAGCCTGGATCTCCACCTCTGGGGTAACCTTGGACAACTGTCCGCCTCTCTGTGCCTAAGGGTGCAAGTCTATAAAGTAGGGATAATAATAATAGAAGATTTCAAGCACCTACAGGAGTGCTTGGCACACAGTATGCACTATGTGTTAGCTATTATAGTGTTTTAGCCACAAATTACTTCTCACCCTATCTTATTTCTATTTCTGACACATAAAAAGACAGATTCCGACACCAATTTTCCTGCCTTCACTGAATTATCTAGATCTCCACCTCAACATTTCCATAATTAAGTAATCACCTGGTCAACACTGCAGATACCCGGTATTTCAAGTGCTGGCATACAGATTGTAAGGAAGATGGAACAGACTGCATTTCGAATGTCAGAAATAGAATGCTTCGTGGAGTACAGTGCTCAGGACGTGGCAGGGCCTCTACTAAGACGTCAGCTTTGGAAGAAGAGGCAGTGCTGCTGAGACAAAAGCACTCCGAAATGTGCATGGGTCCTTTTGTTTTTCCTAAAACGTACATGTGCTCAGAATGTGTTTACGGCATGCTTTTGAGTATGTTAATTATTTCATTTGATCTCTGCAATTCTACGCAGGCAGGGGCTGTTATTATCTCCTTGTAAGATGAAGAAACTAAGTCTCAGAGACGACCAAGGCCCAGCGTAGCCATGGTGGGGCTATAACAGCCAAGTCCCTAAGGTTCAGGACCCAGGTAGGGACAATGAGAGGAGCATGCGACAAAGTGGAAAGCAGTTCAATGTCAAATGCCATTTAGGAGGTTCTAACACTGAAGGGAGGAAATAAGTGGTATAAATACTTCCTATAGGTTTAATAAAGTACTTATATATCCACATTTGCAAAAACTATCTTAGTTGAAGGATAGTTCATGTTACATGAGTAAAAATCACCCTATAGCACCTTAGGGAATCTAGGAAAAAATACTCTAAGATATTATTGTTTTTCTACCCATAAATTTCTAGTAGGCACTAAAGTATACTGATACACTTGGGTAATAGAGAAAGTCTTCCAACTATTCGTACAGGTCACAGGTCTACTTGCTGCAAAACCAAGCCCCATTTGCTCTGAAGGCAACACACAGGACCCACATTCCAACAAGATGAAGCCGGGGAGATAACTGCTGTTAAATCACATCAATGAACACTATATAGCCTTTAAAAAAAAGTTACGGAAGTATATATACTGACATGTACAGCTGTTTATAACACACAAGAAAATATGAAGAACAGGAGATATAGACACACACAGAAATCTCATCTTTAAAAAATACGTAAAGGCACATACTCTCTCCAACATATAGACATTATAAAAAAGAGGATTTAAAGGAAAATATCCAAATTGTTAAAGGAAAATATCCAAATTGGGGTTACCGCTGGACAGGTGAACTTGTGGAGATTTTTCCTTCTTCTTTGGGTTATCTGTAATCCCCTCTTCCCTGATCCCTTTTTTTTTAGGCGGATTCTTGCTCTGTCAGCCAGGCTAGAGTCCAGTGGCACGATCTTAGCTCACTGCAACTGCTGCCTCCCGGATTCAAGTGATTCCCCTACCTCAGCCTCCTGAGTAGCTGGAATTACAGGTGCCTACCACTGTGCCCGGCTAATTTTTGTATTTTTAGTAGAGATGGGATTTCACCGTGTTGGTCACGCTGGTCTAGAACTCCTGACCTTGTGATCCACCCGCCTCAGCATCCCAAAATGCTGGGATTACACGCGTGAGCCACTGTGCCCGGCCTCCATACTTTAAATATAAAAATATTAATAGAAATGGAAAGTAAATATGTTGTAATATGAAAATACTGGTAGAAAAAACTTAACTAGGATCATACACAATACTCAAATAGAATACCAAAGGTTGTCCTTAAGCACACAATTTATTACATTACAACAGCCACTTCAGAAAAATAATTAAAAAAAAATCAATAGTAATCAAACTACACTGTTTCGTCTCTGCCGCAATGACATCTTCCATGATTACAAGAAGCAGTGAACCATGAGAGAATGCCCAGGTGGGCTTTGATTTATACCTCCCTTAAAATGAAACTTACACCATAAAACGGGAAGGACAAGGGACACTACTGGCTGCCTCTCCTCAACATAAGACCTCATGAAGGTGACTACAAGAATTCCTGTAGCATTTGTTAGCACTGCAGCTTCTACAGCTTCCCAGCTCTCACCTGCAGAGCGTCCTGGTAGCAACGTGGAGTGGAGCAGAGGCCCTGCATGTTCAACAATCACTGCAGCTAATTCTGACAAACAGTGATCCCCCAGAATGCTTTGAGAAACACTGGGCCATGGCATATCAACAATCTACCAACTTCAGAAAAAAATTATTTCTTAATTGCATCATAAAATATGAATATTAAATAGCCTACTATATATAGAGATAATATTTAATACTAATGAAATGTGGCCACAAAGTACTTACAGTATTCCAAGTTACAGAATTTTCTACCTAACACAACTTATATCAGATGTCATATAATTTAAAGTGACTCTTAAACTAAAGTAGATTATAACCAGACCAGAACACCCATCAATTCATATAAACAATTGAAAGCAGGGCTGAGCCAGTGACAGAAAACAAAAAAAAACAATGAAAGCAGAGTTTTTTCAAGCTACAGGTTAAAAGCAACACACTAGAAGGAAAAACGTGTTATTATTATATCTTATGTGCACACGTATACATGTTGAATAATGTCTCAGAAAGCGGGAATGCTAAATCTAAAATGTGAATGCATTTGTACATCTGAGAGACATTTCCAAAGCAACTTCTACAAAGGTTTGTACTACATTGCATTCCTAACAGCAAAGTATAAAAATGCCTGATAATACTTGAATCTCACCCACTGAGCCTATGATCAAACCTTGGGATGTTTGCCAATCTAATGGATTAAAAAAAAAAAAGGTATCCCCTGTAGTTTTCATTTGCACTTACCTTATCATGAATGAGGTTAAATGTGAAATGTCTATTGTTGTTCTTTACCCATTTTTCTTTCTAGTTATCAGTCATCTTCTTATCAATTTGTAAGTGCACTTTACGCAAGAAGGAAATGACCCCTTTTCTATGATCTAGGTTGTAAATAATTTCCCAGTTTGTCTTTCAGTCTTGATTTTACTCTGGTGTATTTTTCCTTTAATTCAGAAATACTTTATCCTTGACTGAAGTGATAAGATTTTATTTTCTTTATGGTATCTGGGTAAGTCAGAAAGGTCAATCTTTCAAAAGGAGACAATTTGTAATGAATACACATAGGCAGTGACCACCCCAAAGCCACAGTCAGCTCACATGTAGCAGAGGATAAGCAGGGCAGTGGGAGGTTGGAACCCAGGCAATGCAACTCACAGAAGGTTTTGGCTTCCTCAAGGCACTTATGATGCGGCTGGGAAGAGAGAAAGGCAGAGCCCTGTGCTAAGTGCCAGCACTGTAACACACGCCATCAGTGCCACAGCAGTACTGCAAGAGCAGGGGCAGGAGAAGGCACAGTGCTATGCTGGGAAAGGTGCCGCCTGTCACTGTGGGAGAACAGTAGCCTTGGATGAGGGCAACAAAAGAGAGGGTGGTTTCCTGTGGAAAGCAGGATTGGCCACACAAAGCCTTCAACTACTGAATATGCATGGGGTGCAGGAGGACTCAGTCAGCCAGCTTCACCACGGCCGAGGCTTCACGGCACAGCACAGGAGGAAGCGAAGGCAAGGCAGAGATCACGGCTGGAACGCATTCCTCCGATGGCAGGCAACAGAGGCTGGCCTTACCCATGAGCTCTGCTGAACCAAGGGGTTCTTAGACAGGAGGGGACATGATAAAAGTAGCAGCATTTAAACAAGGTTATTATGGGGAGTCTATCTGTTTTTCATTGGTTATAAACACTTGTTTAATCTTAAACTATGTTTAATAAACCAACGACAATCTTGATGAACTGTCTGTTTTCAAATGCAAAAATAGGTAAGTAACTCCTTCGATAGTTTAAAAGAGAAAAATATTAATATGCCACTTTTCTGTAAGAAGGGAGGGATGGTAGAATAAGAAGATATACTTAAATTTGCACATACAACGCACAACAAATTAAGAAAACTGGTTATCGCTAGGAAGGAGAAGGGAAGGCCAGGTAGCAGGGTGGAAAGCAAGGAAGACGTTTCACTGTGCATTTCGTACAGTTTTAATTTTTAAACTGATGCATTACATATTCTAAACATTTACATCTAAAATGAAAAACACCTTAGTTTTCTACTTTACAATTACTCTGTGTTATATACAATTATGAGAACAATCATCTTTCAGATATAAATATGTTACATTTTTTTTTCCTTCGACCATAACCAATTTTTATACTAGCTAGCCCCTGGGCCTCACTCCTCCAGCCTCCCTCCCTAACTTTCTGCAGTAGACAGCTGCTCTCTCTTTCAGTCAAAGAGCTTTTCTTTTAAAACCTGAGTGACCCTCATCTTATCATTATTTAACAGACTAATCATTTGACAACTATAATCTCACTGAACTTTGGAAAAATCCCTAACATCCAAAGATGACACACAGACAGTGTTAGATAATGTAACGGTGCACAGTACTACGTCTAGAAGGCCTACGTGTAAGGTTGGGCAGAATAATTTCTATCCTTGCTCACTTCTGAATGCTTTAATAATGTCTACTTTTATAAATGTTTTGTTGTAGTTAAAAATATTACTCTATAAAATTTCCAAGGCACATCAACTTCAGACGAATGCTTCAGGTGAGGGTTTCCATGTAAAACGTGCTGGAGGCTCATATTTTGAACATCTGCCCTCAGTAGATCCTACTGATACAAGCACACTGACATACATAGTGGCTCAACCCCAAACAGCTGATGAGGTAAAAACACAAAGCTCATTTGGGAGGCCGAGGTGCGTGGATCACCTGAGGTAAGGAGTTTGAGACCAGCCTGGCCAACAAGGTGAAATCGCATATCTACTAAAAATACAAATATTAGTCATGCATGGTGGCACACGCATGTAGTTCCAGCTACTCAGGAGGCTGAGGCAGGAGAATCGTGTGAACGTGGGAGGCGGAGGTTGCAGTGAGCCAAGATTGCGCCACTGCACTCCAGCCTGGGCGACAGAGCGAAACTCTTGTCTCAAAACAAAAAACGAAAAACAAAAAAACCCCATGAAGCCTAGTGTTCTCTCTCAACCCCAGCTCAAACAGATATTTTGAAAAGGAAACAGAAACTCCACACACTTCCCTGTTTGCCTATTTCCATGTTTACATTTCTCTAACAGCTAACACTATGTTTGGTTAGTTTAACTAAGTTATCCTGCTCACTTAAAATTCTATTTTTTTCTGGTTATATCTGACAATAGCTCAAAGGTTCTTAAAACCTAACATGTTTGGGGAAAAAAAAAGGTCACACTTAACTGCATTTCTTCTTGTCACAATGACACCCAAATTTAATAAATATTTTACGAAAAATACAGCAAAAGGGCAGCACTGACTAATAACGTGCACTCAGTACTGCCGGGCGTGCTCCTTCTTCACGTCTTCCTCCCTTTTACAGAGCTTTCCTTTTAAGTGTGAACTTTGAGTAGAAAGAGGCTGGATTAATGATAATTGGTGAGTCCACAGGACTCACACGACAGCCAAGAAATACCACACTTTGCAGGACTAATGAAATCTCCACTGTTACATCTTAATAACATCTTGAAAAATATACCGGGTAAATGTAATGAAGGAAAAAAGTACACTTAACCTACTTTGTAAAACTGAATTCTACATAAACATGTGCACTGTATATACCGTGTACAGGCATTTCAGGTGCGTGAACACACTTACCCGTCATGGTCGGTGACTCTCTTCGCTGCCCTCCATCGTCTTTCCCTTCATAAACCACCGTAACATCATAAATTGCATCTAAATAATTCTTCATGCAATCAAAAGCAACGTGAGTTGCCTTTATTCGTGGTGTTAGCACATGTTTTAATACTGCAAGGCCTAGAAGTCAATTCAGTGCCGTCATTAATTAGTTACAAAACACCTCCACAATATACTGTTTAACATCTAAATTATTTTTAAATTCCCTCAAACACACACAACAGAATCTATTAATTCCACAACCTCATATATTTAGGGCTCTAAGTTTAGAAAGCACTCTCACTTGCCTTTTTCTGTTTAAATCAATATTCATTTGCTATATATTGATCAAATATCTACATGTACAAGTCACCGTGTTGGAAGTTTATGGCCTAGCGGAAACGCTTCAATCTAGTAGACCCCGGCAAGGGTAAATATTAGTGCCCTCGCTTCTGGCCACTGAACAAAGGTGATAGCATCTTGCCCATGGTGACTCAAGATTTCCTAGAAATACAGTCACACAGCACATGGCCTCCTGTTTCTGGCTTCTTTCGCTCAGCATGGATCTGAGGTTCATCTGTGTGGCTGCAGGACTCAGTGCTTCATTCCTTTTTATGGCTGAATAGTTAGTATTCCACTGTGTGAACAGATCACATTTTGTTTACCTATTAATTGCTTCATGGACATTTGGGTTGCATCCATACTTTGGCTATTATGAATAATGCTGCTATGAACATTCATAGGAATTGCATATGAAGGCTGCAGGTGAACAAGCTTTTGTATGAACATACGATTTCAATCCTCTTGGGTATATCTGACATATTTTTAAAAGGTTCTTTAGCTGGGGGACTACTGCAATTATCCAGAACAAATCCCATTCATTAGGTTCCTACTAGGGTTAAGGATTTGTTCTTCTCTCCTTCCTATTACCTCCCTTTTCCTTGATTAAAATATTTACTGACAATTTAACAGAAAACAGTAGCTCTCAATAAGTGACATGAAAATAGACTATAAAAAACTAGTCTAGATTTTCTACTGGCCTCTCTGGAGGGAAAGTAGCTGAGTAAGGAAGAACAGCTATTACATGGTGGGACTGTCCCACACAAGAGGTTTTAAAATGCAGGGTGGTGTGGGAAAGACAAAGATTCCCACAAGCACGTATCTGACTTTAGTCCCCAGGGCAGGGGCAGTTAAATTGATTCACAAACTTGCAACAAAAATCTCAATCGCACACCAAGCTGGGAAGCATTTATTTGTCAGTTAAACTAGTTAACACTTCCTTCTTTGCTACTGGAGCTCATCCAACTTTATGAAGTCCAAAGTTTCAAAATATCACTCTGTGGTGTTCACTAAAACAACTAATTACTGGCATCCAAGTAAGTTAGTAAGGAAATAAAGACAGAAAGCTAGTATTTTTAAAACATAAAAGGAAATGAATTATCATGAATGTTTTAAAAAAATAGCTTTGTGACTAGGCTTCTGCTCCAGAACGCGTAGATAAAGCCACACCATAACTAGAAGGGGAATGGCCAAGAGGAAGACATGCAGAGCATGCCTGCGTGCACCCACCTGCCATGCAAAGATAAGTGGAAGAGCAGGAGGCAGGGAAACAAAGAGAACACGGAGCCGGGCGCGGTGGCACGTGTATGTCTGTAGTCCTAACTACTCAGGAGGACTGCTTTAGCCTGGAAGTTGGGGAGTGGGGGAGAGAAGGAAGAGAGGGAGGGAGAAGAATGCAGAAAGAAAAGAGAGAGAGGAGAGAAAGCAAGCAAGCAAGAGAGAACGAGTGAGGGAAGGAAGAAAGGGAGGGAGGGAAAGAAAAGAAGGAAGGGAGAGAGAGCGAAAGAAAGAAGGAAGAAAGAAGGGGGAGAGAGAACATGAGTTCAAATTGGGCATACTGAGGCTGAAGGAACAAAACATTCTAGAAGTAGTTGGAAATATGGTCTGTAAAATGGCAAGAATCAACCGAAGCTAAGCATGTGGAAACCATGGGAATGGATAACTGAAGTAATGGCAGTGGCTGAGAATAATAAAGGGCAGAAGATGAAAAGGCAAGAAATACAGACTCCGGAAACATCCACATTAAAAAAAAAAAGGTAAAAATAATAACAGGGAATACGACAACCCAGGAAATAAAAAAAGGGGGGAAACCAATGTAATACAAAAACAAAGGGAAGAGATGTTTAAAGGAAGAGGAGGTGATATTTATCTTCAACAAGAAAAATTATACTCCATTGTTTATTTCTACAATAAAGTTAAAATTATTTCCTGGTTATAAAGGTATAAATAATGTCAAAAGTTATGTGAAAGTTAACAAATATGACAACTGACACAAATGATACGATGCTTTGGAGGTCAGTGGTTAAGTGAGAAGTGGGATTCATTTCTGGAGAGTGGATGGAGTCAAACACAAGAAAGCAAGGGGCCCAGACTTCTCTTTGCACAGCTATAGACTTAGTTATTTCAGAATTGGAGTACATTTGCAAGCTGGGAGAAACCCCTGCAGAGAAGTAAGGCAGATGACTGAGGCAACGATGGAGACAGGGTAGACGGAATCAAGAGCTTAGAAACTGTTGACGTTGCCATGTCTAAGAAGAAAATTTTTCTCCAAAGTTTTCTTCTTAGACATGGCAGCTTCAGCAGTTTCTTCCAAAGAAATCCAAGTCAAGAGACTCCACATTAAGATTTTGAAATCAAAAGGGATATTGGGTGCACTCTTTCCAGAGAAATATAACTTTCTGAAAGCAAAAAATCCTTGAATGTGAAGAGAACAAAAATCCGTGAAAACCATGAGGTAGTCAAAAGGAGAAAAATAAAAGAACTGCTCCACACAGACTTGGCTCGGCTGAAATGAAATGGCCTGGCTTGGCTGCAGAAGGCAGTCAGCATTGATCTTACGATGTTCTCCACTGCTAAGGAAGGGAGAAAACAAACAGGGTTGCCAAGGGCTGAGGAAAGGCAGGGCAGGAACAGAACAGCCCAGCACTGGGATGGGCAGACCCCGGGGCTGGGGCAGACAAGAGCTGCAGAAGGCCCTGCAAGCTGCAGAAGGGCCAAGGAAAGAGAGATTAGAAATCAGCCAAAAACACAGGTTTAGAGCGAGTGAGGAGGAGGGAGAACCAGAGTCAGCTATATGGTGTGGGCGAGCCAGTGCCATTTCCAGATGAACTTCAAGGTGGTAAAAGCAGAGCACTGGACCCAGCACAGGACCTCGAACCAAGCACAGGATCCCAGACCAAGCACAGGACCCCGAACCAAGCACAGGACCCCGTACAGGAGAACAAGATCCCCCCAAGCCTCCACAAAGGACTGCAGCCCTGCCAACACCTTGATTTCAGCTGAGTAAGACCCATTTCAGACTTCTCAAATGTAAGAGAAGAAATCTGTGGTGTTTTAAGCCACCAAGTTTGTGGCCCTGCCTGAGAGCAGCCACAGGGAGCAAACACACCTTCTTAAGAGCGAGAGTGCCGTTACCACACAAAGCTGAGCACTAGCTTTCTTGTTTGCTATGCTTTCTCAGAAGTTGGCTTCAAAGTATTCATTTAATTTCTACTTCTTTGATTATGAGAAAGAATAAACATTTGTTCAAGTGTGTGGGTCATTTGTATCTCTTGAATTTCTTATTCATGCCCTTTTCCCATTTTTCTAGTTTATGTCTTTTCTAATTATGAAGCACTTTTGTAATATTAAGTATATTAATATCCTATATTATAAAATATTATTAGCTTGCCATTTGCCAACTAAATTTGTTCATATGATGTTTGAGACATAAAAATAATTTTTATTCAGTTAAGTCTACAAAGAAAAAAATTGCTTTGTAGCTTATTCCCTTTGTTCTCCTGTTTTGAAAGAACTCTCAAATCTCTACAATCGCCAGTGTTATTCACCCTATGAATAACATGGAAATTCTAGGTATCTGGTTTGCCATTATAGACACATCATTAAATTTCTGTTTTCTTTTAAGAGAGTTCAAAAAGCTTAAGTATGTCACCTTCGCTAGCAACTATGGTTTTAACCATGGCAATTAAAAAAAAAAAACCACCATAGGGGCTTACTTTAATGGGTCCAGGTGGCAGATTAAGATACATTTAATTCCACATCCCTTATAACCATTAGAAAGCCAAATACCTAAAACAAGTCTAAGGAAAATTAGTTAAAACAAAACCCTTCGAACAGCTGAGAAAAGTTTAAATATTACCACAGTGCCTGCACTTCTGCAGGACCCCATCTGAACAGCTTCTTCCTCCATGTCTAAGTTTCCTATAAGAGGTATGCAACTGCTATCAATTTGTTCTTTTTGTGAATAAAACTTAGGCAAAAAAACTGAATGATGGAGTTACCAAGACAAGAAATATGAGTGTATGCATGGAAGGATAAATTCTATCTTCAATATGCTGAGTTTGAGACATCCTTTTGGGCCAGTCAAGCGAAGCTCTCTAATGGACAATTGTACAAATGGGTCCAGAGTTAGGCAGAGAGACATGGAGGGGAGGAAGCTTTTGCGAGTCATCAGCAGTCAAGGAAACGATGGCTAAAGCCATGGATTTAGAGGAAGGCCACCATGAGAAACAAAAAGTGAAATTAATCAAACACCAAAACCTGACACTGGAAATAACACATGTAGCAGGGAGAAATGAAGCAGAAAGAGGCTGGAAAGGAGGCTAGGAAGTAATCGCCAGAGAGTTGGGAGGATAATGGAGAACAGCCCCACAGAAGTCTAGGGAGAGAATTTCAAATCAGACCAAAACAAATTGAGGGCAGAGTGAGTACTGGAAAAAGTGCTTACAACAAAGGTAGACTACAGATTCGAGAGTGGTTTTTGTTTTGTTCTGTTTAATAAATGTGAAAAGGGCAAAAGAGACAATGGCATTGCAAAAGAGCAACTGAAATGACAGAACGTCATGTCTATTAGACAGAGGAAGCAATGAAAGTCAAAAGAGAGCTGGCAGATGGGGAGACCAACTGAACCCTCCTATTCTGAAACACTCCTTACTTAATAGGACATGTGTTTAAAAACAAACTGGCATTTTTTAAAAGTACTGTTACAAATGATGTCATATACCTATGACATATCTGCTCTTGTAAGCACCTTGTAAAAACTCCCCCTTATTTTTAATTAAACTAAAATTAAATAAAATTAAAAATTAGTTTCATGCACTAGTCACATGTTGAATGCTCAAAAACCACATTGGTAGGAGCCAGCACACTGGACAGAACAGATGAAGAACTTTACCATTATTGCAGAAAGTTCCATTAGACAGCACTGTCATAGGCCCTGCTGTAATGTCACCAACAAGGTATTTGCTCAGTGAGTGACTATCAACATATGGAGATCACACACTAAATCACAGTCAAGCTTCAAAGACACCTCTAAGAACATAGCATAGCCACTGTTTTCTGTATACTTCCCAATTTGGTTAAATTGCATAGCTTATTGGTGTACCAATTATTCAATTTTCTAAAATATGGATATTAAGAACATTACCATTGTTGAAGACATTAACAGCTTCCAAGCACTGTGGACCAACTTTGTGTAACTTCTCCAATAGAAACTTGACATATTTTCTAATCTAATCCTCACACAGATTTAGATCTACTTATAAGGCATATGTTCTTTTAAGAGATGAAGAAGCAAGCTCAGCAACATTACACAACTTCCAAGTTGCAACCATACAGCTAATAAAAGTACGAGTTTGGACTCCAACTTAGGTCTGTCATCTTACAAAACAGAAGCTCCATTACATATAACCCATACACTGTAGAAAAAGCTTCCATCTACATAATCATGTACTTAGATAGATTTTAAATAAATCCATGGCACAAGAATATGTATCGTAACAAGCACTTCAACTTAATTTCTCAGATATATGTAATAATAGCATGAAAGTGAATTAAGGAGAAGAAACTTCATTTCCTAAGAGATAATATGTACACTAATTCAAGGAATGAATACATTCATTCCTTCAACTGTAAAACAAAAGTATCTTTTCCAGGAAGAAAAACTAAAAATGTTATTATCTTTGAAAATTATTTGTTCAAACACTCAAATTTTTACTTACCACGTTGGGCAGCAAATGCCTGACTAGCTGAAAGGACTTTTGTTTGCTCTGGATTATACCTTGTACCTTCTGGAAAAATCACAAGATACATCTGTGGGACATAGAGCAAATTTGGTTTATTTTGTGTGAGCTTTGTTTTTGTTATTGTTAACCTAAAAAAGCTAAACCTACTAATGCTAACAGAGTATTTCCTACAGTAGGAGAAAATGTATATTTATTTACATGTGACCTTCGTTTCAAGAGGGGCAAACAAAATGCAACAATTAAATATGAACATAACGTGAACTATATTTTAAATGCAGTGCTACATTCATTGGTAGGTCAGCCATGAAGAATCTAAAAACATTTCTAATTATATGCTAATAATTCACTAATTAAAAATAGGCCATGAAACGCTGACTCATACAAAGCCTCAATGAGTTTTTGCCCTTTCAGATCCTGTAATACGTCATTTTTAGAAATACAAATTTTAGAAATCAGTATCGTTAAGTACCAACACTAAAAAGTACCTCATTTGATGAAAATCATATAGTAAATTCCCACCATGTGAAACGTTCTAAATGTTCACATTCAAAAGCTTCACACAGAATTCCTATTTCACACAGCTCCTTTAGTGCATTTTAAATTTTATTTATAAGAAACCTCATTTGTTATATAAACTGAAACTAAAATAATATAAAGAAGAATATCAAGCTGGACGTTTAATAAGTAATCAATTAGTCTAAGTTTTTACGCTTATCTGCTTAGGAAAGTAAAAACAGAAACATTAAAATTATACAGCAAAAACTCCTAGCTTGAGAACTGAGTTACAAAAACTACACTAATAACTTTGATTGACAGCCAAAAGACAAAAATAAGTTATGCACACCAAATCTTTTCAAATACAAACAGAATACAGGAAACAAGACAGGAGCTCATGGGAGAAAACTACGTTTATTGGATTCATTCTTGCCAGATCTCAGACAGTACTCAGACAACACTGTCTACCTCTGTACGTCTGGTACAGAAGCCTTCCTTCATCTGGATGACCTATGATCATACAGCTCCTACTTAAAAACCTATGTGGTACTGAATTTTTTCTTTAGATACTGGTATAATGGTATCTAAAAATTTCGTACTTTCAGCTTCCACGCAAATATGCAAGCTTTTTGTTCATTCATATAATAGTCTTCAGAACCCACACCTAACTTAGAAATTAACAGATAATATTATATGTATCTTTATATTTAATAATTTATATTATTTTTAATAATTAATATTATTATTAAACAATAATTTATATGTATAATTATATTTAATAATGAAGATTCACCAGATCTGTTAAGAAAATGTAGAAAAGTGGGTACAATTAGGAAAAACATACAAAATTCCTTATTATATTATAGCAACTAGAAGGAAAAACAGGAAGACAAACATTAAAGCTAGTTCCAAACACCACACATTCATTTTCATGAAAATGTGTTTTGTAACAGTAAGGTTTATATTCAAAGCCATGAAAGCAATTACTGTGGGCTATCAGCTTTCAACTCAGTCATTTATAAATAAAACGATTATTTCTCAGGTTAATAACTCATGTGGTATTATTTGCTGTCTTAGATGTTTAATTTAAAAGAACATTGACAGACAGCAGGAAGGCATGAATTCATTCACAGCTAATTCAGAAACTATTTCTTATATACTTATTATGTTCCAGGAACTGCACAAAGGATAACAACACATATGGTCCTTCCCTTCATGGACAAGTGAGGAAAAGAAATACATTAAACAGATAAATAAAAACATGTCGTTACATATCATGATATGATTGCAAAGAAAAAGAACAAGGTGTGATGAAGGAAAATGATGAGAAAAAATTTAGGAAGGGCAATGGGGCTAGGAACTAAAGAATGGATAAAAGAATGAGTGCTTTTCCCTAAAGATGAGGAATATGGAAAGGATTTCCCTCACACCAGTTCTAGTCAAGGCTGTACTAGGAGGTCTAGCCAGAAAATTTAGCAAGAAAAAGAAATAAAAGCCATCAAGATTAAAAAGGACAAAGTAAAACTGTTATTTCTATAACAATGACATGATTGTTTATGTAGGAAATCCTAAGGAATATATTTTGTAAGTTACTAGATGATAAATAAGTTTAGCAAGGTTAGTATATTAAAAAGTCAAATATATGCCTAGGTCAACAAACAAAAACTTGAAATTTTTTTAAATGTCATCTACAATAGTATCAAAAACTGAAATTCTTAGGGATATATCTGGCAAAAGATGTGCAAATCTGTACATTAAACTACAAAACACACTGAGATAAATAAAGAAGACCTAAGTAAACAAATGCAGGCTACGTTCATGAATCCAAAGATTCAATCCTGTTATATCAATTCTTCCCAAATTCATCTATATCTTCAATACAATCAAAATGAAAAGCCCACAAACTTTGGGTAGAAATTGTCGAGCTAATTCTATAATTCACACAGAAATGCAAAAAACCTAAAATAGCCAAAACAACTTTGAAAAGAAAGAACAAATTTAGAAGACAACTACACTATTTAAAAACTTACTGCAAAGCAAGCATTATTAAGACAGTATGGTATTGGCATAAGGATATATATATATAGATCAATATAACAGAACAAATGCTCCATTGATCTAGGGATAACAGACCCATCTATATTCAGTCTACTTATTTCAAACATTGGGGGGAAATAATCTTTTCTATAGTGATGGTTACCTATATTAAAAAAATATGAACTTCGATCTTACACCATATGAAAACATTAATTATAAATAAATCCTAGAACTAAATGTAAAAGCAAAACTCTAAAATTTCCAGAAGAAAACAAAGGAGAAAATCTTAGCAACCTTAAGTTTGGCAAGGACTTCTTAAATAGGATACAAAAAGTGGAAATTATGAGAGAAAAAAAATCAATAAATTAAGCTTAAAAGTATGTTCTTCAAAAGATACATATAAATGTATAAAAATAAAAAAACACACGTACTCAAAAAAGATACTATTCACAAATAGGAAAAGGTAAGTAACAGATGCAAAAAACTTGTACAGGAACATTCTTAGGAGTGACAGGCTCATCTCATTTTATCATGCTTCGCTTTACTGAGCTTCACGGAAATTGCATTTTTTTCCCATTGAAGGTTTATGACAACCCTGCATCGAGCAAGTCTATTGGTGCCATTTTTCCAACAGTATGTGCTCACCTCACGTCTCTGTGTCATATTTCGGTAATCTCACAATATTTCATATTATTATATCTGTTATTGTGATCTGTGATCTCTGATGTTACTATTGTAATTGTTTGGGGGTGCCATGAATTGCACCCATATAAGATGACAAATTTAATTGATAAATGTCGTGTGTGTTCTGACTGCTCCAATGATGGCCTGTTCTCCTGTCTCTCTTTCTCTCTACCGCCCCTTGGGTTTCCCTATTCCCTGAGACACAACAATATTGAAATTAGGCCAATTAATAACCCTACAATGGCTGCTAAGCGTTCCAGTGAAAGGAAGAGTTGCATGTCTCTCACTTTACATCAATAGCTAGAAATGGCTTAGTGAGGAAGGTATGTTGAAAGCCAAGGTAGGTCAAAAGCTAGGTCCTTTCCACTAAACAGCCAAGTTGCGGATGCAAAGGAAAAGTTCTTAAAGAGAATTAAAAGTGCTACTTCACTGAACACATGAATGATTAGAAAGCAAAACAGCCTTATTGCTGATATGGAGAAAGTTTGAGTGCTCTAGATAAAACATCAAACCAGCCACAACACTCCCTTAAAGCAAATCCTAATCCAGAGCAAGGCCCTAACTCCCTTTAATTCTCTGAAGGCTGAGAGAGGTAAAGAAGTGGCAGGAAAAAACTTAGAAGCTAGCAGAGGTTGGTTCGTGAGGTTTAAGGAAAGAAGCCGTCTCTCCATAACATAAAATTGAAGTGGCAAGTACTGATGTATAAGCTATAGCAAGTTATCCAGAAAATCTACCTGAAATAAAATAAAGATTAAACAGAAGATCTGGGATTTAAACCTGAATCTAATTTCAAAACCAATACTCTTATCCACCAGGCTGCCTCCTATCTGAAAAGGAACTTAAGTGAAAGCTGGAAGAAAAAGTGTTAAGTCTCCATGTTTGTGCCATAAGTTTTACTAGCTCATAGTCTAACAAAATGACTTCTATTAGTTATTTTTATCACAAATATGCTTCATTTGCATCCACAACCAATAAGTTCCTTAAGAAAATACTGTATTGTCCCAGCAATAATTATGGAGATGTATTTCTTCACAACTTATAATACAAATATATTTTTTGAAACAAAATTCTGCATTTCTTAAATACTAATACCGAATAAGAACTGATACAATCATGGAATAGATTCATGAGAACTAGTAAGCCACACGAAAGTTGACTTAACATATTCTACCATGTCACTTACTTAATTCACCTTCAGAAACAAAAGAATCATAAGAACCTGAGCAAGATGTATCCGCTCTCACAGGGCGTACATATTAAGAAATGAAACAACCATCCAGATTCTTAGAAACCCGACCTGGGACAGTGACCTTACAGTGAAAGCTGCTCAGCACGGCCTCTTGAACCTGCCAGTCTGTTATCCACACTGCGCTAGGAACATAAAAGGCTGGAATTTTGCCCACAAAAAACAGGGAGGCTATTCTCGTAGCCCATAACCAGACTAGGTTATTTGAATCAACCTTCCTACTGAAAACAACTTAAAAAGCTGGATATAACATTATTTTAAAAGTACCCAAGAGTTGGCAAGATGTTAAGACTGAAATTAAGCAAACACAGTAAAGCAGAAGTAAGCATAAAACAGAACTTTGATTTACAAGACTCATAAGATGAAGGGCACAGAAACCAAAACCCATGGACCTTCTAATAGAACTGTGAAGAGAGAATCAGACAAGTGAACGAAACACCAAAGGCTCTACTCTCAGGGTGAAAGTAAATGAGAGGTGAGCAGGTCTCACGTGCATCTGCAACCCTGGCTGCACTGCCTGAATGGCTCAGTTCACCTTCAACTCAGAATCTCGTTTGGGTGGGGCCCACGCTAGAGGAGCCTTAAGGGGCCCAGCTAAAACAGGTAGAAATGTTCTCCGGAGAAAGACACTCCCACCTGAGGCTTCAACTGATTTCCACAAATAACTTAACCAAACACAGCCAGCAGCAAAGGAAGATAACAAAGCAAACAAGGAAAGAAAGTACCATAAGCAAGAACAGCAGAAAACAAGTGACTCAGACAAGACTTTAGGCACTGAAATAACCCAACACACCTTTTAAATTATGCCTTTATCACTTAAAGAAACAAAGACAAGCTTGAAGATTAAAACCAAAATAACAGATTTGACAAAAACCACACAGCACTTCATATAATGAAAAACAATAATTTAAAACACTGAAGTTGAATGGATTTGTATCTATTCTGGATTGTATTTTAGAACAGAAAAAGGACATTAGTGGAAAACCTGGTAAAGTCTGAATAAAAATCTGTAGTACAATTAATAGTGTGGTACCAATGTTTATTTCTTAGTTTTGACAAATATATACCATGTTATGTAAGATGTCAACATTAGATGTTAAAGCTAGATGAAGAAGGCTGGGCGTGGTGGCTCACACCTATAATCCCAGCACTGTGGGGGGCCGAGGCGGGCGGATCAAGAGGTCAGGAGTTCGAGACCAGCCTGGCCAACATGGTGAAACCCTGTCTCTACTAAAAATACAAAAATTAGCCGGGCATGGCGGTGCACGCCTGTAATCCCAGCTACTCAGGAGGCTGAGGCAGGAGATTGCTTGAACCCGTGAGGCAGAGGTTGCAGTGAGCCAAGATCGTGCCACTGCACTCCAGCCTGGGTGACAGACCGAGACTCCAACTCAAAAAAAAAAAAAAAAAAAAAAAGGCTATATAAAGAATAAACAGGAACACTCTGTTCTTTCTGACGTTTTTGTAAATCTAACATTGTTCCAAGTTTTGAAATTTATTAACCAAAAATGGGAGGCGGCTTCCATTAAGTATGTAGAATGCTGAAGGAATACTACTGCCAACCCTACAACAACAACAACACTGACAAGCTGTAGATTCATGACTTTTCTTAGACCCTTCAGAGAGCTGCAAGGTTGCAAGGCAACCAACTAACCCAAAAGTCTAAGGAAACATGGAAAACTCAAAGGAGAAACAAGATGCAAGTGGTTGTTTAGTTGGGGGCCAATGTAACAGATACCAGTAAAAAGAATTTAGCTAAAAATTTTAACAATTTTGCAGAAAGCCAAGTATGAGCCAGTGGAACAGACGAACCCCTGGGCTACAGACACAAGGAGAATGCAGCACATTTCACAGGCTCGACCCACAGACCTCCTGTGTACTCACAAGACAAAGAAAAAGGAAAACACACTGCGGTCAGGGAAGACTGGATGTAGGCTTGTGGGAGGGAAAAGCAGCCCTGTGGGAAGGGCTCAGGGCCCAGCCCACATCCTTCTTTCTACCTTTCCTATGGAACAGCAGCCTGAAACTGATGAACAGGGGCAACAAAACCCTGCTACCCATGGGGCACGGATGAATACTCGATGAGGCTGGGTGAAGAGAACAGGGAAAAACTCTTAGTAAAGGCAGGAATACATACTGGGCACAGACTTACAGCCAGAAGCAAGGCAGGATCAGAGAAGGCTCCACCCCTGAGATTCTCCCTAAGAATGAAAAGACACTTCCCTTCCCTCTCCTTCTACCACCAAACTAGCGAGAGTTCAGTAACAAGTATCCAAGAAGTATAGTGGGGAAAGGCATAAAGAAGAGAGCCACTCCAAGGTGCTATGTGAAAACGCTGAGTGTGAAATAGACACTGAGGAAAAGCTCTAGCGGGAGGACATCCCCAACCTACAAACAAAGTAATGAGTTCTACAGAAACCTGAAGCTGTGAGAAAAAGCACATGAGCAAAACCCAAATGCAGTGCACCTCCTCAGTGGACTGACTCCACTCCTCAACACTAAAGGCCAAGCAGAAAGACAAGTCTATCCATTTCCAGGTATCAAGACAACTTGCCTCCATTTCTCCTGTCTTACAAAAAAGGCCCAGCGTTAGGCAAAATCTTAGGAAGTATGACAAAGGCAAGATAAAGCACAATCTGAAGAGATAAAGTAATCAAAATTTGCAGACTCAGATATGGCCCAGATGTTGGAATTATCAAGCAGGGAATTTAAGAGAACTGCAAGTATAATAAAATGATAAAGGTTCAACTGGAAAACGTGACTAAGCTTTATGATCAGATAGATACACTAGCACAGAGATGGAAACTATGAAACAGGGTCAAAGGGAAATGTGAGGAATGAAACACGCAGTAGCAGAGATGAAGAGTGCCTTAAACTGGCTCACCAGTAGACTCAACACAGCCAAAGGAAGAATCCATGAACTCAAAGGTGGGTCAACAGAAATTATCCAAAATGTAACACAAAAAGAAAAAAGGGAGGGGGCGTAAAAAAAAAAATTAAAAAAAAAACCAACAAAAAACGAATAATGCATCTAAGAACTAAAGAACAGCGAGAAATGAACCAACACAAACATAACTGGAGAAGAAAGACTGGGGTAGGAATAATATTTAAGGAAATAAGAGCAAAGAAATTTCCAAAATTAATAACAGACACCAAATCATAGATCCAAGCTCAGAGGACCAATCCAGGTAAAAATTTTTAAATGACACTCAGATATATGATACTTAAACTGCTGCAAACCAAAAACAAGAAGAAACTCACGAAGGCAGCCACATAAACAAGACACATGACAAGTGTAAAGAGCTGATTTTTTCAGCCCTAGCGCCACTGGCAGCTATATTCATGGGGGCAAAAAAGCAAGGGGCCACTGTGCATAGGATGCCAACATCACCCAAAAGGCAGCTATCTTCATTTGCTTCATATATACAATGCCCACAGCAGGACACAGAAGGAACTCCACAGCAGTCATCCATTGCTGGGGTGACTGGACAGCTGGGAGAGAAGTGGGATGGACATTTTAAGGTATAAATTCATGATTTTTAAATTTTTTTTGTAAAAAGTCGATAAACCATATTACCAACTTATTCTGTCTTTTGGAGACCTACATGCAATGACCACAATTCTGCCCAAATTCACCACACTGTTTCAGACTAAACAGACCCTTTGAAGACACCAAGCTTGGTTCTCAAGGGTTAGCTATAACAGGATAAAGGGTCACTGTTCATCTCATTCCATTCTGCTTCTGTCACCCAACACATGCCCAAAACAGATGCAATGTTCTAATGTAAAAACACCTAGAAGAGGCATGTGAATAAACAATGCTCACACCAGGCACTTCGCCAGCTGACCGTGAAGAATTCTTCCTTCACCATGAGCTCCAGCTGCTGCCCAGGACCCCTGGTGAGGGGAGGGCAGGAGGAGAGGAGGGAAGACAGAGGGAGGGAGCCAGAAAGGAAAGGGAAAGCCTGTGCACACGAGCTAAGCTTCTGAGCACATGTCATGTACTGAAAGAGAAAGCCCAAGTCGCCCCGGTGATCATGGTGCTTTGTCTCCGGAGGGAACCAGGGGAAAAGCCTTTGGCAGCAATCAGCATTCTATACAAAGCAGATTGAACTCTCCCCACTTTTGTGGAATAAAGTTTTATAAAATATTATTTACACTGAATGATTTAACATTTGTAGAGATTCATCCTTTTTTGGTTTTTCTGTACATGTAAGACATTCAAAATTTGCACTAACAGAAAACAGTTGCTGCTTCTAAAACCAAATCTGATACTAAAGAAGACAAGAAGTAAGATGAGCTTGTAAACTAGCTTAAATGTCAGGTTAAAATGCAGTTAGTTCTATTTATAGACTCTGAACGACACCAAATGCTCTTTTTATTCCTCTTTAAGGTCCACTGACCAGCAAAGGACCTAGTTGTTTACAGCAATCTTTCTGATGGCTGAAAAACCTGCCTACCTGTACATAGAGGGTTTCTGTTACCTCAGCATAACCCTGAATTAGTAATTACACATGGGAAAATACATTGTCAAAACAATTCTTAGATTTTAATTTAATTCTTAAATTTAGAAACTGAGAGCTGGTAAGAAAAATAAAAACGGGTAGGCTCTTACTGGAGTTCCTGCGTCCACGTAGCTCTGCAACTTGTTTCGCATCTCTTTCTCGTTAAATTTGGCACTGCGCTTTACATAGATTCCTCCATGCTGCCACAATCAAATCGGGAGAAAGAGCATTTACTTTTAAAATAACAATTGGCCAGAGTCATCAAAAAGGCAACTTCTCTTGCAAAAAGTACAGAATGAAAACTACATTTCAGAATTTAATCTATATTTAATATCTTCAAACATTAGCTTCTAAAGAACATTTAGCTGAAAATTGCCTTGTCTCAACATAATTCAAAAAAACTGCATGTGACACTGTATTGGAAAACACATGAAGTTTAGTTTTGTTGGCAGTTAAAATGAAAATGCTTTCTTTCTTAAATACACATTTTTAAAAATAAAAAACCTGATCCATCAGATGGATTTAACTCCCAATTCTTCCACCCACTTATTACAGAGTCACTAAAAAGCGTCCTTAACATGTCTCACGATCTTTAGGGATTTTAAAAAATCAATCCTGCTAAAGATATTTATGTGGCACTGTTACGGACAGAAGTGTGTTCCCCCAAATCAGTCTACTAAAGCCCTAATAGTTCCCACTGTGACTGTATTCAGAGAGAGGGACTTAGAGGTGGTAATTAAGGTTAAAAAAGGGCCTCAGAGTGGGACCTTAGCAGTCTCTGTAGAAGGATTAGTCATCCAGTGTAACTAGTCCTTCTAAGAAGAGGAAGCAGTGCCAGCGGTGCTTGGGCACAGGGAAAAAAACCACCTGAGGACACAGGAAGAAGGATGCTGTCTGCAAGCCTGGGAGAGAGGCCTTGGGAGAAACTAACCCTGTCAACACCTTGATCTTGGATGTCTAGCCTCCAGAACTGGAGAAAGTAAGTTTTATATATACAGTTTGCTTTTTTTTTTTAATATCATACAGATCACTAATTACTGTTATCAACAGTTTAATGTAATTGCCTATCAAATTCTATGCCTTTAAATTTCCTATTTGTTTGAACTTTGTACATTTGCATTTTTGCTCTTTCATTTTACTGCAGCTGGCCCTTCACATCCATGAGTTCCACATCTGCAGATTCAACAAATCACAGATCAAAAATATGTGAACAAATAAAAATTAAAAATAATATAACAATTAAAATAATACAAATAAAAAATAAAGTATAACAACCATTTACATGGCATTTATAATGTATTAGATATTATAAGTAATCTAGAGATGATTTAAAGTAGTGCACAGGTTATATGCAAATACTATCCCATTCTATATGAGGGTCTTGAACACCTTAGATTTTGGTATCTGTGGTGGTTCTAAAACCAATCCCCACAGATGCTGAAGGAAAACCGCATATGGATAATCAGACGTATATAAATACACACCACTAAAAATGCCAAACAAAATTACTTCAACTGAGAATAAACTATTAAACCCATTTTAAAAACCATACATTCACATGAAGTATATTGTTAAATTTTAAAATATAACATTTTTATAGGGTTGGGTATGGCAGTTCACACCTATAATCCAGCATTTTGGTAGGCTGAGACAGGCAGATTGCTTGAGTCCAAGACCAGCCTGGGCAACACAGCGAGACCCCCATCTCTACAAAAAATAGAAAATTTAGCCGGGCATGATGGTGGGCACCTACGGTCCCAACTACTTGGGAGGCAGAGGCAGGAGGTTCACTTGAGCCCCAGAGGTCAAGGCTGCAGTGAGCTGTGTTCACACCACTGCACTCAGCCTGAGCAATAAAGTGAGACTGTCTCCAAAAAAAAAAAAAAAAATTTATAAACTACATATATAGAGAGAAAAGCATGGAAACAAGTTACCTGAGCAAAGTAACACCCATACAATGGCAGCCATTTTAACCCTTCTTTCAGCACGTAGCGCACATGTCCTAGCGCATTCTGCCTGATGGCCAAGATGTCAGCAACAATCCAGTCAACTGCAGAGACAGGACCCAGTTAGCGCGTACATGAGGCTCTTCACAGGTTGTACTATGAATGGGCTTCAAAAGTACTATGATGGCCGGGCGCGGTGGCTCACGCCTGTAATCCCAGCACTTTGGGAGGCCGAGGCGGGCGGATCACGAGGTCAGGAGATCGAGACCATCCTGGCTAACACGGTGAAACCCCGTCTCTACTAAAAATACAAAAAATTAGCCGGGCGAGGTGGCGGGCGCCTGTAGTCCCAGCTACTCGGGAGGCTGAGGCAGGAGAATGGCGTGAACCCCAGGGGGCGGAGCCTGCAGTGAACCGAGATTGCGCCACTGCACTCCAGCCTGGGCGACAGCGAGACTCCGTCTCCAAAAAAAAAAAAAAAAAAAAAAAAAAAAAAGTCCTATGATTAGGATGTTTAAAATTTCTTTAAATCTATCTGAGATATTTAAAAAATATACATTTTCTGTTTTTTGAGCTTTTTTTTTTTGCATTTCTTGAAAGGCTTTTTATTTCAAAGATAAAATACAGTCACAAAATACCTAAATAATCCAACAGCAGCATGTGTATGGAACAAAATGAGCTTCTCTAAATCCTAAAGTCTAGAAAACAAAGTTTTTTTAATGAGAAAGGGGAAATTATAAACAAAAAATGGCCAAATGCAACTATGAATTGCCACTAAATATTCAGTGTGTATATATATGTTCAGCAAAAGGCAAGGACACTTCATCTTCTACTAATGAGTTTTTAGGACTCGGTACTAGGTTAGGACAGCAATCAAACAAAGGTCTCACATGCCTTACAATGATGCTGGGTAGATATATGTGCTCCTTATGTAACCAAGTAAAATGATCTCAGACTGCTAATAACTATAGTTAAATAAATATGTTATTAACAAAGGGTTGCAAAAACAAGGGTAAGATGGTATGAATTGATAACAGTAGCAATAAAAAACTTCCTAGAAGTTGTTAGTTGAGCTTTCAAAAAGAAAAAATTTCCAACACAGAGAGTGGCCCTTGCCAATTAAACAAACAGGAAGTGGCAAAGTGGGTGCAGAAGATGGGAAACAGAGGACATGGTTTAAAGAGGAAATGAAGTGAAATTCAGGAGACAAATGATACAGGTCTTAAGAACCGCAGAAACTTGGATTTGAAAGTAAATGGCTACAAACTATCTCCTGATGAGAAAGAAAACATAAAAATGAAATGTAAGGGAGACTTCTCTAGTTAATACACACATGAGCTCAACGATACTCGAAAAGAAAACTGTTAATCTGTGAAAAGAATAATTCTATCATCACCCATGTTCTCAGGCCATGAAAATGAGAACAAAAGGAGTGAGTCAGAGGAAGGAAATGTTAAAAAAAAAAAAAAGTCTGTAGAAAATAAAAGCTGAGGATTTAGAGGAATTACAATAAAGTTTTAGCCAAAGAGGACAGTTTTCCACAGATTACAAGATGATTAGCTCTCAGCTATGGGAAATCTATTAGACAATGCACCATACTAGTCAGAATATCCCAAAAAAGATTTAGCCATTTTAATACTAAAAATTAACCAAGAAAAATCTCTTATCCATTATTATACATCTCTCTTTTTAATCAGGGATTATCATTCACAAGTTAACTTTTTCTTGATGACTTAAGACTTATAATTATTATACATATGAAACTTTTGTTATGGCTCCCTATAAGTAGAATGTTGCTTGCAAAGATTCTCCCCTACAGTGTATGATCCCAGAGACAGACACAACCTGTGTTATTGGGTTGAGATATCTATACTATTGGGCTATCAATGATCACTTTTCTCTAAAGTATATAAATTCCTGTTGAAGCCCTCTCCCTAGCCCCTTCTAATTTAGATGGAAGAAATAATAACTGATAAACATATTTCTTTCTAGTCATGTCTTAGAAACCATATAATCGACCCTGTTATACCTGTACCAAATGCAAAAGTAAGCAGACAATAAATTCTGAGAACTAATTCTGTATGGTTCTGTATGGTTACCAGGCTACAGCACATCTTGGAAATATAGTTGGCGTACAAAGTTAAAAACCAGGTTTAGCATTTTTTCCTGCAATAATTTTTTTATTTGGAAGAATTTTAAAAATGGGTTTTATTTTAAAACAAATGGTTTTATGGTTATATTATGGCCTCACATGCCCCTCCCAAGAACTTTTAAGAGAAAGTGTAAGATTTCCAAAATACATCATGTTCATAATAAGCTGCCCTGGGCTATGCCCTTAAACTTGAATATTTTAGTGGAAACATTTAAGAACTAGCTTAACTAGTCAAAATATAAAAGCTTTGTGTCACCAATATTTGCTACTGAATTCTCTTTATTTCTTGTTTATTCTCAGCTACCTTTCAGATAGGACATCAGATTACAGACAGTTTCTGACTATCTCAGTTACAGCTGAGATTATATTACTTTGACAATAACTTCATATTTTGTGTTCTGGCATAATTTAACTAAGATAGCAATAAATTTGGCTGTGTGAGAATCTTCCATGGCAATCAAGCCAAAGCAGAGTCATAGTTCCCATTAACTTGGAGGAGAGGAGTGGAAGGCAGTGAGGGGCAGCAAGTCTAATTTCCTCATCCCTATCCTCATGAAACAGCAGTTCCTAATTCATGAGGGCCCTGTGTAGTCCAAGAGATACTGCATGTGCAGCGCTTCCCTGCCATGGATCCAGCGCTATGCTAATGGTGAGCTATGACTGTCATCACAACCACTTTTAAATGCCATCTATGAGCCAGGTACGCTACCAGGATTAGGAGACAGCCTCTGTAAGGTGCCTGAAAGGAGCTATCACTCACACCTTACCAATAAGGCTCTGAGAGATAAGTAATTTGCCCACTGACACACAGCCTATTGCAGAACAGCATTTCTGCAATGCCGAACAGGAACCTGGGTCTCTCTAACTCCAAAGTCCATCCCTTTTTATAACATTCTACTCACCACGCATGCTGTTCAACAAGAAAAGTGACACTTCAGCCAAGAAAAGAGAACATTTCATGAGATTAAAAAGGCAAATAGCAGGCAGGGCACAGTGGCTCACGCCTGTAATCCCTGCACTTTGGGAGGCCGAGGCAGGCAGATCACCTGAGGTCAGGAGTTCAAGACCAGCCTGACCAACATGGTGAAACCCCATCTCTACTGAAAATACAAAATTAGCCAGGCGTGGTGGTGCATGTCTGTAATCCCAGCTACTCGGGAGGCTGAGGCAGGAAAATGGCTTGAACCCGGGAGGCAAAGGTTGCAGTGAGCTGAGATTGCACCATTACACCCAGCCTGGGCAACAAGAGTGAAACTCCATCTCAAAAAAAAAAAGGCAAAGTGTTGTCAAAAGTAGATAGTTGAAGGATAAGGGGAAGAAATAACAGCCACTATATCCTGCTGACTCGAGAGAGAAATAAGCTAACAGAGACAGAGACAGAATGTAGAGACAAGGATGTGTCAAGCGAAAACAAGGGAAGAGAGAGACTAATTTAAATGTCAATTCTTTTGAGTATCAGGCCAGGAAACTCATTTATTCCGGCAAGCCTGGCAGAAGACAAACTAGAAAGTCTAAGCAGAACAACAGTCTTTGAAATATTCTTTCCGCTAATTACATTTTCAGAGATACTCTGTTGTGATTCCTAACATCTCAAAAGGGTTTTAGAAGGGTACCTAAACACAATCAGACAATGAACCACGTCTATGGATAGGCTTTAGGGGTCTCTGAAACCCTAAAACTACATGCAAATTTTTATATGCACATTTTTCTAGGAAAAGGCTCTGTCATATACTGACTAAAGCCTGTAATTCTAAAGAAATTTAAAATCATTCCCCTAGTATTTTCTCAACTTACAGAATTTTAAAAGGCTTTCAAAAAGCAGCCTTCCCAAATCCTGCTGGGATGAGGATGTGGTGCCAGAGCGGTGATACAAAGTCACAGGCACTCGGAGGTAGGGTGAAGGGAAGGGGAAGTGGTTCTCTAAACTGATAAATGAAATTCAGGTCAGTATGGTCTGAGTATGAAGATTATCCTTCCCATAGTACCTTCTAGTCCCAAATACATGCAGAATTGTTTTTTTTAATCTGTTTTTTCATGGATGTTTTCTAGAAGTCCTTAATCTGAAGGAATACATATAAAAGCCAACATGTAGTAAGCACACAAATTAACAGTACTAGTGATCAATATTATCACTATCAGCAACACTTCCAGAAATGTTCAGAGAACCCACTCCACAAGTCACTACTAGAGAGCTCTATTAATCGAGTGGAGTTCATACTGAAACCTGGACAAAGAAAAGCTGGCAGGTAAACTGAAGAAGGAATTTTAAGAGAATCCTGTTAAACAGACAACTCTACATGAAATTAACACTGGATCAAAATAAAGGAAATGCAGGAAAATCAAATCTATCAAGAGCCATTCCCTGTACTGGGCCCACAGATCCCTTTTGTTTGATATTTAAAACCTGGAAGAAACATCCATCAGCAGCAGGACAGGAAAAGCAGAATGGTATTAGAAGTAAAACAGCCAATATGTCTGCACAGGCCAGAGTTCTCAGCAGCATTGACCATTGGTTGACTGTTTTGCTATTTTTGCCAAGAGTGAAATGTAATTAGATAAAATAGTCTGAACCAGTCATGTAATAAAGTTGGGGAAAATACTCAGATACATCAAGATTCCTATCAACCCCTTGTAGCTTCAACCCTTGTCCTATAAATCTGAATGTAATCATTAATTCACTAAATTGAGAAAAATGCATTTTAACTTCTTTTACTTTCTATACCTCATCTATGGTATAAGCAGTAATAAAAACCACAAAATCATGAAGAGACAGCTGACAGGAAGAAAATTTAAAAAAAGCCACAGGCATAAGTGATTTCCCTAAGAGTACTATATTGATCAGGTTGTTTTTAGCTTAAGAGTACTATATTGATCAGGCTGTTTCCAGCTTTGAGCTTCTAGGTATTATATTTTTTAAAGTAATAAAAATGCAATTTAGGAAGTACGCATCAAAAGTAGCTACAGGTTTGAAAACATAAGAAGTGGGATTTTTTTGGAGGGCTGAATTATTTGGAGAATTAAAAAGTACCTTACCCAATGACAATTTCCTGATTCTGCTACTGTGCTACAGTTATATTAAGATGTCACCATTGGGAAAAATATTGCTGACAATGTACTCTTTTTGCAAATTCTTGGGACTCTAGAATTACCTCAAAATACAAAGGTTTTTAGAAGTATCTTCACCTAAAGTATATACTGCACTGTTTTGAAGACCAGTTCTCTGCAATTCCTCTGATGGAACAGTAGCAACTAGAATTAAACCAAACCCATTTGAAGAAGGAAAGGAAGAGCAGACACTAGAAATGACGAGCATAGTAAGGAAACGAGTACTTACATACCAATACAGCTTTTCTGCAGCTTAGCAATCAAAAATGTAAAATGTATACACACTTCGACCCACCAATGCTACTTCTAGAAACATCACTTACAAAAAGAATGAATACACTCTTTAAAGAGCTACACAAAGGAAAAACAAAGCAAGCAAGTAAGAAGATAGCTTACTTACATCCAACAGAGGGAGAAGGTAAGTTTAGGAAAATTCATAGCTTTCAAGTTTCTGACTTTCCAAAAAGTAAAATCACAAAAATACAAGAACAGGTGTAATATCTGCACAGAAAATTGCTGTTTTAAAAAACCCACTTCATTTAAATATAAGAACGGTATTTTGAATGCCCATGTGCCATCTGTAGAAAAACCTATGTTTCATGCAAATGAAATACAAACCTGTGCTTTGATGATTTGCTAAATATATTATATTTTCTTTATTTTTTGGCAAATCTCCATATAGCAATATCTAAAAGATAAAACAAAAAAACATTACTTTGATATTTTAAAACATCTGTAATATACAAAGGAAGACAATGTGAAGAAACTGACGAATGATGTTGTGAATATTTCCATCCATGATTAACAAAAATTAGATTTCTCACAGGAGCCTCAGAGATCATAAATAGCGCAGGTACAGAAAGCAGTTATGTATAGTACAGGTTAACGGTAATAAATTAAAATAGAATAATCAATATCCTCATGAGAAAAATATAGCAAGCATTCATTGATTGCTAACAATATATAAAACACTGTTCATAAGATATATCTTCCTTCAAAGAGCCCACAATCAATCTAGTAAAAGAGACAGACATGTCCACAGGAACTGTAATGAGACATAACGCAAATACTATGAAAATATGGTACCTTTTTAAGGTTTTAAATTTGTTTTTTCTTTTTTCAGGACACTAAAGGGTACACAACCTTTTTTAATTTTAAAGAACTGTAAACTGCAGAGCAGGAGTATTATTAGGTAGGATTCTGGCAGATGAGATGAAGGAAAATGTTCATGAGAATAAGAACGAATGGAAGCAGTAACCCTGGAGGCCTGTTGGGAACATGGGCAGTGTCGCGGCTGAGGAGCAAGGAGACCAGAAGGGTGGCTCTGAACTGGAATGGCAGAAGTCTTTTGAATTCCATGCTAAAGATTAAAACTTTATTCTGTAAGTATGAGAGAAACATCATTCCAGTTTATTTTTAAACTGGGCGGTAGGCACACAGGTGTTCGATGTACCTGTATTAGTCCTTCTGCTGTTTTGTGTGTCTTACATATTTTAGAATAAATTTTTCAAGAAACTGGGAGTATACTTGTAAAGACTTAAAAGGAAATGGCTGCTAATGGTGCTAAGTTTTTATTCTGGGCATTTTTGTTTCTGCATCTTGTCATCATGGATTATGCAAGATTATAAATTAGCTAAGGCTTTTTAGATCTATCTTGTCCATAAGGATTATCTTTTGGTCATGACACTATTTATTAATATCTTAAAAAGAGAAGAAAGAAAGGGGCAATTAACCCAACAACTTTGCAGACAAATGCACTTAGATAACATAAAGTTCTGGAAGCCAGGGATGTGACAAAGGTTTCCATTACTTTCCTTAGAAACTGCACAGTGCTATGTATGTAGTATGTTTAAACATTTGCACAATGAGTTTTTATTCATAAAGTTTATCGATGACATAAATGAGTAATACCAATAGCTTGATCTGTTCAGAGTTAAAAGTGACATCGTGGCTTGTGAGTAAATCCCCATTCTCTTACCAACAAGCCAGAATTGCATCAAGACCATTGAGTATGCACTGATTTAAAAGTTTTGCACAGCCCAGGCATAGTGGCCCATGCCTGCAATCCCAGTGCTTTGGGGAGGCTGAGGTGGAGTGGGCGGGCGGGGTCGGTAGGGGCAGGGAGGGAAGATCTCTTAAGCCCAGAAGTTCAAACCCAGCATGGGCAGCACAGCCAGACCCTGTCTCTACATAATTATAAAAAGATTAGCCAGGCATGGTGGTGCGCACCTGCCCACACTCCTTCAGGAGCATCCAGAACACACTGCACACCTAATGACAAGTCCCCAGCCCCTTAGGGACTATGAGCTCCTCAATGGCCTGATCAGTTTTCTACCCCAAGAGCCTAGCACCAAGCTGGTTTTTAACAGATGTTTACTGAATTATTTACACTTTTGTCACCAGTAGGCAAAGCTATACCTCATTTTCAAAATAAAGGTAGTTTCAGAATAAACATAAATAAAATAATTAAAGTGCACCAGTGACTTTTTAAAGGCTTCATTCTGTAAATCTAGTACTCATTTTTTAAATCACATTAGTTCCGTCTACAAATGTACCCTGCAAATAATTTGTCACTTCAAAATAAGGCACAAGAAAACATACGGCTTTTCTTTTTGTTTTTCATAACTCTTTAAGTAATTTTAAGTTCATTATGATTGCTTGTTCATGATAATTTCAGGTTCATCCACTTTTTAAGAACTCATCAGACATCCCCTACAGAAAAAAAAATTTCTCTTTTCATTTATTAATTCAGAGGTAGCCAATAAAAATGATTTCTGAATAACTATCTTCATCACAAAGGACAAACTAGTTATTCTGCTTTCGTCAAAAAAACTTATTTATCTTGCACACACTGGCTTTCAGGAGAAGGCCTGAATTAGATGCGGACCAGTTTCACCTCGCCTTCATCACATCTGTGTTGTTTTTAACTTGCTCCCATGACATATAAACTGCCTATTGATTCTTTTTTAATCTTAAAAACAGGTAGTCATACGGCATCTAAAGTAATCACATGCTTAACACCTTAGCCTCCATAACACAATGTCACAGAGACATAAATATACAGCATTCTTTGTTAAAAAATATATATTCTTCATTTATCTCAATCATGTCCATTTGTCTTCCACATGCAAATCTTGAAACATGATTTTTTAAAAAAAACTTTTGCTGTTGTTAAGTATAGATGATGCTGTTGAAAGAGATCAGAGAATATGCCACACCCAAATATGCTACTTTGGCATAAGGATTATTTTGAGCTGAAGGCACCTGAGACACAGCAGATACAGGAAGAATTCTCTGCCCTTCCCCTAACTGCCTAAGGCAGGACATAAATTTCCCTGTGGAAAGGTGATATGAATTTCCATCTGTAAAGGTGTTTCCCTGTCCCTTATTAGGAGACCAGAAACTGGCAAAATAAACCTGCATAGCAAACCTTATTACTATACATTTCCTAGTCATCTTCCCACAATTTACCACCCCTGGGAGCTGAAATCCTCTTCTCCTTTGACTAGTCACTTTTTCACAATTTATCAGCCTTTGTTAAAAATCACATACAAACCCCTTCTTTAGCCAAGCACAGAGGAGCACACCTATAGTCCCTGCTACTCAGGAATCTCAAGCAGAAGAATCGCTTGGCTTCAGGAGTTTGAGTCCAGCCCTGGCAACACAGCAAGACCCCTGTCTCTTTAAAATAAAGATAAAAATAAAAATAAAAATAAAACCCTCCTTCCCTGTGCATGTAAAAATACTAACGTCAAAAAAATGTGTATGCCTCTTCTCCTGTTAATCAGTCTCTTAATTCACAAGCCCTAGCTACCCTACAAGGGTAAAGGAACAGTCTGCTCTCCCTTATACTGTAACATAAGAGCCACTAAGAGGTAGGTTCTAAAGTAATGGACTTCAATTAAGACTTGAATTTGAATCCTCATCTGTCATTTTACGATGAGAACTTGGGCAAAACACCCAACCCCTCCAAACCTATTTCTTTGCCTGTAAAATGAGTGTAATAATAGTAACTACTCCTCCTGGGATTGTAGTGAAATCAGTGAAACTATGTAAACTACTTCATACAACACCTAGAACATAGTAACCAACTAAAATAGGTTAACCTGTCATTATTCTTATCCCATGAAATGGAACTTTTTATTCAAAACTCTGTTAAGTGATTAATGGATAAGAGAAAGAGCTAGCTAGTCTATCTCTCCCCAGTCTTTGATTACACAGAAGTACAGCTATAAAGAATTTCAATTTCAATATGATTACATATACAATTTACAATGTTTATAATTACTTGAACTTTTAAATGTATTTTTATGCCAACGAAATATATTACCAGTTAATCATTATAAGATTTCTGCTGTAAAGCATACAAAAACTAGTCTTTTTCTACCCCGTTTAAAACGTTTCATTGAATAGTAAAATTATTATGCCCTTCTGAAATAAGATCAAAATAGCAAACAGCTACTTGCCCAATAATCAATACAAACACAATTATCATGCAATAAATGGAACCTAACAGATGACAAAGTTCTTTTTTTCCTTTTGCTTTCTTCAGCAAAGCCTTCTTCATAAGCTTTCAAAATAGTACTTCACACGCAAAACTGTAATGACTAGGTGTTTGGACCATCACGGCTCACTGCTCTCTCATTGTTCTTACCATGTCTAGTGAATAAACTGGCTGACTGCATTCAATGAGATCAATGAGACACATGGCTGTTTCCATAGTATTAAGAACGCTGGTTCTTCCAACTCCAGCACTGCAAGAAACAACAAGGGGTTTTTCCTTGCTAGCCCTCTTATTTTGCATATGAAAAACAAAATCCAGAAAGTCACTGAATCATCAGGGTCTCCATGGTCAGGCCACCCTCTGTACTGGATCTGCGTGATTGATGACTCTCTAATTTTTCTCTTGGTTAAACAGCAGTGTGATCTTCCTGAAGATAAAGACAGTGCTTCCTTCTTCTCAGTGGCAGAAGGCTTGGTAGCATCCATAGGATGAACTTCCTGTGGGTTCTGGCCAATATTGGGGTCATTTAACTCTGCCACATTCAACTTGTGTGGTCAACATTACAAACATGGAGGAGCCTTGTTCCCAAGTCATCTGCCAAAAATCTGTTCAAGTGTGTGGTAACGCCCCTTGACAAGCACTGTTCTGACTTATGATGCTGGAATTACACTGATGTAGTTTTCATTACCTTTAAAAATAACCCATGTAACATCATAAGGAAAACTATCTCTATCTATTTTTGCAAAGGTTCTAAGGTAATCTGGCACCAGAAATTGTCATTCCAAGTTTTTTTTTTGATAAGTTGATCAAATTGTGTCCAGAATGTTCCAGCGATAAGCCCTCGGTTAGCTGGATCACTGACTCCCACAGCACATGGTCATCCTGGTGGACACTATCTAGTGGGGCTTTCTCCAGAATGTACTGGAAGTCTGTCTCATTTTCTAGCACTTCTTCCACTACATCATATGCAGCATAGGTAGAACTAGAAGCATGAGTTCCCCAGAATGTCTCTCACAGTTGGCTTTAAAAAGCAGGACAATCCAATCATGGGTGTGTTCTGTAAAGTCCCAACCACTGATCAATACAACTTGGTCTTCTCTTCAATCGAGAGTCACTGAGGTCAAAGGTGTTCCTGGTGCTTCTCAGGACACGATCACAGACATCTTCTGATCATATCCCCCTTTGCATTGACTCCAAACCTTCCATTTTCGTCAGGTTCACTCGGATTAGAACATGATTATCATGTAGAATACCACCATTAGGAGCAGATTTTTTAAGAGAAGATAGAACATCAACGTTTCATTAATATGATCTTCCAGATCTTGTTGAAAATGTAAATAATGAATTTGGTTCCAACAGTTTTTCTTAGCTTGTTTGGGTGGTAAAGCTGGAGGCTACCCATCTCCAGGGGTGTCCTGTAATAGTGATGATTCCCGAATGATGCTATTAGCTTGTGCTGATAATGGTGATGTCTGATTTGCAAATATTTGGAAGAAGTGTGAACCACATAATCTACCAAATGACCAACAGAAGATGGTCATAATCAGGTTCCCTCTTGTATGAATGCAGAATTTTGATGAGTAGGAATTCCTGTTCCGGGTGGGAATTGTGATGGAAGGCTTTATGTTTCTAATCTTTTCATCAGATATTGAATTCCTGCCTACTACTTCCCAAACTATTAATTTCCACGTCAATGGCTTACTTGAGGATCCTGCAAGTAGTCTGTCTTTATTTGCCTTTTCTTTGCCATACTGAACTAACTGAACTTCAGTTCTCCCACCATGCATTAGGAATTTTGAACCTAATGTAAAATAATGTGCAAAAAAATTCTTTCTAGTTGGAAGTGGTCTGTCCAAACAGAAGAATATGTGATGTTCTAAACTTGCTTTCCACAAATGTTTACATGCCATATAATTCACCATATTAAATCCTGATAATCTTTCTCCAGATTTATGCAAGTCATTTTCAAAGCTGAATAAAAAACTGTTTGCACTTAAAACAAATTTTTACAATCTTCGACCATGGAAAGGTACTCATTCATAGCCTGTTATAAATCAGAATTCCTCTTGACATCATTCCAATCATAATTTTATTGTTACTTGATCCCTTGCATAGTGCAATTCAACTCCACAGAGTTCTAAGGTACTTGCTGTGTTTAGGTAATTAACTGCTGCTTCTCAAGGACATAAGCCTATATGTTGCTGATGTAATTTTTACAATTTCTTTTTCAAAATTTTGAGGATGATCAGGAATGAAAGAATAACCTGAGAGGTGGCCTAGCAAGTTCTCTGACTGACTGTACTCTCCAAGTTTAGTCTGAACAGCAAATGAAGCTAAAAGGGCAGCAGTATCATAAGAACAGGGCAATCTTCCAGTAAGAATGTCTTGTGAAATTTGTAAAAATACTAGTAGTGGGCTATCCATGGAATCATCAGCCGCCTGTAAATCAACATAGTCTTGCCCAGTAAAATCAGGATGCTTGCAGACTACATCTAACAGAACTTGCCACTGATCATGTTTATTCGCACTGAAAGCTTACACAGTGTTTTCCAGAAGGATGTTACAAGCCTCTGTATGCTGTCTGTCTCACGTCAACTCTGGTGCTCGTACGTTGTAGACTGTGGGTTCTGCCAGCAGGAAATTGGAAATGTGAGGTCACGACTGTACACACAAGACCTTCATATCACAGCTGCGTCCTCTCAGCTGAAGAAAGCAAGCATCAAAGCCAGGCAGTGACGGGGAGCGGCATGTCTGCTCTACCACCCACAGCAACCACGTCATGCTGTGGAACTGCCATGGCCTGTGCCACCCAAGAAGGCCACAAAGTTCTTTCTCATACACTCAGCATGCATGTGTCTTTTGGTACTGCCCTTATTTTACATCCTGTCTTTTGGTACTGTTCTTATTTTAGAGGGTGTGTTTTTTCTGAGTATCTATGATGTACCATTCACTGAGCTAGGCAGTTTCACGTATTATCTCATTTTGTCTTCAAAATAGCATGACAAAAAGTATTCCATTTAAGGACGAGAATCTTGAGACTGAGAAGTTGACACTTAATCCAGATGACATACGGAATGGCAGAGAAATAGGAATTACACCTAGGTTTCTCACTGCAAGATCCCAAAATCTTTTGACTGTGACAAAACTACTCTCTGCAAAAATTCCAAATAAAAAATGTCAAGTGAGAAGACTTCTCATATATTAGAAGCTTATGTAATTTTTTTCACTTTGAATATCAACTACGGAATTACAAGGAGTAAAATTAAAAACCAACAAAAAATTTATTCCTATATGAACACAAATTAAGCCCGGAAGCAATGCAATATGTAAGTGCACCAAGAGCTGGCGTTAACTACGTTACATCCAACTTTTAGGTGAACCACCTGCTTACATATGCAACAGCTCCCACCCAGTTAAGTATTCATTTGGACACAGTTGTATTCCTCCTTTATTTCCTCAGTTCTTTGTTCATTTCTTTAATTTGTGAACTATCTCAGCATATATTCAAGTTTTCTTTTAAGTGACATCTTTCTGCACTGCTAAATTATGTGTTACTTTACGGTAGAGACTATGTATTTTGTCAGTCTAGAACATTACACCTTTTAACAGTAGGTGGTTAGCACTTAATATGTGGCTGGGACTTAACATGACTCTCCTTTCCAGGTACCATCACCCTCCTTTCTTTCCGCCCCTGGAATTCTCATGCCAAGCTGGAGGAGCGCAGTAAAGTCGTCTTCCAAATATTACTTACACTTATACACAAATAAGTACTCTAAAATCTTCAAGTAACACTTTCTTATTTGGGGTTTTGATTTCTGGTGCCTACAGAGAAACAGAAGAAACAACATAAAACCTTGGAGAATTGCATAGGCTCAAAAATTACAAAAAGTACTGGTTTTGATTCACAACTAAACCAAGGTTTCTCTGCACTGCTGGCTGCGTGAGAATTCTTTTTTAACTTCTCTGACTTTGCTCATTCTGCCTTACTCTTGAGGGTGGAGTCATGTTTCTTCCTCCTTCATCTATTTAAGGAAAGAATGAATCGGACTCACTAGACTTGGGTACCCTGTTAGAGCAAAACTTATCAACTAGTTATGCCATTCAAAAATCTCCATCCCTTAAAAGTGAGATTCATATACATTTCCACAGAAACACAGACTAGAATTCCCTAGAGTACTCTGCCTTTTCTCTCTGTTTTGTTTTGTTTGTTTGTTTGTTTTGAGACGGAATTTCGCTCTTGTTGCCCAGTCTGGAGTGCAATGGTGCCATCTTGGCTTACCACAACCTCTGTCTCCTGGGCTCAAGTGATTCTCCTGCCTCAGCCTCCCATGTAGCTGAGATTACAGGCAGGCACCACCACGCCCGGCTAATTTTGTATTTTTAGTAGAGAAGGGGTTTCTCCATGTTGGTCAGGCTGATCTCGAACTCCCGACCTCAGGTGATCCATTGCCTCAGCCTCCCAAAGTGCTTGGATTACCAGCGTGAGCCTCCGCACCTGGCCCTTTTACCTTTTTTTTCTTTTGAGACAGGGTCTCACTCTGTCGCCCAAGCTGGAGCCTCTACCTCCCATGTTCAAGTGATTCTCCCACCTCAGCCTCCTGAGTAGCTAGGACTACAGGCACACACCACCATGCCCAGTAAGTGTTTGTATTTTTTTGGTAGAGATGGGGTTTCACAATGTTGGCCAGACTGGTCTCGAATGCCTGACCTCAAGTGATCCACCCTCCTTGGCCTCCCAAAATGCTGGGATTACAGGCATGAGCCACACCGTGCCCAGACTACTCCACCATTTTTGTTAAAAGAAAAAGTAAAATCAAGTCATTCTTCCCATTATTGCCATCTCCAAGAGGTTACAATGTTGCAGAGGAGATGATCCATACATTAAAATATGCTAATGTTATATCAGTATTATATATGTTAATATTACATAAAAGTTACCCTGACAATGAGATGGGGTAACATCATGACAGATGGAGAAAAGCAAGGGCTTGAGTTGGAATTCCAGAGAGGAGCGGTCTAATGTGGGGAGGGGCGGCCCAGAAGGAAAAGCTAGACTAGAATGAAACCAACGAATGGAAAAGTTAACCGGGGCAGAATTTAGAAAACCTTGAATGCCATGCTTCAAACTCCTCATGTTTATTATGTTATCAATTGAAAACCTCTTTTCCCTAAACATTCCATGTTAATTACGCATGTTCAAAGTAAAAACTCCAAGTAATTTTTATAGCCTTCTCCACTAACCCAAGCAAAGAGTTACTTTAAAGAGTTACTTTACCTCTGTATGGCAAAGTTAATAAACACGTCTCTAATTTCAGTGTTATCCTATATTGTAATTGGCAGTTCATGTCTTTCCTAGATGAATACCTTGAAAGTAGGGGGTCTCATTTCAACCAATATAACCACATTGCCAGGCAGAGCATCTTCAGAAAATAAGTGCCTGAAACTCCTGGCTAGGCTACTACAGATGTGAACCATGGGTGTTCCCTTTTCCTTGTCTGTAAAAGAGGAAGAATGGTGCCTACTTTGTAAAGATGGAATTATTTACATAATAGAACAATACTTGCACACAGCAGCACTCACTAACTGCGACTGAGTGTGTTACTAACCCACCCTCTTCTTTTTCCTCCACATTCAATCACAAAGCCCTATCAGCTACCACTAAAATAGATTTGGAATTCTTTTCAATCTTAACATCCACTCTTTCCACTCCCCTAACCATCATTTCTCACCTGGATGACTACATTACCTTCCAAGCTGGCCCTTTTACAGAGCTCCACACAAATGTCACTTGCTCAGTAAGATTTTCCAAACCCCTACCTCTCACCCACCAGGCTAAACAACCTGGCATGGCACAGTAAATTTTCATTTTCTTGTTATTGTTTGTCTTCCCACACTAGAATGTGACCTCCATAATGGCAGGTACATTGTCTATCAAACATTGTACCCCTTGGTACCCAGGACAGCACCTGGAACAATGTACACACGGGAATATTGCAGGAATTAAGGGATCTGGGTTCTAGAGATCCCTTACTGAAAAGTCATTACTTACTATTGAATGGTCCAACCACTAACATCAACCTCTAGTTAAGAAACCATAATAAAATGAGAAAATAGTAAAGGAAAAGTTAACTTCTGATTCCACTTGAGAAGCATCAGCTCCACAAAATCAGACAAATATACAAAAGAGGGAAAGTAAACTAGGTATATACGGAGTGCTGTTTTCCCGTGCCTTCCATCGTAATGGCACAGAGGTATCCCCATAGGTATGCAGGTATATTTCGTGCTACTGTACTAAAAAACTGATCTGTAAGAAGTTCATTTAACTAAAGAACCTTCCCACAATTCAAACACTTACTCAAAAGCTCTTGGAAGAAATCTAAAGTTACACACCAAACTGGGATGTACCTAGGAAAGGTGTACGCAGTGTAGGAGTAGGGGAAACTTTAACTTTCTCAAAGTATTGTGGCAGTGTTTGAATGTATAATTGCATCTGTGATTTTAAAATAGAAAAATCAGGCATTAAAAAACTATACACAAATGCAACCTGAAATAACTGGTTTGTTCACAGAGGTTTATATTTATAAAGTGTAAAAATAGAGTTCTAGTTACATTTTTTTAGTATTTTCCTATAAGTCTAGTAAGTTAAGCAGTTCCCTAACCAGAATTTAATTGTGTTAGACTGGAATTGTATTTGATTGGGAAATGTTTAATTTCCTATAGTAAAAGTTTTTATTATCCTGCTTAAATAAGCAAATGCAGAAACACACCCACACCTACACAGTCCTGTCACTCTCAGCTAAAGTGAAGGAAGCAATTTAAGATCTATTTAAGGTCTTCACATGAATGGCAAATAAGCAGAGAAGAGTAAAATTAAGGATACAAGGTATGATTCATATTCTTGTTAGGACTATAGGTATCAGAGACGACGCTGGGCAACATTTTGGCAGAAGTGCAGAAAGAATGTAGAAGTGTCATAAAAGGGAGTAGACTAGATGACTTATAAGCTCCCTTCTCCAATTCTAAGTAAACATGTTTCATTCTAATGAATGGCTGCTTTTACAGCAAGATTCAGAATATAAATTTAACTCATTAGGAGTTTAGGATTAGTTTGATGAATCAGTGCTACACAAAGAAAGATCCAGTTATAAATGTTCTCTAGATAAAAAGCCTTGACTGTTTCTGAGAAACTTGGAACAATGTTTCAGTTAAGAGTATGAATCAGCTAAGCATGGTGGATCAAGGACGGATCACTTGAGCCCAGGAGCTCAAAACCAGACTGGGCAATATGGCAAAATCTCGTCTCTACCCCCACTAAAAAATACCAAAAAAAAAATTAGCTGGGCATGGTGCTGTGTACCTGTAGTCCCAGCTACTCAGGAGGCTGAGGTGGGAGGACCGCTTGAGCCCGGGGGCAGAGGTTGCAGTGAGTGGAGACTGCACCACTGCACCTCTGGTTTGGGCAACAGTGTGAGATTCTGTCTTACAAAAAAAAGTATGAATCCTTGGAGAAGTTAAGGGCATATTAGAGAAATGTCAAAATCTTAAATTCTTTATCTTCTTTCTTGTGTTTTTCACACTATTTTACACTTAAAGCAGGTCAACTGAAAACCTGTTTATTTTATATAAACTTAAGAACTGTGCATTTTATTGTTATATTACATTAGCATTTGGAGAAGGGGGAATTAGCAGTCAGAGCCACTAATGTAAAATATATTCTGAAGTAAATTCCAAGTGTTACCAACTGATTTAAGCAAGATAAATCGGTAATTAGAATATTTATTAGGGGCTAGGCATGGTGGCTCACACCTGTAATCCCAGCACTTTGGGAGGCCAAGGCAGAAGGATCACCTGAGGCCAGGAATTCAAGACCAGCCTGGGCAACACAGAAAGACCCCATTTCTACAAAAACTTTTAAAAATTAGCTAGAAATAATGGCACGGCAGCTACTCCGGAGGATCACTTGAACCCAGGCATTCAAGGCTGCAATGAGCAATGATGGTGCCACCGCACCAGAGCCTGGGTGACAGAAGAAGACCCTGACTCAAAAAAACCCAAACCCCAATCTATTACGTGTTGATTAATTTTTTGGCCTACAAATTTCAATGATCAGTTTTCAGTGTATTGCATAGGAATGGGGGAAAAGAAATTTTTTAAAAAAGAAGCAAAGAAAAAAGAATTCTGACATTTGAAGACATCCTATTAACATTTATCAGCTTCACAGAACATGCTAAAAAGATTTGTCATTATTTATCATAACGATTACAGTTATTGTTTATGCAGCTATCTCAACATTTAGGATATATCTAGATTCCTAGGATAGAATTCTAGGCTATAAACTAACATAAATCTAGTTTCACGTTAACTCACGATGATAGAATTTAAGGTAACTTCATTCCTTTTTCATGAGTCCTACCCAATCCTCTGTCAGTACTCCAACTTTCCTTTTAATTTCCCATAAGTTTTCCTTAAACTCCAGCTCAAGGATATATATACGGCCTCTTACTCTGAGTCTCTAAGCATTCCACATTCAAGTTACTTCCTATCCTATAGATAGGGCTTTTAAGTGGCAAACAAACCAAACACCAGTATATTCACCACATCATACATAATTAATTGTCTTAGAAGTTATATCACCTTTAATTTATCAGGATTTCAGTTATTTCCATATATATATATATATAATCACAAGATGGTAATTTCAGAATCAGATAAGAATTAAAAGAATACCGAAATATGAATAAGTTGGTTATTATACAGAATGCAGATTTGTTCCGAAAATAAAACAGTTAATCAAATGTTCTACTTAAGGGATATGTGAAGGTAAATCTGTAAATAAGAAACTAAAAGATTATGGGAAAGTAAGTAAACTTATTACAGAAAACCAGGTTCTCTGTTAAAGAAAGCAGAGACCAAAATGCTTTAATACGTAAATACCTAAAGAAATAAGGCAAGTTAAACTACGAAATAACTACAAAATACTGAATAGGCAGAACTATGGAGTTCATTGTTGTGGGGGAATGAAGGGCAGCCCCTCAAAAAATGTGTCCACATCCTAAGCCCTGGAACCTGTGAATGTTTTCTTATTTGGAAAAAGGCTCTTTGCAGTTATAATTAAGGATCTTGAGATGAAGAGATCATCCCGGAATATCCAGGTGGGCTCTAAACCCAATGACAAGCATCCTTCTAAGAGAAAGGGAGAGTGAGATGTGAGACAGAAGAGGTGGCAGCAAGGACTGTAAGGCAGAGGTTAAAGTGATGGGGCCCCAAGCCAAGGAATGCCACCAGTCACCAGAAGTTGAAACCCACAAGAACGGATTCCCCCTAGGGCCTCCAGAGGGAGTAAAATTGAGCCTACACCTTGATTTCAAAGTGCTGGCCTCCAGAATCACGAGAACTTAAGTTCTATTATTTTAAGCCGCTTAGTTTGAGGTGATCTGTTTTGGCAGCACAGGAAAGTAACACAGGTACTTGAATCAATGCCTCTCAACACAGTAGAGAGACTTAACTGGATTTTCAATAGTCTCAAATTACGTGAAATATAAAAAAGCTTATAAAATTCTTATTACTTATTCTAAAGAAATAAATGGTGAAGAAAGTACCCATTTGAGTTTCAGTACCAATGAGAGATTCTGGAAGGACCTAAAAGGATAAACGAGTTATAAGGAACAATTTTAGCAGCACTGACTGAAATATTTCTCTATCTCAGAGATACATATGAAAATAAAGTAGTGAAATTGGGGAAGAAAAAGGTATTTACCCAGAATCCAAGAAAAATCCAACTAAATTTGTTGGAAGCAGGTTTACCTGCCAAGCACAGATCATAAATCTCATGGACCTACTACTACTTCTCTTCAGCTTAAAAATTCTATGTAAAAGAAAATATTCTTCTGCAAGAACTACTGTGAACCACTTATTTTTTAAACCTAGAGTTGAAAGGTGTAAAAATGTCATTTAAAAAAAATTTTATTTTAAAATGCCTCTTTAATATATATAAATTAATAAACCTTTTATTTAAAAACTTATAACCTCTTAAATTACTAAAACTCCCTTCAGAAATGAGTCAACAATACTTTATACAGAACAAGAGAATCATCACTAGCCTTGCAAACGAAAGCTGATAAAAACAATTCAAGAAAAAAAGAGTGTCCTAACAAAACAAGAAAAGCAAGCTAAAAATTTTAATCAAAACATCTCAGTGACAAAGTTAATGGTACAAAGTCACAGGTAAAAAATAAGGTGACAGAACATCACTATAAATCTTTTTCCTTTGGGTCTTATGTTTGAAGATAGCTATTTATTCCTCTATTGATTTAATCTTAACAGAAACAATAAAAAATATTGAAAGGTAGCTTTGTGTACACAGGAAACCCAGATTGCAGAAAAAGACCCTAATAAATTCAAAATACCCTGCTCTGTTACTAAACAGAAAATAATTATTTGTCCCCTCCATACAATAAAAATAAAAATGCAGGAACAAGAAACTCTTGGTTTTAAATTTTTATTAAATGTTCATAACTTGCATTTGATGATCAGTGGGCAATCAGTTCGTTCTACGACTCCTAAAGAACTTCATCAAGGAACACACATTAAACAAAATTTTGAATTATACTTAAGGGTCCTCAGGCATCCTTTCATAAATGCATGAAAATTAGTGCTGGATGCCACTTCCTTTGATTTGAACAGACGGTGGGGGGAATGATTAGATTAAATGTTTTCAAAATCACTTGCTGGGAAATCAAGAAGTAAATCGGATCTCTGAACATCAGGTAAGGTATGCAATTTCAGAAACACTGCTAGGTTTTACAGCCATTTAAAAAAATAAGAACTTGCCAAACCAAAAAATCCTTCAATGGTGTATTCTGCATCATATTGTGTCCTCTTTGAACAAAAATAACATAACCCGCCACAGATAGAATTATTTTTTTAAGAGGTGAATGACTTTGTGTTCTGAGCTTATATCCCATCCCAGGCCAGTTGTCACATGATGTGGAAGTAAAAACTTAATCATGATAAAAATCATACATTTAGACAAACTTGGTGGAGTTACCATATAAAGGGAAAAAATTAGCCTGAATTATTGAAATTTTTAAATGAGGCCCATTTTAAACGTCAACTACCAGGAAACCATGACCTGGAACAGTATCTTTTTTTCTTTCCAAGGAGACACTTACAGACACTGGTTTAAATGGAGGCCCTGGCCTCTCCTAGTTCCTTCCCCCCAAACAACTTCCAACTGGGGCCATCAAGGGTCGATCAGCAGTGCAACTGCAAACTAAATATAGTACCTGACTGACCACAGGGTAAAAACAGCTGCTGTAGGTGGAAAAAAAAAAAGTTAAAAAGACAAAATGATACCGTCCCATTTCCCCATGCCACCCTAACCCTACCAAGAAAAGTAAAAGAGGACTAGGTGGACATTAGGAATAACCAAGAATAAAGCTGTTCTTTCAAACTGAGAAATAAAAGAAAAATTCACCTTTTTTTTTTTTTTATAACACTTCAAATACCTACTGTTAAAGAGGGCCTTCCACTTTTATGGTTTGTTTCTCAAGTTTAATCTACGAATCCAATCTCTACAGAGAAACAGTAACAGAAAGAAAGTAATCAGACAACAGATCACCCACACATTCAAGCCCAGTTAAAGTTGGCAAGAAATGTATCTAGTTAGGCTTCTACGGTTAACAAATGTATTCATTTCTTCGCCCAGCTTTCACTTGTCCAGGGGAAAGAACACAAGACCGAATTGTACTTCTGTTTCAAGAGGTCACTGTAAAAGCGCACTTCGGAGTGTAGACGTCTCCGATCTGTTCCAACATGACCACCTCTTTGGACCAAAGGCCAGAAACTGCTAAACGCGTGCCCTATTATTTAAAACGTGCATCTGCACCCACTTTGCTAAGCAGCATCAGACCCAGGCGAGGGGCGGGGAAAGGGGCGGCGGGTCCCACTCGTAGCCTCAGGACGACGCAGCCACAGCTTCCTAGAGAGCGATCTCGGCAGAACGGCAGGAAGCATGCGGAGAGGAAGGCGGGGAGGCGGCACGTGCTCTCCGTGCTGGGTCCGCCGGGCCGGCCGGGTGACCCTCGCCAGCTGTGGGGGAGCGGAGAGGTCCGCGCCCCCGGGAGCTCGGGTGGACGCCGAGACCCGGGAGCGGGAGGCGGCTCACCTGGACCCCGGTGTAATTCTCGAAGAAGAAGAGCACCATGCTCTGGTAGACGCAGTAGAGCCGGTCGTCCAGCGCTTGGTAGAAGCGGGCGGGCAGGAAGGCGGAGAGCAGCCGCCAGACCCCCCAGGCCAACACGTAGGTGGGCGCCGTGCCCAGGAGCACGACGCTGGGCAGCAGGTAGCGCATGGAGTACGTGTGGAGCACCAGGGACAGCAGCATCTTCTCAGCTCGGCGGCAGCGAGCTCCGCCTGCGCTCCCCGCCCGCCTCCCGGGCCTCAGTCGCGGCCAGCAGGCGGCCAATCACCGCCCGGGCCCGGGCCGCCGCGCCCGCCACCCGCTCCCAGCCTCCGCCCCCAGCCGCATGGGCCGCGCCGCCGCCCGGGGCCGGGTAGGCGAGTGCGGGGCTGCGTGCGCCGCTCCCGGCGGCAAAGCAAGGGAACCCGCGGCCCTCCCGGATCGATGGCTCAGGGATGCTCACACCCCATGACCCTCACCCATCGCCACATCCCCCTGCCGGGGCAGGGGGCTCCGCGGCAACAACGCGCCTTCTGATTGGTCGCCCGTTGCCATAGTTCCACCTCGGCGGCAATAACACGTCTCTTGATTGGTTGGTTTGGGCCGACAGTTGCAGTACAGCTACCTGCTGGGGCGCGGGCAACCCGGCTCCGGCCACTGCGCATGCTCCCCAGCTGGGCCGGCTGCGGACGCGGGAAGGGAGGTGGTGGCGACTGACGGAACTGGGTGAAGGTGGGTGCTGGCCGGAGGAGGGTCCGGGTGCCTCTTGTTCTGCTCCCTCGGGCCGGACGTGCGCGCGGTCAGGTTTAAGGGTCGCTGGAGCTGCCTGGAACGCGCACCTGCTGCTCACAAGCCCCTGGGCGCCGGGATGCACACAATTAGAGCAGTGAGAAAGTGGGTGTTAACGTTATCGGAGGTCTAATTCTTGCAGGCACCTGGGCCCAGGTTGTAGGCAGCTCGGCCCAGGTCGCGGGGCAGCTCGAGTGTCCCCATCTGCTCACTGCCAGTCCTTTGCAAGGGGACGCCGCCTCCTCAGCCTCCGCTCTGAGTGCGCAGCAGCCCCTCCTGCCCGTCTCTCGCTACCAGGGTGTTTCAGAATTAGGGTCCGTGTTTTTCCCCATCACAGTAATGATGATAATTACATGTTTATGCATAGCTGAAGAACAATCCCACAAGGATATTTCCATACTGTTTATTAGACCTTTTCAGAATTCACTCTTGCTTCATTTCCTCAGAGTCTGTTGGACTTGTTTCTGATTTTTTTTTAATAAGGAGCCTCGTTTTTTTCTGTAGTAATTAAAGTAGTTGCGTGCACATGTGTAATCCATAAAAAGCATACTTTTGTAGCCTTCACTAAAAGCTACGAAGGGTGGATAACTGTTTTATTGATGTTAAAGCAGATCCACAGGACTTTTGGATCTTTCTCCTCCCCTTTGGCTGTGGTAAAAATGGTTTAATATGTAACCCTTTTCAAGGATAGTTGTACTTTAAAAGAATGCCGAATGCTTTACCATATATATATATATATATATATATATATATATATATATATTCCCGCCCCCTCCCCACCACCACCATAATGGGAGCCTGTGCTACCTTTAGGCAGGACGGTATTTCAGTGGGAAGTTCTAATCAGGGCCAGGATGGTAGCTACTTTCTTTATACATGATTAACATCAAATAACAACATCATTGGTAGATGATGACCTTTGGGGACAAAGCCAGGTGAATGGAGATCTCTCAAGTAACAAGTATTTGAAGGCCAGCAGGAAGCATTACACAGTAAAAGGAGCTTCTCTCTTTCTGTGGCTGTCATTGTCCTGTACTGTAAGAAGCACTAGGTTTAGTACTGGTGGAAAAAAGTCACAGGTGTGGACAGTGTGCACAACTAATGCTCCTTATGCTTTCTTTAACTGAGACCAGACATCTCTACACTAGAACAGTGTGCGAAAAGATAAAGCAGGTTCTGTGTTCACGTTAGGATTGCTGTGTATAAAGTCAGTAAATATGTGTTTATGTGTAAATTTGTTGTGAATCACCCCAGATTACTGTTAGTCACGAAGTTGTAAACTTTTGTGCAATGTTTGCCATGAAAACACAGAACTTAACTTTCTCTTGTTCCCTCTTTATCTCCAAACCCAGCTCCTGACTATCAGTTATTGTCTGTCCTGCTCCCGCTCCTCTCTTCCTGCGAACAGTCACAGATCCACCCTCTCTTTCTGCCACTACCCGGCCCTGTTTTTCTGTTTTTTTTTTTTTCCCTTTTTCCGTGCAAACCTCTTAGTTGATAATCAGCCCACACCCTCTGCCTCCTTACCTTGTACTTTTGTTGAGCCCTTGCAGTCTGATGACCTTTTCCTCCCCTTTACTGGAATGGTGCTTCTTTCAGAGCACAGCTGATTTCCTCCTTTGCATACCCTGCTGGGCACCAGTGGAACAGTGAAAGGTGAATTCTGTCTATGCCTTCCTTGTACAACATTTAACAAGGAGTTACCTGTGGGATGAAAAGGGGACATTCTTGGTTCTCTGGGAGCATATATCAAGGCAATCTAATTTAGTCTGGAGACAAGGAAGACTTCTCAGTGAAATGGTATTTCAGGTGAAGCTTGAGGGACTTAGTGGGCTTTCCATGGGAGAATGGCACATTTGAACGCCTGAAGCTGAGAAATCACCATATTCTCATGCATAGCACTGGAGTGGGCCACAGTGTTCTTTTTAAAATTTGTTGAGATGCCCCTTGAAAGAATGCTGTGTATTCCCATCACACATTCTTAAACTGATATTTAAATGTTTTTCTCAGCTGGGCATGGTGGCCTATACCTGTAATTCCAGCACTTCAGGAGGCCAAGGAGGAAGGATCACTTAAGCGCTTTGTAGAGTGAGGCCTCCATCTCTACAAATATATTTTTTTAATTAGCTGGGTGTGATTGTGCATGCCTGTAGCCCCAGCTACTCAGGAGGCTGAGTTGGGAGGATTGCTTGAGCCCAGGAGTTCAAAGCTGCTATGAGCCATGATCGCGTCACTGCAATCCAGCCTGGGCAAAAGAGAAAGAGTCCATCTCAAAGAAAAAAAAAGGTGGGGAGAGGGGGGCTTTTAATGATAAATTTAAAAAGGCTTTTAATTATAAATTTAAGTAGTTATGAAGTTCTGATGAGTTATGAATGATGTTTTGAAAATAAAGTGATTACAGAAAATTTTTAAATGTATGCAGTGAGTTATAAATATTATAGTGACTTAATATCCACCCCATCATTCATTTCAAAAATACTTAAGCCTTTGACCAGTTGAAAATTTTGCATTGATTATTTTTCTCCCTGAAAATATTTTTATTTCACTTCTACCACAGGATTCTATCATAATTGAATATGCTCTATCCTTCAAAGTTTTTTACTGATCAGACTGTATCATTAGGGTCCTAAGAAGCAAATTTTCTTCTGGATTGAACTGTTACTATTATTAGCAATACACAGTTTAATCAATGTGTTTCACAAAATCTGATAAGGAATTGTAGGCAAAAAAAAAAAAAAGTTACAAGAAATGCATCTCTTAAATAAGTTATCTCTGTTGGTGTCCTAAGGTTTATTACACCTTTCTACCTCAGCAGGGCAGCACAATGTAGTAAGATTTAGGATGTGCCAGGGGGGAGAGGAGCCATTATGAAATGCCAGGTGGGCCTGGACTGCAGGAGTCCTCAGACAGATCACTTTTAGAAGAGTTGGGATCTGAAAACTGAATCCCTTGAAACTCCTCATGACCACGTGTCCATATTCTCAGGGATACGCATGCCTCCATTTGAAGATTGTTTTTACAGAAATAATTGGGGTAAGGAAAGGAGACAAGGATGCTAGGGATTGAGTCTGGAAAGATAGGCAAGAACCAGATGACAGCAGGGTCTTGGGGGACACATAAGGATTTTAGAATTTATCCCAAAGGACAGGGAAGCTACTGAGATTTTAAGGAGAGGAGTGACATGCTTATATTTGATCTTTTTAAAAGTTGTTCAGGCATTGTGGAGAGTATATTTTAAACAGTTTGGAGACTATAGCTAGACTCCCAGCTAGAAAGGATGATGGTAGCTTAGCCTTTGGTGGTGACCATGTATGGAGAGAAAAACGAATCCCTCATGTACAGTGTTCTTGGAAGGAAATTTGACAGTATGTTCTAAGAATGGACAGCCATATGGTTTGGATCTGTGTCCCCACCCAAATCTCATTATCAGTCTTAACCCCCAATGTTGGAGGTGGGGCCTGGTGCCAGGCGATTGGATCACAGGGGCAGTTTTCTCATGAATAGGTATCACCGTCCCTCTTGGCACTGTCCTCAGGATAGTGAGTGATTCTCGCGAGATCTGGTGGTTGAAAACCACGTAGCACCTCCCCACTCACTCTTGCTCCTGCTCTCCCTTTTCCTTTCACCATGATTGTAAGTTTCCTGAGGCCTCCCCAGAAGCTGAGCAGATGCCAGCACTATGCTTCCTGTACAGCCAGCCAAAATGTGAGCCAATTAAACCACTTTTCTTTATAAATTACCCAGTCTCAGGTATTTCTTTATAGCAATGCAAGAACAGCCTAATACAGACAGATACCCTTTTAATCAGTCCATCTACCTAAGTGCACATCAGTAGCAGAATAGCTTTGTGGATACACAGTACTGATAAGTGAAATGGTATGCAGCAGTTGGACAGGAATAAGTAGCACTAAATGCGTAGTCGTGGACAGATCTCCAGGACACTAGGTGACAAAGCAAGTTGCTGGATAATACATGCACTATGATCCTATTTCTGTAAAAACTAAATAAAACTTTGGTCAGTTCCCATTCATGCTTTTATTTTGCTGTTTGCACAGATAAAACAAGAAGGCATTCCTGTTATAAAAAGTGTAAGCAATCCTATGTTTTGAATATTGAATGAAATGTGGACATTTCCCTCATGCCGCACCCAATCCCACTTTCTTACCCAGAGGTTACAGCTATCTACTTACGCAGTAGATGCTTGGCAATCCTTTGCCCCTTCCCTCCTTGAGGTGACTAAGATGGTCATGCAGACAAGCCACCCCTCCCAACAGAACCCATGTGATCTAGGGGGAAGCTGACCCCACCCATAATGGGCCACCATCAGTCTAGGGCTGTGTTTTTTTGACGTGTGGACCTTGAAGCCTTCAGGCTCCTCAAGATGCTTTCAGCTGGTCCAAGGGAAAAATGTTTTCACAGTGATACTGAGACATCATTTGCCTTTTCACTATTAGATTTACAGTGGTGATGCAAAAGCAGGGGTAGGTAAATCCACTAGCACCTCACTGAGAGTAAGGCAATGACACAGAAAGTTACCTACTAGTGACCATCATGTTCTTCATCACAATGTGATCATGGCAGAAAAACGCTTAAGAATAGCCTGAATGTGATAGCAAAAAAAAAAAAAAAAAAAAAAAGTCAATTTTATTAAATGTCAACTGTGGAGTACACATCTTATGAATACTCCATGTGACTAAATGGAACTTGCATGAAGCACATGGGAAGCATACCAAAGCTCAATAGCTCCCCTGTAGGAAACAACCTCTGAGCTGCAAGCTGAGAGCTACTTTTTTCGTGGAACATCACTTTTGCTTGAAAGAATAACTAGCAGATAAAGTGGTGAGTCTGGCAGACACTTTTTTCAAAAACAAATTCACTTCAAAAGAAAACAGTGGGTAATGTTGCCAACAATAAAATTGAAGCTTTCAAGTGAAAACTTGAATCTTGGAAAACTTATATTGCTCTATGAGCTTGACACCTTCTCAGTTCTTGAAGACCTTTTTCATGAGGACTGTGGTAATAGCAACCATTGTGATTTTTCAATACTGTATGATGCAATGTGTCAGAATTTGGAAGGTTGGCACAATGCAGTAAACCAAACCAATGTTTTTTAAATAATGCATGATATTTTAAAATGATGAATGGGTAAATGGCTCTTGCAAGCACAAGATATACCAATAGGTTTTAATTTAACTACAAAAATTTCATTGATATAATTTCAGACTTTACATGGCTACTAACCTTTAAGCAATTACCAGTTCCTGAGTTTTAGTGTAATATGAAAGAAGAATAGTCACATTATCTGAAAAGGCTTTAAAAATACCCCTTCCAGGCTGGGCACTACAGGTAGCTCATGCCTATAATCGCAGCACTGTGTGAGGCCAAAGTGGGCAGATTGTTTGAACCCAGGAGTTTGAGACCACCTTAGGTAACATGACGAAACCCCATGTTTCACCACAAAAAATACAAAAATTAGCCATGTGTGGTGGTGCATACCCGTAGTCTCATCTAGCTACTCAGGAGGCTAAGGTAGGAGGGTCCCCTGAGCCCAGGAGGTTGCAGTGAGCTGAGATCACACCACTGTACTCCAGCCTGGAGGACAGAGTGAGACCCGGTTCCCCTGCACCCCCCAAAAAAACCCTCCCTTTTTCCAATTACAAATCTATATAAGGCTGGATTTTCTTTATATACTTCAGCCAAAAATGACAACAACAACAGCAAAGCACAAAACATGGCAGCAGATTGAATGCAGAAGCAGGTATGGGAATCTAACTGAAAGATGTGAAAAAATAAGTAAAACAATGCTACCTTTCCTAAATTTTTTATTGTTTTTGAAAATAGTATTTTAAGCACAATGGCACAATGTTATAAAGCCCAAACTCATGGTGAAGGACTAGCCCCCTGCCTTGCCTTAGCACATGACCTTATTTGGCTATGGTCTCCACAGAGGTACCCAATTAAAATTAGGTCATTAGGTCATTAGGATGGGCCGTAATCCTTCTGAGAAGAGGACATTTAGACACAGACATGTAGGGGGAAGATGGTGTGAAGAGTTGCAGGGAGAAGGGGGCTGTCCACAAGCCAAGGAGAGAGGCCTGGAACAGATCCTTCCCTCTATAGGGTTTATTTTTCCCCCTCAGACTTCACTGATTTGATCCTATAAAGCCAACTGGATTGGGAGGCTGAGGCAGGCGGATCACAAGGTCAGGAGATCAAGACCATCTTGGCCAACATGGTGAAACCCCGTCTCGACTAAAATACAAAAAATTAGCCAGGCATGATGGCACGTGCCTGTAATCCCAGCTACTTGGGAGGCTGAGGCAGGGGAATCGCTTGAACCCGGGAGGCGGAGATTGCAGTGAGCTGAGATCGCGCCACTGTACTCCAGCCTGGTGACAGAGCGAGACTCCGTCTCAAAACAAAAACAAAAACACCGCTGGGAATAGACAGATCAAGGAAAAAAAAGCATGTTTATTAACATGCATTCAGGCACAGAAGTCATACAAAATATGAAAAACTCAAATGGCCAGTTGGATGATGCTTTTTTTGATTTTATTTTTTTTGAGATGGAGTCTCAAGGCTCTTGTCGCCCAGGCCAGGGCGCAGTGGTACAATCTTGGCTCACTGAAACTTCTGCCTCGTGGGTTCAAGCAATTCTCCCACCTCAGGCTCCTGAGTAGCTGGGAATACAGGCATGCGCCACCTCGCCCAGCTAATTTTTGTATTTTTAGGGTTTCACCATGTTGGCCAGGCTGGTCTTGGACTCCTGACCTCCAAGTTATCTGCCTGTCTCGGCCTTCCAAAGTGGTGAGATTACAGGCATGAGCCACCGCTCCAGGCCAGTTGATGCTTTTATACCATCTTGAGGTTAGAGCGAGAAGCAAAACAGGTTATGGGAGGAGAGAAGAGGAGACCTCGCACCTAAGGCAGTCTTGTTATACAGAGGAAACCAAGGTAGCAGCCCTCAGGAAGAATAGAGGGTAGGTAGGCGATGGGAAGTGTATGTCAGATTTTAAAGGTTTGAGACTCTCAGGTCATCTTTCCTAGATCTGGACAAAGGGGCTTCAGAGAAAGCCTTCTTACAGCTGTTGTTGACTTCACTTTATTTCCTCTGCAGATGCAAACCTCCTCCCCTCTCCCCAACTCAAAAGGGGAGCCTAGATTTGCAGGGCAATTCTTGTGTTTACAGGCCTTCTGAATAGCCATTTTGAAGTATGTCAAAGAAGTCTATTTTGGGGTGAAATATTTGGTGTCATTTTCCTCCCAGCCTTCACAAAGAACCAACCCTGTTGACAGCTTGTTTTTAAACTTTCTGCTCCCAGCACTGAGAGACAATAAATGCCCTTTTTTTAAAGCCACCCAGTGTGTGGTACTGTGTTACAGCAGCCCTAGCAAACTCTTATCACTTCTGTGCTTGAAATACTCCCAGCCCAGAAAAAAATCCAAATTAAGTCCTGCCTGTGGCCTGCAAGGCTGTACCATGAGCTGCTTCTCTGACCTCAGTACACAGCTCTACCCAGACCATGGATGCCTAGGTGTGCCATGACCTGACTGTCAGGACTAAGCCAACTTCAATGTGACTTGATTCTGTTGACCTAAAAGGAAGAAGCTGGGGCAAAATTAACATAAATAGGGAGTGTTTTGGGGCCAAGCTTGAGGATTGCAACCCGGGAGCATAGTTTCAAGTTACCCTGAATATACACTCCAATTAGCGGCGATTACAAGTGGATTTTTAAAGGGAAATGGGGACAGAGAGTGGGCTGATACAAAGTGGTTTGTCAGGAAATCTCTTTGGGGTTCACATAAATAACATAGATTAGTGATTGGCTATGTATTGCTAAGCTGTAGCCTGTGGGTTATAGTGTCAGTTGCAGCATTATTAGGTTAATTTATAGCTACTTGTGGCAATAGCAAACAGTTTTAAGAGATGAATATATAGCTCAAGGGGGAAGGAGGATGTGACCATGGTCTTGTTATATGTTCTTTTTTATTTTTTATGATACAGGGTCTAGCTATGTTGCCCAGGCAGGTCTTGAACTCCTGGGCTCAAGTGATCCTCCTGCCTCAGCCTCCTGAGTAGCTGGGACTACAGGCACACACCTCCTTGCTGGACTTCTGTGATCTTATTTTAATGTCTCTCTTGGCCTGATAATTAAAAGGACTAGCATTCCTCAGATAAAAATTCTTTTCTTTTCTCAACTCTTTGTTGCAGGAAATTCTTGTCCAGGAAGATAAGGCTATAAAACCAGTCAATAACTTGTTGTTTTCTTCAGGAATCGCTTAAATGTCCATTTATGCAAACAATAGACTGCCGGGCTAGCCCCTTCCCAGCACACCAGGAGGCTTCTCTGGGTAAACAGCCCTCTCAGGACAATAGATCCCACAGGTGCTTCTCACAGAATTGTTTGTGCCTCACCTTGCTCTGAGACCCTTGCCTAGCTGTGCCCTCCAGTTATTTGCCGCATATCAATTAGATCCCATACTGACACGGGATTTGTTTCGACCCCCTTTACCAGACTTGCAGCAGGGGTGGGTCTACTCGGCCCACTGCACTCAGCCCCTCGAGGGAGGGAGCACATGAGCGAGTGAGTGTGGGACCTGGCCGGCCACTCCGAGGGCCACCCCCTCCTTTGACCTTAGACTCTATGTGAGGGAATCTGTGTGCCATGCTAAGTCCCCGGCACACTGCCGCTGTGTGGATGCACATGGGTGCTTTCCCAATCCTTCCCACTCATGGGAGGTGCCCCTATAACCATGCAATGGGTTCATCTTGCCTGCTGCCAAGATAGAGCTGATTTATCAAGACGGGGATTGCAATAGAGAAAGAGTTTAATGTCATGCAGAGCCAGCGGAATGGGAGACCAGAGTTTTATTATGCAAATCAGTCTCCCTGGAAGTTCAGAGGCTACAGTTTTTCAAGGATAGTTTGGGTGTTGCTGATTTGTTGGGGATGCAATCATAGGGGTGTGGAAAATGGTCCCCATCCATGCTGTGCTGAGTCTACTTCTAGGTGAGGCCACAAGACCAGTTGATGGTCCCAGTGTGTCAGTTGTCAAAAATGCAAATACCTGAAAGGACATCTCAAAAGGCCAGTCTTAGGTTCTACAATAGTGATGTTACCTGCAGGAGTAGTTGGGGAAATTTCAAATCTTGTGACCTCTGGAATAATGGCTGGTAACCATTCACATCTTCTCCTGAGCAGAACTCAGGCTCCCTTCATCTCTCTATCTGATGGCCTTTTGTTAGCTTTACAAAGGCGGTTTAGTTTTGGGGAAGAGATATTATCATTTAAACTGTAAACTAAATGTCTCCTAAAGTTAGCTTAGCCTGAGCCCAGGAATGATTAAGAGCAGTTTGGAGGTTAAAGGCAAGATGGGGGTTGGTTAGATCAGATCTCCTTCACCATCATGATTTTCTCTTGTAAAGGTGGTTTCACTCCCTGGAGGCACTGCTCTATGAGATAGAGCTACAAAACCAGGTTTGTACTAGGAAATTGTCCCCTTCAGCACCTGGTGATTGGATCCAAGGTAATTAAGTCATAGACCACATAATTAAGTCACTGGAAACAACAAAATAATTGCCAAACAGAACTAAGCACTGGAGCACAGAAGTAATAGAGAATTACAGTCATAATTGGTACCATGGTGTATTGTTAGTCCATTCTCATGCTGCTATAAAGAAATACCCAAGACTGGGTAATTTATTAAAGAAAAGAGGTTTAATTGACTCACAGTTCTGCATGGCTGGGGAGGCCTCAGGAAACTTACAGTCATGGTGGAAGGCTAAGCAAAAGCAGCTACCTTCTTCACAAGGCAGCAGGAGAGAGAGTGCCAGCAGGTGAAATGCAAGATGCTTGTAAAGCCATCAGATGTCATGAGAACTCACTCACTGTCCTGAGAACAGCATGGGGCAAACCACCCCCATGATCCAATCATCTCCACCTGGTTTCTCCCTCAACACCTGGGGATTATGAGGATTACAATTCAAGATGAGATGTGGGTGGGGACACAGCCAAACCATATCACATGGAAACCCAAAACCACATACATGTTAATGCTTTGGGAGAGCAGGAAGTAATGAAGCTGCCAGCATTGTTTGGAGAAGAACGTACGGTACCTTTCAAGATTGTGCTTACCCTTAATGCTCCCGCACATACTCCCTTTATTGGTGATCTTCATCCCAATATTGAGGTGGTGTTTCTCCTCTAAAACCACTTCTTTGATTCAACCAATGGACCAAGGACTTATAGCGCCTTTAAGGCCTGCTACCTGAGAAGGACTTTTGCCTAGGCTATTGCTGTGGCTGAGGAAGATGCTGAGAAGACACTGATGCAACTCTAGAAGGATTACAACATCTATTGTAGCAGGATGAGCTGCAGACAAAACTCCTCAGACACCTAGTTAAAGAAAGAAGGGGTTTATTCCGCTGGGAGCATTGGCAAGACTCCTGTCTCAAGAGCTGAGCTCCCCGAGTGAGCAATTCCTGTCCCTTTTAAGGGCTCACAACTCTAAGGGGTTCTGCGTGAGAGGGTGGTGATCGTTTGAGCAAGCAGGGGGTACGTGACTGGGGGCTGCATGCACCAGTAATCAGATCGGAACAGAACAGGACAGGGATTTTTACAATGCTTTTCCATATAATGTCTGGAATCTATAGATAACCAGTTAGGTCAGGGGTCGATCTTCAACTACCAGGCCGGGCTGTCTGCCTGTGGATCAGCCAGGCAGCGCCGGGCTGTCTGCCTGTGGATTTCATTTCTGCCTTTTAGTTTTTACTTCTTTCTTTGGAGGCAGAAATTGGGCATAAGACAATATGAAGGGTGGTCTCCTCCCTTACTATGACTGCATCAAGAACTTTGGCATGGTCACCAAGGCGTGTATGAATGGAATCTGGACGAAGACACTCAAGAGGTTTGTCTATGACTTCAAAGGATTAGCCAGTATGAGGAGGTTGCAAAAACCAAGGCTGTGGTTGTCATAGCAAACGACTCCAACTAGGTGTGAATGAGGATGATGTAGAGGAGCTCTTTGAGGTGGTTCTTGAGGAATTGAAGAATGAGGAGCTGTTGGAACTGGAACAGGAATGCATAGCTGAAGAAGAGGCAAGAGAAGAGGAAACAGAGAAAAAAGAACTCCTAAGAAGAGTAACAATGAAGGGTTTGGCAGAAGCTTTTGTAGACCTCAGAAAGCTCCTTAAAAAGTTTGAAAACATAGAGCCCAACACTGAAAGGTTTTCATTAATAGAGAGGACTGTATATGGTGCATTATCTGTTTGCAGGCAAATCTGTGATGTAAAAAAGAAACAAACCAAGCAAACCACCGAAGACATATTTCTGAAAATAGCAGCACTTGCTAAATAGCCTCAGTGAGGTCCTTCAGGAGAAATCCAGAAGGATGCATTGTGGTCATAGGAGATGACAGCTCCATCCATGTTATTTCCCCTGAGGACTTTCTAGTGGGATAACATGTGGAGGTGGGATAACATGTGGAGATGGAACACAGTGATATTGATGATCCTGACCCTGTGTAGGCCAAAGCTGATGTGTGTGTTTGTGTCTTAGTTTTTAATAAAAAAAGTTTAGAAAGTAATAGAAAGGTTTTTAAATGGCTTATAGAATAGACATATGAAGAAAGGAAATATTTTTGTACAGCTGTACAAGGTGTATTTTAAGCTAACTGTTATGAGAATCAAAACGTTTTTAAAAATTAGTTTTAAAACAAGTTATAGCAAAGTAAGGTTAATTTATTATTGAAGAAATAGATTTTAAAAAATAAATGTAATGTAGCCTGTAAGTGTACAGTGTTTATAGTATCTCCATCTTTAAGTATAGCATGACTATATTTCACTTTGTTGCAAAGAAGCTGCACAGTGACTTACAATGATGCATGCAAAACAGTAGAATAAAACAAAGAATGAAATGAGGCAAAAGACTGTGAAGAGTAGGCAAGTACGGGGGGCCAAGATGAAGTCAGTGCTGCACAGACCCTCTGTGGTTAGGCACAACTTTAGGCTAAAGTCAATGCTAAGCTTTTGGAGCCCAGCCTGGGTTTCTCTGTAGAAGGGTTTTTAAGTGTAGATTTTACACACGCGCACACACACACATACACACTGATTTTGAAAATTAAAAATTAAATGTTTTAGTGGCTTTCAGATATATACAATTGAACTTATTTTATCTTGTGTCAAATTTGATAAGTTGTGGTTTTCAAGAAATTTGTTCACTTCATCTAAGTTGTCAAATTTGCTAGCAAAAAAATTGTTTATAATATTCTTTATCTCTGTAATTATGTCCTCTTTTTCATAACTGATATTGGTGATCTTGTTTTCCCACCTTCTCCCCATTGAACAAACAAGCAAGGACTTTGTCAATTTTATAATTTTGTTGTTGTTGTTGTTTTGTGAGACAAAGTCTCACTCTGTTGCCCAGGGAATCTCGCTCTGTCGCCCAGGCTGGAGTGCAGTGGCAAGATCTCAGCTCACTGCAAGCTCCGCCTCCCAGGTTCACACGATTCTCCCCTCTCAGCCTCCTGAGTAGCTGGGACTACAGGCGCCCGCCACCACACCCGGCTAATTTTTTTTTTTTGTATTTTTAGTAGAGACAGGGTTTCACTGTGTTAGCCAGGATGGTTTCGATCTCCTGACCTCGTGATCCACTCACCTTGGCCTCCCAAAGTACTGGAGATTACAGGTGTGAGCCACTGTGCCCAGCTGACCTAACTTTTTATTTATTTCCTTCTACTTTCTCTGTATTTAATTTGATGGTTTTTAGCTTCTTGAGTTGGAAGCTTGTTGATTTTTAACCTTTTTTTCTCAGAAATGAATTTAAAGCCATACATTTTCTTGCAAGTACTTCTTTAGCTGTATCCACAAGTCTTTTTTTTTTTTTTTTTAGAGACCAGGGTCTTACCCTGTCACCTAGGCTTGAGTGTAGTGGCATGATCTCGGGTCACACAGCCATTATTTCGTGGGCTCAAGCAATCCTTCTGCTTCAGCCTCCTTAGTAACTAAGACTACTGGTGCATGCCACCATGCCTGGCAATTTTTTTTTTCCCCTAGAGATGGGGTCTTGCTATGTTGACCAGGCTACAAAATTTGACAACTTTCGTGTTAGTATAGTTTTTTTCTTCTTCTTTCTTCCTGCTGCTTCTTGTTTTTTGTTTGTTTGTTGGTTTTTTTGACAAGGTCTTTGTCTGTCACCTTGGCTGGAGTGTAGTGGTGTGATGATAGCTCATTGCAGCCTTGAACTCAAGGGCTCCGAGTAGACGGGACTGCATATGTCACCACTCACAGCTAACTTTAAAAATTTTTTGTAGAGACATGATCTCACTGTGTTGCCCAGGGAGCTCTTTAACTCCTGACCTCAAGCAGTCCTCCTGCCTTGGCCTCGCAAAGTGCTGGGATTACAGTTGTGAGCCACCGTGCTCAGCCCACTAGCCCTTCCTACTGATGGTGATTAGGTTGCAGGGCCTGTTGCCTATTTGGAACCTCTGAGTTGGTGATATTAAAGCGTTGCCATCTGCATGTCAGAGGCTTTGTGTTCTCTTTTCTGCAGTTTCCACTTATGCAAAAGTTACCATAAGAGGAGCCAGAAAGGGTTGTTGGGATGTTGAGCCAGCCTATAATTTTAACAACCAGGACATCAAGGCCAAGCGAGCCACAGTCTGCTTAGGTCCCACAACTGGTACCAATGGCACTGGGGCCAAGCCCCACGACTTCTAATTCCCAGGTCACTGCTCACCATTCCTTTAACTCCTCCACTATGTCCTCACCTTGGCTTACGTGTTTGTACATATTGTCAATCCTCCATGCAGATTCAAATTTGACTTCATATACTTCCACTCATCTTGGCAGAGAAAATGGACTTTATAGTGATTGTTTTGATTTCTTTCTTTGCGTTGTAACTTAGGTTTTATTATAGCATATCCAGTAGGACAAAAGTCACATTGAAAGACTATTGTGAGTGAAATCCAGTCTTTGATTGCCTTGCAAACTAAAGTGTACAATTACAGGTTTGAAGACCTTTCGATCGGTCGGCCAGGGGTGTAGGAATGTAGAAGGCTTTGCTTCCAGCTTCCTTATGATACTCTGGGGAAGTGTGTTGCAGGCGTCATGACTGCCAGCTGTCCCTCCTCACCTCCACCACTCACCACCTATTTTTCTTTCTGTGTATGATCGAATGATACTTGCTGCCGTTCGCTATGGATGGTCCGGGCACCAATCCAATAAACCCCTTGCATTTAGCTTGCCTTTTAAAAACATTAAATTGTCTTCCATTTTTTCCTTCACTCCTAGCTTTTAGTTTTATAGTCTAATATTATTTTTCAACACTACTTTTAATACTTAACAGTGTGGTCATATTTAGTGTTCAGGGATCTATATGCTTTATTTAAAATGTGTTGAAAATCACTTTATTTTTCAAAATTTTTTTTCTTATAAATCATTTCAAAAATTCTGAAACAATGAGACCCTTAAGATTTAACCAGCCGGGTTCAGTGGCTCATGCCTGTAATCCCAGCACTTTGGGAGGCCGAGGTGGGCGGATCAGTAGGTCAGGAGATCGAGACCATCCTGGCTAACACGGTGAAACCCCATCTCTACTAAAAATACAAAAAATTAGCTGGACGTGGTGGCAGGCGACTGTAGTCCCAACTACTTGGGAGGCTGAGGCAGGAAAATGGCGTGAACCCGGGAGGCGGAGCTTGCAGTGAGCCGAGATCACGCCACTGCACTCCAGCCTGGGCGACAGAGCGAGACTCCATCTCAAAAAAAAAAAAAAAAAAAGATTTAACCAAACCATTTCTCTCTTCTGTAATCTTCTAATAATTTCTGTCATTTAAACAAATTATTCTTTTCTGTTGAAAGATATATATTTTGGAAATGTCCCCTGCCCTGATTCCTTTCATTTCTGTAAAGAAAACACTGGAGACAAACCACTGGAATGAGCCATAGTTATTTGCGCCTGAACATCAATCACTCTTCCAGCCTACGAGGGGACCCCCGTGATAATCCCCCTTCGCCTCTGCCAAAAGATGTCAACAGCATCTTATGTAATGTTACTCTCTGTGGACAGATGACCCCAGATATGTGTCTCTGGCCTTGGCCTGCGACCGTTTTATTATCGGGCTTCTGCATGTCTTTCTTTTTTTTTTTGAGACGGAGTCTCACTCTGTTGGCCAGGCTGGAGTGCAGTGGCGCGATCTCAGCTCACTGCAACGTCCACCTCCCGGGTTCAAGCGATTCTCCTGCCTCAGCCTCCGGAGTAGCTGGGATTACAGGCGTGTGCTACCATGCCTGGCTAATTTGTTGTGTATTTTTAGTAGACACAGGGTTTCACCATGTTGGTCAGGCTGGTCTTGAACTCCTGACCTCATGATCCGCCTGCCTCAGCCTCACAAAGTGCTGGGATAGCAGGCGTGAGCCACCGCGCCCGGCCTTCTCCATGTCTTTCTGATGGCTTTGTCTCCTTTGGACAGGCACTGATACCTCAAAGAAGAGTTCAAAGGTACAGCTTCCATTGACTTCGGCTGTCAAGGCTTGTGTCACATATTGTTAAGAGGGGATAATAAGGTTCCTTGCTTCCTTTATTTTCTCTACGGCACATTATTGTTACTTTTGTTATCAAAACTTGAAACTTGGATTTTTAAATGATTTTCTTTCTCTTTTGTAACTCCATGCCAATTTCTATTGTTTCCTCAATAGTATATTACTTTCAGATTTATCTTTTTCTGCCAAGAGCTTTATTATTTAATATTACAACGGTAAAAAAATTCCTCCCATTTAAATCTTTCTAAACCATGGTGTGCCTACAGAAATTTTGCCATTAATTGCAAGTCTTAAGCAAAAGATATATCACTCCTACAACATTATCTCACACTTAGACACACTACATATATTCTGTTTACATAAAGTGTTTTTAAAAATTAATACAAAAGAGATGAAAAGATACTTTTCAAAAGAAGACATATATACCGCCAAACAAGCATATGAAAAAAGTTAGTATCACTGATCATTAGAGAAATCAAAACCACAATGAGATACCATCTCATGCCAGTCAGAATGGTTATTATTAAAAGTCAAGAAATAACAGACACCGGCGAGGTTGTGGGGGAAAAGGAATGCCTATTCACTGTCGGAATGTAAATTAGTTCAACCATTGCGGAAAACAGTGTAGCAATTCCTCTAAGAGCTAAAAACAGAACTACCATTCGACCCAGCAATCCCATTACTAAGTGTATACCCAGAGAAGTCTAAATCATTCTACCATAAGGACACATGCAGGCAACTGTTCATTGCAGCACTATTCACAATAGCAAGGACATGGACTCAACCTAAATGCTTATCAGTGGCAGATTGAATGAAGAAAATGTGGTACATATACACCGTGGAATGCTATGAAGCCATAGAAAGAACGATCACGTCCTTTACAGGAACACGGATGGAGCTGGAAGTGATTATCCTTAGCAAACTAACACGGGAACAGAAAACCAAATACCACATGTGCTCACTTATAACTGGGAACTAAATGATGAGAACACATGGACACAAAGGGGGAACAACACACACAGAGGCGTACTTGAGGGTAAAGAGTGGGAGGAGGGAAAGGATCAGGAAAAATAACTATTGGGTAGTAGGCTTAGTACCTGGGTGATGAAATAGTCTGTACAACGAACCCCTGTGTTATGAGTTTACCTATATAACAAATCTGCACATGTGCCACTGAACCTAAATTAAAGTTTTCAAAAATTTACTTCAATATTTTGTTGTTCATTTTTCTTTGCCCAATATTAATTAACTTAACAATTATTTTGACCTTACCATGTATCACAGACATGGTCCATGCCTTCTTGGAGCTAACAGCCCAGTGAGTGAGATTGACCAGAACTCTTTTCTAAATTCAATGAGAATATTTTAGTCGCTAACTCTTCCACTGATTACAACTAATTTTGAGAACAAAAAGCATCTACCTGAAGACTCTGAAAAGTAAACAACAGCAGGGGAGAGAAATAAAAACTTGAAAAATGACCAATACCAGTGAGTTTCCAAGTTTTTTTTCTTTCTTCATCTTTTGCCTTCCACACAAGGGTGGCCTGCAGCATGAACTATAGAGCTTCACAGTGGACACAGAGAGCAAAAACTCTTAAGAGAACCCCTTCCTTTCAGCCAGGTGTGGTGGCTCTCACCTGTAATCCCAGCACTTTGGGAGGCCAAGGCAGGAGAATTGCTTCAGACAAGGAGTTTGAGAACAGCCGTGCAAAACTCTGTCTCTACAAAATATACAAAAATTAGCCTGGTGTGGTGGCGTGTGCCTGTCGTCCTAGCTACTCAGGTGGCTGAGGCATGAGAATTGCTTGAATCTCAGAGGTAGAGGTTGCAGTGAGCCAAGATCATGCCACTACCCTCCAGCGTGGGTGACAGAGCAAGACTCTGTCTCAAAAAAAAAGAGAAAGAAACCCTTCCTTTCTGACCACAGAAAAACAAGTCAAGAGTGCAGGGGATGGGAAGTCCCTATTTACGTTTCTTTTCTTCCTTTTTTTCTATTTTGGTCCAGCCACAAGGGCAGCTCACCTTGCACAGCTATACTACTGTGGTGATGATGGGGGCAGCTGAAACCCCAAGATAAAACTATCATTATGATCAGAGGAACCAGGAAAAGGGGCTTCTGGGAGTCAGACCATGTGGGGGACATCTCAGAGAGAAGTGCATTGGAGAAGGGCACCCCCTAATTATGTGTATGAATCTAGCCAACTCTCGAGCTCATCCAGAGCTGTGAGTGCACAGAACAGACCCAGAGAAGCATAAGAAAAGCCTGGAGAACTGAGATAGAAAACACCGCCCACAGAAAGCAAAAAGGAACTTGCCGTCTGAACCAAAACAGGCTGCAAAACAAACCACAAAAAATCAGCATGATCACACAAAGCCCAGAGCTGCTCAACATATTAATATGTCCAAGATAGAATGCAGAATTATTTGATATACAAATAACCAGAAAACTATTCCCATTTCCCAAGGGAAAAGACAATCAACAAATGGCAACCATGAGATGACCCAGATATTGAAATTAGCACACAAAGTTTAAAGAGCTATTATAACTATACTTGAAATAAATGAAAAAATGGAAATGAGTTTTCAGTAGGAAAATCAAAACTATAAAAAAGAACAAAATGAATATTTTAGGACTGAAAAATACAACATAGTGCAAGAAGATGATTCACTGGATGGGCTTAATAGTAGAATGGAGGTGTCAGAGAAACAGTGGAAAATGATCAATAGAAATTATCCAGTCTGAAGTAGAGAAAGAACAAAGATTTAAAACAAAATGAGCAGAGCCTCAGGGACCTGTGGGATAATATCAAAACGTTTCACCTTTATATCCTTGGAGTCCCAGAGGAGAAGAGAAATAGGTGTGGAAAAATTATTTGAAACATAATGGCATGCTTAAAACTTACCAAATTCAGGGAAAAACAAACTTCCATGAACCCTAATCAGGATACACATGAAAAATATTGTGCCAAGACACAATAACTGCAAGAGGAAAAGAAGAAGAGGGATGGGGAGCAGGTAGATGAAAACAACAGATTGTATATAGGGGAAGAAAAATTTGAAGATTTCTCACTGGAACCGTGGAGACCAGAAGAGAGTGGAACATCTTCTAAGTGCTGAAAGAAAAAAACAAGCAGCCAAACCCCATTCCTCCAACAATACTCTGTCATCCCAGAATTCTATGTGCATCAACAATGTCCTTCAGAAATGAAGACAAAATACGTTTTTGAATGAAAGCCAATCAACAAGTCCAGCAAAATTGCACAACATAAAATCAACATACAAAAAATCAGTTACATTTCTGTAACTAACAATAACAATCTAAAAAGGAAATTTTAAAACTTTCATTTACAATACAAAGACTAAAATCCTTAGGAATATATTTAACCTAGGGGGTGAAAGGCTTGTACACTGAAAACCCCCAAAATATTGAAATTGTAAATGAAAAATTACCCCCATGTACATGTACTAGAAGACATAATATTGCTAAAGTGGGAATACTACCTGAAGGGATATACAGATTCAATGAAATCTCTCTCAATGGTATTTTTTTTTTTTTTTAAGATGGAGTCTCTGTCACCCAGGCTGGAGTGCAATGGCGCAATCTCGGCTCCCTGCAACTTCTGCCTCCCGGATTCAAGCAATTCTCCCGCCTCAGCCTCGCAAGTAGCTGGGATTACAGGCACACACCACCATGCCTGGCTAGTTTTTGTATTTTTGTAGAGACAGGGTTTCGCTGTGTTGGCCAGGCTGGTCTTGAACTCTTGACCTCAGGTGATCTGCCCACCTCGGCCTCCCAAAGTGCTGGGATTCCAGGAGTGAGCCACTGCTCGTGGCCTGTATTTTTTATGGAAACAGAAAAGCCCATCCTAAAGTTTACAGAAAATCTCTCTCTCTCTCTCTGTCACTCTCTCTCTTTTTATAAGACATGGTGTCACTATGTTGCCCAGGCTGGACTTGAACTCCTTGGCTCAAATAATCATCTCACCTCAGCCTACTGAATAGCTGGGATTACAGGTGTGTACTACTCCACCTGTCTGTCATATGGAATATTAAGGAACCCTGAATAGCTAAAATAATCTTGAAAAAGAAGACTATAGTTGGAGGACTCACAGTTCCTGATTTCAAAACTTACTACAAAGCCATGGTAATTAAACAGTGTGATCTTGGCTTAAAGATAGACAGAGAAACCAATGGTATAGAGAAGACAGCCAAGAAATAAGCCACTGCATATATCATCAGTTGATTTTTGACAAGGGCTCCAAAAAACCCTCTCCAGGGAAAGGGTAGTCTTATTAATGGTGCTGAGAAAACTGGATATCCACATGCAAAAGAATGAAGTTGGACTCTTCCGTTATACCACATACAAAAATTGACTCAAAATAAGTCAAAGACTTAAATGTAAAAGCTAAAGCTATAAAACTCGTAGAAGAAAACACAGGGGAAAACCTTCATGACATTGGATTTGGCAGTAATTTCTTGGAAATGACACCAAAAGCACTGGCAATAAATGAAAAAAATAGGTAAATTGGACTTCTTCTAAATTTAAAGTATGTACATCAGTGCAGTGTGGGAAAGTAAACAAAATTAAAGTTAGAAATGGTTTAATTCTTCCCTTCAACTCTGTATGCTTGAGTCTTCCTATCCCAGGCACCAGACATGTGAGGGGGCGAGCCTGTAAATGATCCCACCACCAGCCCTGCAGGTCAACCCAAGGAGCCAGCCCCCAGAGCCCTGCCCGATTTGCAGGTTCATGTGTAAAACAGATGTAATGGCTTACACCCCCATTTATATCTTAATTCACTTATTTTTATTCTTTTATGCTTATTTGAATGTCTGCTGATCTAATACATGTGAGTAATCTCTTAGACTGTCAAAAACCCATCATAGGGTCCAGAGATATGTTAATTGATAGAGTCATAGAGACTGACCATGTTGGGAATGACTGTCCAGACCCTAGTGCCCTGAATGTGGCGAATAAGACTGTTTTTATAGAAAAAGAGGCTCCCTCAGCTCTCAGGAGTCAGGGAGCAAATGCTTGGCCCCGAGGCGCTAGGAAGGGGAGTGAGAAGTGGCTGTTTAGAGTGTAGCATGGCACAGCATCACTGGAAATGCTTTGAAATCCAGAACACCACGTCACCTGCCACTAAAGAAATACTTCCACCAGGCTTCTAAAGAGAAGGATGTAATATGCTGAACATAAAACACATTAAACATAACAAAAATGTGGTTTGAGAAGAGATGAAGTAGAAACCAACTAGGTGAAGTCACTCTATTTGATTTACTAATGTATCAGTGAAGATAGGCTAAAGAGGCTAGGTTGTACTGCAGTGAGAAATAACCGGAAGAATGCTGGTAACTGTTTAACGACTGGTTCTTTGGAGCAGGGGTGGGGGGAGTGGAGCAGGGCAGGGGAAGACATTCATATATATATATACATACATACACACATATATATACATATATATACACATATATATACACATATATATCTGGGGAATAAGCTTATTATAAATTTTACTGATAGAAAAGGCATCAATTTATAAATTAAAAAAACCCACTACTCCCTACTGTATGTCTTATAAGTTCCAAATAATTAATTCTCATAGAGCATTTTTGTTAATTTTTGCAGTAATCTTGTAGCCAACCTCTGGTTTCAATTGTCAAGTGAATACAGTTCCAGCATGAATGTTGATTGCTGCATTTATTTATGTTTATGAGGAAGACCAAAGTAAAATGGCTACAAAGATGTATATTAAAACCTCACCCATTTGTTTCCTGAATTGATTGATGCTTTTCTGGAAGAATATTTCCTCAAATTTTTGTGCTATTCATAATGTGGCAGTTATAGACATAATACAGTTTTTGTTTGTTTGTTTGAGATGGAGTCTCGCTCTGCCGCCAGGCTGGAGTGTAGTGGCACGATATCAGCTCACTGCAACCTCCACCTCCCAAGTTCTAGTGATTCTTCTGCCTCACCCTCCCAAGTAGCTAGGATTACAGGCATGCGCCACCATGCCCAGCTAATTTTTGTATTTTTAGTAGAGATGGGATTTCACCATGTTGGCAAGGATGGTCTCAATCTCTTGACCTCATGATCCGCCTGCCTTGGCCTCCCAAAGTCCTGGCATTACAGGCATGAGCCACCGCACCCTGCCATAATACACTTTTAAGTTTAATCCACGGTAACATTTTTCTCTATCATTTTCTTAAGTCCAGAGAAACAAGAAAACAATCAAGCTCTGGTTTATAGAGCTTGCTAGTTTCCCTGGTGTAAATACTCATACCATGGCTGAACATGGAGGTGGGAAGAGATGCACAGTAGCGTACCGTGACATGGTATTTCCACTGTGCAGACCCAGTGCATGCAAATAACCTCAAGAAGAGATAGTAGTAAAATAGTTACACATATTTGAATATTATTTGTTTAAATGTTTGTAATTATAAGCTTATATAATGTAATTCTTAATAATGGCTCACAGAACTCCTGAAAATTTATTGCCTCTTGTGAGGCAATACTCACAGGCTCTAGCACTGCCCTGGGTTATCAGTAATGAACCTACACTACATTTAGCCTATTATTTCAGTTAGCTGCATTAGGGGCTTAAAACAACAACTTATGGTTTCTCAAGATTCTGTGATTTGACTGGGCTCAGCTGGATGGTCGTTCTGCTGGACATGGTGCCAGTGGGAGTCACAACGCTGTTGCCTTCATCTGGAAGCTCAGCTGGGACTGGGACACCCACCTGGCTTCACACAGACATCTGCACTTCAGCTGGGGGCTGGCTGAGTCTCTTCCCTCCAGCAGGACAGCCAAACTTCTTACCTGATGACTCTAGGCTTCAAGTGAGGGAGTGTGGAAGCTGTGAGGTCTCTCAGGAGCTGGTCCTGTAAAAGGCATGTGTGCACTGCATCATATCCTATAGGTTGGAGCAAGTCTCAGGGCCAACCAGATACAAATGAAAGGGAAATAGATTCCACCTCTTGATGGGGAGAGTGGCAAGTGTGTGCAGCAATTAGAGGAATTGTTGGCAGTCATCTTTGAAGACAACCTACCACCCTTATCTATGTAGTTTATCTTCTGTCTTCCACATTAGCATATAAACCACATGAGGGCAAGGAGTTTTATCTGTTTTGTTCACTGCTGTGTCCCTGACACCCAGGACTGTGCTTGGCACACAGAAGACACTAAGTATAATATTAGATGAATATATCAGTGTCAAACTATTTTCTTAATTCTCTGGTTTCTTCTAGTTCTTGCCCATATATATGTATATAGTTGGATAATTGCTCCAGATAATTGCTTTTAATGACATGAATGTTGGTATAACGGTAGTAAGATCACGATAAGATCTGTGGCTCTTTCAAGGTTGGGATTTTGTTTTTAATTAGGATAAGTTTTCCTCCGCTAAGCGAATGGCTTGTCTTTTTTTCTTTTGGACACGGATTTGTTCAACTGATCCTCTGCTGTCATGTTGGATGCAAGAAAGCTTGCTCAATTTTCAGATTTTAGATCTTCAAAGCATACATTTTGCTTTTTATTCCACTTCCGTCCCTAGTATAGGTTCTAGCGTGCCATTCCCTTTGTCTCATCTTTTGCACTTATATCAAAAAACCATTTATTTATTTATTTATATTTTTATTTATTTATTTATTTTGAGACGGAGCCTCACCCTGTCACCCAGGCTGGAATGCAATGGCACGATCTCGGCTCACTGCAAACTCCGCCTCCCGGGTTCAAGCGATTCTCCTGCGTCAGCCTGCCAAGTAGCTGGGATTACAGGCACACGCCTCCACGCCCAGCTAATTTTTGTATTTTTAGTAGAGATGGGGTTTCACCATGTTGGCCAGGCTGATCTCGAACTCCTGACCTCGTGATCCACCCGCCTTAGCCTCCCAAAGTGCTGGGATAACAGGCATGAGCCACGGTGCCCGGCCCCAGAAAACCTTTTAAAGAATAAAAGACAAATTGACCTGAAGCTCTTGCCGTATTTAGTATAGTGATCTATGTGATTATATACATCTTGTAGAAGTTTAATCTCTCCTGTACCTGTTTTCCTGTGCCATTTATCCACACTTCTGCATAACAGTTAGTTTTTAAATTAATGTATTTTTGTGGCAAAATACATATAAATTAAAATTTACTATCATAACCAATTTTAAGTATACGGTTCAGTAGCACTAAGCACATTGATGTTGTTGTACCATCAACCTCCTTCATCTTGCAAAACTGATACCCTGCACCCACTAAACAACAACCCCTGACTCCCACCTCTCCACAGCCCCTAATAACCCCCGCTCTACTTTCTGTCTATGAATTTGACTACTCTAGGCTCCTTACATGAGTGGAATCATACAGTATTTGTCTTTTTGTGACTGGCTTACTTCACTTAGCATAGTGTCCTCAAGGTTTATGTGATACTTCTTGCAGCATATCTATACTTTCTTAACATTCCGTACTGTAGGATGAGCTCCTTAAGTGTCAGGACCATCCTTTTATCCTGTACTCTTGGCACCTAGTATTTGTAGTAGGTTACATAACAAATGCCGACTGAATGACTAAATGAATGAAGGAAACAAAGAAGAAGGATTGTTTTTTAGGATATCCACTATATTCAGGATTTAGGGGAAAAAAGTCTATGTTTGCAAAGTATATATAAGATAAAAACTTATACCCAAAATATATACAAAACACTTAAAACTCAATAATAGGAAGGCAAACCATTAAGGAAAGGACAAAAGATCTTAACACCTCACCAAAGAAAATATACAGATGGCAATAAACACATGAAAAGATGCTCAACAACATATATCATGAGAGAAATGCAAAGTAAAACAGCCGTGAGATACCACTACATACCTAGGAGACAAAAACATATTGAAAAACTAAAGCAATTAACACCAGAACACTGACAACACCAAAGGCTGGCGAGGATGTGGAGCAACAGGAACTGTCAGTCATTGCTGGTGGGAATGCAAAATGGCACAGACGCTTTGGAAGACAGCTTGGCAGTTTCTTACAAAACTAAACCTACTCTCACCATACGATCCAGAAATAATACTCCTTGGCATTTACCCCAAAGGGCTGAAAACTCATGTCAACCTAAAAACCTGCACACAGATCTTTATAGTAGCCTTATTCATAATTGCCAAAACTTGGAAACAACCAAGATATCCTTGAGTAGAGGTGACAGGTAAAGAAACTCCGGTGCATCCAGACAATGGGCATTATTCAGTGCTAAAAATCAATGAGCTATCAAGCTATGTATAGACATGGATAAACACTTAAATGCATTTTACTGAATAAAGGAAGACAATCTAAAAAGGCTGCTACTGTAGAATTCCAGATATGTGACATTCTGGAATACTATGGAGACAGTAAAAGGATCAGTGGTTGCCAGGGGTTGTGGTGAAGATGGTGCATGGATGGAGCACAGGGAATTTCTAGGGCAGTGAAACTATCATTCCTGTTGATATTATAATGGCGGATACCTATCATTATACATTTGTCAAAACCCATAGGATGTACAACATAAGAGTGAGCCCTAATGTAAACTGTGGAGTTTCATTAATAATAATAATATTAGCTCATCAATTGTAACAAATGTACTACACTATTGCAAGATATTAAAAATAGGGAAAATTGAGGGTGACAGGATATATGAGAACGCTCTATACCTTTTGTGCAATATTTAAACCTAAAACTGCTCAAAAATAGCTATTTTTTTTTAGAAAACACGAATATTTTAAAAATCATTTATAATCCTTCCATTGTCCCTTTTCATTAAAATATAAAACAGAAACATGTGTTTCACTGATATGACCTGTTTTCGTGGCTGTTTTTTCTTTGCTTAATTTTCCTGCCATGGGGAAGACTGGCTAATTCTACTTTCTTCCCAGTCAGAAATAACTACCAGCAGAGGTTGCTAGAAGGCAGGCATTAGGAATCTTTCTGCTGTGGAGAGATGGGACGGTCCTGCACAGTGCTCGCTTTGCTTTGACGGCCACAGGCATGTCCCTTGGGAAAGCGATCCATGGCAGGGATTTCACAAAGAACTGAGGATCTTTGTATCTCTTTGTGTCTCTGTCTTATGAATATTCCCTGAGAAAGAAGTCAGCCTGGATACCTGACAACAGGCATGAATTCACACCCCTTTTTCTAGATGTTATCATGGAAGGAATGTTGAAAGAAATATGTTTCTTTCGTTTAGTCACCACTTCGGTGGTTAGAAATGTATTTCTAAATGCATTTGTCAAAAATATCTATTTCAATTTAAATATCTATTTAAATTAACACATTTGTTAAATCATTTTATTCTCAGTTTTTTCAGCGTCTGAGATATGTTTAGAGTTGCTAAAAGGTTCATTAAAATAGTTTTGTTAAACTCCCTTAATAAAATTCTGAATGTGATTCACTTTATTCCCAGAGGTTATCCAAGAAAGGAAGTGGAGAATGTTCTTTTTGAAAGCATGAAGTGGGAAAATGTTTAAAACTATTTATAGCAGCACTTAGCTGTGGAAATCCCAGACTTTGCCATCTATTTATAGTTACTCTTTGGGTTAAAAGGGTGAAACCAGAAATCTTGAAAATGCTACATGCTTTTATCCAGCAGTTAAAACTAATAAACTGTCTTTCTGTGGTTATGATAACCAGATACTTATAAGAGTAATTCTGGAAATGACAATAAGTACATCTGGCTTTTAAAAAAAACTGTTTAAATTTAAGAGAGTAATGTTTTCTCCGATTAAGTGATTTGTGTTTGGGTTTCTTATGTTTTCGAGTTATCTGCAAATCGCATTCTCTCTGTAGCATGTGGGATTTCTAATGACAAGTGGGATTGACAAAAATTTGCACACGGGCTAGTAAATCTCCAGTGCTGGTTGGTCATCTGAATAAAAAGAAGGCCAGGTAAAATTACTGGACTTCAAACGCAGAATTTAAACCTTCCTTGGGGGAATACCCATTTCTGAAATTTCTGCCAGGCTATAACCTCAAACTCTGCTCTGGCCTTGAATATATGGCACAGAATTTACACCTATGCAGTGTAGAATATATAATCTATTGGCCTTTAGGAATTTAATTGTTTTAGTTGCTGAATATGTTTTTTTTTTTTTTTTCTGGAGGCAAAAAGACCAGTTAGGAGGTTGTTGCTGTAAAATGAATGTTAAGTGCATATGAGAATTTGGGAGAGGTCAGTGGCCAGCAAGACTGGAGAGGAAGGGATATGTCTGGAGGCTTTTTAGAAGTAGGCTCAGTTGGCTTTGTTGAGGTGTTTGCATGTTAAAATGAAATTCTTCTGCTGGGCGCGGTGACTCACGCCTGTAATCCCAGCACTTTGGGAGGCTGAGGCAGGTGGATCACCTGAGGTCAGGAGTTCAAGACCAGCCTGGCCAACATGGTGAAACCCCGTCTCTACTAATAATACAAAAATAAGCTGGGCATGGTGGCACGTGCCTGCAATCCCAGGTACTCCAGAGGCTGAGGCAGGAGAATCGTTGGAACCTGGGAGGCGGGGGTTGCAGTGAGCTGAGATCACGCCACTGCACTCCAGCCTAGGCGACACAGCAAGACTCCATCTCAGAAAGAAAAGGAAAGAGAAAAAAAGAAAAAAGGACAGGAAAGGGGAGGGGAGGGGAGAGGAGTGAAAGAAAGGAAGAAAGAGAGAAGGAGGGAGAGGAAGGAAGGAAGGAAGGACTTCTAACTGGGGGGAAAGAAGGAAGGAAGGGAGGGAGGGAAGGAAGGGAGGGAGGGAAGGGTAGGAAGGAAGGACTTCTAACTGGGGGGAAAGAAGGAGGGAAGGGAGGGACGGGAGGGAGGGAGGGAAGGGAAGAAAGGAAGGACTTCTAACTGGGGGGAAAGAAGGAAGGAAGGGAGGGACGGGAGGGAAGGAAGGAAGGAAGGGAAGGACTGATTGCTAACTAGGGGGAAAACTGGGGGGAAATTTTGCCCCAGTAATAATGTGAACTTTGGCTTTGTATAAAAATGAAGAGATGATTAAGAATGGATAAATGTCATCCTGGACAACATAATGAGACCTCATCTCTAAAAGAAAATAAAAAAAAATTAGGTGGGTATAGTGGTGCATGCCTGTAGTTCCAGCTACTCTGGAGGCTGAGGCAGGCGGATTGCTCAAGCCTGGGAGGTTGAGACTGCAGTGAATTGTGATCGTGTCACTGCACTCCAGCCTGTGCAACAGAGTGAGACCTTGTCTCAAATAATTAAAAAAAAAATTAAAGAATGGATAAATGCAGTGGTGAAAAAAACAACAAAATCAGGTTGCTGCCTCAACAGCTCATTCTTTGCATACTCCTTACACAAAATCTGACTTAAATAGCAGACATTATTAATCATCATTAATGCAAATCTGTAAATAGAACTCACAGAACTCAATATGCTTTTGTGTCAATCAGGTTAGAAAAATCAGACTTCTGAAATGCAATTGTAAATGCAAAATACTCTGAAGCCTTTTCAACTACGATTCTCATTTTTTATTAAATTCCATTCTGCTGCCTGGGTAGTATCACGTAAAAATGCAGCGTAAACCTCTAAGTGAGCATGACACATTCATGCCTGCAAACTGGAGGACGAAACTTACCTGATAACTTCCATCCACCTAAGCCCAGTGATTGCTTCTTCTCAGCTCCCAAAACGCGGGCTGCGTGGGCCATCCATTTGTCACTTTGTGACATGCTGTCCTACGCCACCTCTGACGCCAGTGTCCTTGCTATTTGTTCCTGTAGCAGCCCCATTTGAAGCACTCGTTTCCTGTGGCCACGATGGTGTGTCTGCCTGCACCACCGTAAGTAACCTCTGCTCTGCAGCCTCGCCTCCTCCTGCTGAAGAGTTGACTGATTTCCTTGGAAACCACATGTGCCGCATTAACCAGAAGGAACTTGGGGTGGACAGTTAGGCTCCTGAAGTCCTCGCCCTGTTTTTGCTATCAACATTTGAAGTGATTCTGAACAAACACTTAACCTCTTTAAGTCTCTGTTTCCTCTGTTCTGAAATGAAAGACTGGGCCAAGTACTCTCTAAGGCCTCTCTAACTCTAAATGGCTTCACTCCCTCCCCTTATGCCCCTTCTCTCGACTGGACCGAACTCTGAGGACTATATGGTCCCACTTAGAACCAGTTTCCCAAACCTCTAGATGATATCTACAAGCACACAACCCAAAAGAAAACCTAAGAGTGGCTTTAAGGGAATCTAAACTGGTTAATGAAGAGATGACTGGTCTCATGCAGAAGCTGTTGGCTCCCTTAAAGGGCCCGAGGAAACCACTTGAGAAATTTGCAGAAATAGCAGCTCACAGAGTCAACTTGGCCTTCATGGAAGTTGAAGTGGTGTTTTACATCGTTGGATGATATCAAGATGTAAAACTTTTAGCCCAGAGGCTTTGGAGAGGATGTTGTGGAATATGACTCTACGTCCTGTGCCTTGTCCTTGAACCTTATCGGCTCAAGTCTGCTGGACTTTGCCTCATCCTGTTTGGATGGGCAGGATCCACTTCAGTGGGGCTGGTTGGAGAGGATGGTTGTGTTTTCTTTTTCTTTTTAAACCAACCTTCTTTCCTTCCTTCCTTCCTTCCTTCCTTCCTTCCTTCCTTCCTCCCTCCCTCCCTCCTTCCTTCCTTCCTTCCCTCTCTCCCTCCCTCCCTCCCTCCTTCCTTCCTTCCTTCCCTCTCTCCCTCCCTCCTATCTGTCTTTCTTTCTGTCTTTCTTCCTCCCTCCGTCCCTTCCTTCCTTTGTTCTCTTTCACTTTCTCTCTCTCTCTCTTTTTCAAGATAGGGTCTCATTATGTTGCCCAGGCTTGTCTTGAACTCCGGGCCTGAAAAGATCCATCCACCTTGGCCTCCCACAGCACTGGGATTATAGGCATGAATCACCGTGCCTGCCCAGGGGATGGTTCTTTGTAACAGTGGGGCTGAGTCCAGATTGTCAACAGATAGGGATCACAACTGGAGGCTTGGGACCACTGGGAGCAGGATCTGTGTGTCCTCAGAGCCGAGGTCCTAGAGCAGCTTCCCTTCCCCTGGGTCCCAGGCATGCTCACTGATGGTGGCCCTGGGAGTCACTGTCCCCAGCTAAGACGGCTTGACAGCAAAGGTCCCATGCCTTCATTCATCATTTCCATGACAGAACTTTGGATGGGGAAAGAGGGACAGAGCCCTAGGGACACAACACCCCTTGTTATTCCGGTTAAATCCTCCCTGCAACATTCACAGCTCCCGACCCACTACAGTGACCCCTAGGCCTTGTTAGCCCAGGATTGGGAATATGTGCCTCCACCTCTTCTCCTACAGGTGGACTTGTGTCTCTGAGTAGATTTGGTGATATTTTTTAGATGGGGAGAGAGGTGGGGGAAGGACTACATTGTACTTGAGGCACATGAACTAAGGCCTGATCCCAGTTGCAGCTTCAGAAACACCCAGGAAACCCTCGAGTAGTGAGGGTTGTCTCTGAAAGGTGTCATTGCTTCCTAGAGTCCACCCCATGCCATCCAGGCCGCATTCCCCGCTCCTTCCTGTATACTCTGGGTATTCACACGTTGCCTAAATGAAAGCATGTTTATGGTCACTAGTGTTTCATGTGTCAGGTGTAAAAGGCACCAGAATGATGCCTCTTCTAAAAGTACACATGGATGGGGGATGGGGAGGGTCCTACTGAATTTCTGGGACTGTGAGCCCAGGCACAGTATTTTGGGGAAAAACAAAACCTGCCCAGGTGACTCTGATCTGCAGCCAGGATTGAAATCCACTGAATTGGAGTCATGACAAGAAAACAAGTGATTCAGCCAGTGATCTTCTGTCCTTGGCTTCACTAGTCTCCATCTCCTAACAAATCTTGCTTTACACTGGATCAATTTTCCAACGTGCTCTATCCCGGGGCCGCTATGGCAGAATCCTCGAAGGAATCCCATCGTTCACTGCACCTCATTTCAAAGCGATTTAACAGCAGGACCACAGCAATAATGAAAAGACCCTCCCTATCTTTTTATGGGTAATTTGATTATACACGGTGCTTGAATGTTTACGATAAAACTCCTTTGTATGCTCAGATAAGAAAGCTGCTATTTTTTTTTTTAAGCCAGCAAACAATCTAGTACATCTGCATGGTCATTGGTAGTGAGGGCTGTACCCAGGCAAGGAGCTGAGATTGAACTCAGCACACACGCACAGGGGAATGACTTCCATAGCCCATGGAGTCTAATGGGTGTGAATACAGAATGCGCTGTAGAAAGAAGCAGAGTTGGTTAGAGGCTGGGCATCTGCAGGCCTTGAAGAACTGACTGGGGAGCTGCACATAGTCAGCACCTGAAAATAGACAGAGAAAGATGAAATCCACTAAACAGAACACATAACTGGGTCACCATGATTTTCTTGTTAAGGAATCAACAAGTTTGAGCCTCAACTGGGAGATCAATTGGAGCCAGCAAAAGCAGCAAAGGCAGTTGTTTCATGGGGTTCTGCTCGGGTAAAGTTAAGAGGGGTTCAGTAGAGCCTTGAGATAGTGGGGAATCAGGCCTGGATCACAAACAAAGCACCACGTACATCTTCAAACTTCTCAGTTGGGAGTGCCAAATGGGTTTTGTGGTCTCTCAGTGTTTATTTGCATATTGCATATGTTGAATATTTGTATTATTTAGTATTACATGGCCATTAAACTTCTCTGAGTCATTAAGTGTGGCATTAAGATGCTCTTTTTGGGATTCATGATTGAACTCCCTCCTAGAGATCTCCATTTAAACACGCTCTGGGCACCTCAGATTTATCTAGTGCAAATTCAAATTAATAATCTCATTTCTAAGCCTCTTCATCCTCTGTCTTCCTTATTTTATGGAAGTAAAACTATCCATCTACCCACTTGGACTCCCTGCCATCTAAATCAGGCAATCGGTAAGTCCTTTTGATCTTACTTCAAAAAGGTGCCCTGATCTCTCTCTTCCCTTCCATCCTTGCTGCCGCAGCCCTAGTCCAGATGCTCATAATCTCTAAACAGCCACTTGCCATAACCCAATACATCTTTTGGTCTCCAGTCTTGCCCCACCCAAGCCATCTACCACACTCTTACCAGAATGACCTTCCCAAACACAAATTGACTCTCCCCATTCTCGGGCATGAAAGCTATTGATAGCTTGCCAGTGCTCACTAAATTCAGACAAGCTGTATTAGCATGAAATATCCAGCTTTTCACTAACTCATTCCAGTCCCCATTTCTGGCATCACAGCCATCCTGTCTGCTTCTCACACCACACACTCTGGTCTACATGGTTGGGTAAATTACTACTTCTGTAAGTGCCATCTAGATACCTCTATCTAGATGTCTTTATCAGTGTTATTACCTTCTTCCAGAATGGCCTCTCCCCCTTTGCTCTGTCCAGAAATCTCTTACACGTTTTCTAGACCAATCCAAGTGCCATCTGCCCTAATGCTCTTTCCCATTCTTCCTTCTTAATCCTTCATCCAATTTAATACTTATCCTGACTGCACTTGATATACTTCTATGTGACAGACTCAATGACAGCTATTTGTTTATCCTGGTTTCTGAGCTGCTCACGTGCAAGGATTATACCTATTTTTTTAAGCCTCCATGTCAAGTAGGTGCTTAGACAATGTGTATTTAATCGAATTGGAAAACTTGAGGGGGCCTTGATTTACTGAGATGGGACTCACTGAAACTTCAAATAGATCCCTTGGTTTTACTTCCCACATTTCTACTTGGAAGAGTTTACTCACAACTCAGTGTATTCCTATCAGACATTTATCTAAAAAGCAACAGGCTGTGTTCCAGGGTTGCTACAAATTTAGCCCTATCTCATAGACTTTCTACAAACAACATGGTACAATAATTCTGAGGTTCTGGAATAAAGATTTCTGGTGAGTACAGTGTATTTACTAGGACAAGAAAACAAAGAAAAATTTTTGAAAGATTTTCAAAAAGGTGGATTGAACTCAAGCAGGGTTTCTGGTTACAATATTAACCAGGGAATTCAGAAAACTATGACATTCCTGTCTCTGAATATCATGGTTAGCTGAAGATATATTAAATTTGAAAACAGTAAATAATGTGACATATTTCTTAGAGTTTTAACTGTGAACTTATGTGAGATTCTGAACTCCACTTCCCTCACTAAATCCCTTCAACTTAGTTTTATTGTATTAACATAATTAGATTTAGATGGAATATTTAATTTTTTACATCATTTTAAATTTTCTCGTCTATCCATGACTATATTTTTTTGCCTATACTTTGAGAATCTAATTCATTTCATGAAAAGCATGCAGCCATTATATTTAATTCGTTTGTTATTTTTACCCCCATTGGATAAGTTATCTTGGGGGTAAGTTACTTTTGGCAAAGGTAGTATATATTATTAGTTAATTCTAAATAATCTTAGAGTTAGCATTTTGGTTTAAGAACATTCATATGGGAACAACTAAATGTACTACACTGATTTAAATCCTCCCATTTTCCCTCAGAAGCTGTTGTGAGTTATCCTGGTTTCATTGGTACCTGCTGGCAAGCATCTCAAGTGGGCACTCCAGAAAGGAAATTGTGTACCAGTCAAGATGTAGCAAGCACTTGGGGCTGGCACATTCGTGATTTGCGATTGTGCTTTTCTTGTGCCAACCCACGTTCCCCTCTTCCAAGTAAAGACTCTGTTACAGAGATTTCCCTGGGGTGCCAGAGAGTGGTATGTGGCTGCAACACTAATCCCATGCCTTGGTTTCACTACGGACGAAGTAGGGGGCTACGGGACGCAAAATATTGTGAAGCGGAAGTCACTGACAGATGAAGAGCCTTTCCATCCTGAAAAAGAGAGTCCTCTCACTCATTCTGTCTTTTGGGAATTTATTTGGAAAGAACATAGGCTTTGGAACCAGAGAGATGGAATTTGAATCTCCCCTCTGCTACTTAGACGTGGGTGACCTTGGGCAAGTTACTTAACCCTTAATAGCAGGCATTTCTTCTTCTCTAATAGTGGTTCTGCGGATTGAATGAGGTAATTAAGGAAAGCTTCCCCACACAGAAAGGGGCCTGTTAGTCCCTTTCATCTGTGCTACTAATCTCTTAAAATGCAGTTGACTTTTTAACCTCAGTGTGACTTAACTTTCCTCAGATCATTGATGAAGATGGTCAAGGAATGCTAGTTCTGATTTGGGAACAAACTCTGGACATTACAGGCTGGCCTGAGCAGGGTGCTGACCCCAGCAAGCCCTATGGGGCCACACAAGGGAGATGGAAGGAGGAGTCTCATAAAGGGCCAGGGAGAGGGACTGGGAAACCACTCTGGCTTTGCAGTTTTGCGTGGGCACCTCTTTGCAGGTAATACCACTGGGTCAAGTCAGTGCTGAAGCCAGTGTAGGTGGGAGGGCCACCAGCCCCACTCAGTCTATTTCTTTTCTTTTAATTTTTCTTTTTTATTGATATATAAGATTTGTACGTATTTGTGGGGCACATGGGATATTATGGTACATGCATAGAGTAGATAATGATCAGGTTAGGTTAGGATATCCATCACTTCGAGGAGTAACCATGTGTGATGGAACCATTTCAAAGCCTTTTCTAGCTATTTTGAAATATACAATACATTGTTGACTATAGTCACCCTACTATGCCATTAAACATTAGAACTTACTCTTTCTACATAATTGTATGTTTGTACTCATTGACTTTCCTCTCATCATCCCCCACCCCCAACCCCACCCTGCAACACATACGTCCTTCCCAGCCTTTGGTATCCATCATTCTACTCTTTAGCTTCATGAGGTCCACATTTGTAGCTGCTGCATTTGAGTGAGATCATGCGACACTTATCTTTCTGTGCCTGCCTTTTTTCACTTAATGACTTCCAGTTCCATTCATGTTATTGCAAATGACAAAATTCTATTCTTTTTTATGGCCAAATGGTATGTTATTATGTATGCAGACCACATTTTCTTTATTCATTCATCCATTGGTGGACACTTAGTTTAGTTCTATATCTTTGCTACTGTGGAAAGCACAGCAGTAAACATGGCAGTACTTTGATATACTGATTTCTTTTCCTTTGCATAAATATCCAGTAGTGGGAATGCTGGATCGTTTGGTAGTTCTATTTTTAGTTTTTTTGGGACATCTCTATACTGTTTTCTGTACAGGGTTCCCTTTTCTCCATATTTTTGCCAGCATCTCTACTTTTTTATAATAGCCATTTTAACTTGGATGAGATGATATCTCATTGTGGGTTTGATTTGCATTTCCCTGATGATTAGTGATGCTGAGCATGTTTTCATGTACCTGTTGGCTATTCGTGTGTCTTCTTTTCAGAAGTGTCTATTCAGATTCTTGGCCCAGTTTTTAATGGAATTATTTTTGTTGTTGTTGAGTTGAGTTCCTTGTATATTCTGGGTGTTAGCCCCTCATCAGGTGAAGTTTGGCCAATATTCAAATGATCAGAGACAGGTTGTCTCTTCACTTTGTTGTTTTCTTTGAAGTACCTAAGCTTTTTAGTTTAATATAGTCCCATTTGTCTATTTTTGATTTTGTTGCTTATGCTTTTGAGGTCTTAACCATAAACTCTTTGCCTAGACCAACATCCTGGAGTGTTTCCCCTGTTTTCTTCTAGAAGTTTTCTAATTACAGGTCTTAGGTTTGAGCTTCTTTTAAACCAGTTTGATATCTACAAATATCTTCTAATAAGACAAGAACTTTACTATGCTCTCATATCTTTTGTTCTTGCCATCTTCTGCCAACCCATTAATATTGGCATTAACTAACTTTTAATTCTTAGTTGTAAGGATGTATTTTTTCTTGTTAGTCTTATCAATTTGTAAAGATAACAACTCTACTAAGGTATAAAGTCATTTTTCCTTCAAGAATTTCTTGGAATATCTCTTGAATTTCCTTCACTTTTTAGTTAGTTTTTCAAAACTATTTTCAATGTGACCTTTTCTACAAAATCTTGAAAGCACTTGTATGCCTGAGGAAATTCATCATCTCATCTTATTTGAATGATAGTTTGGCTGGATATAAAATTCTACATTTTTAAGTTCTTTTCCATCAGTATGTCGAAAATAAGATTCCAGTTATCTTGCATCCATTGTTGCTGTTAACAAAGATGATATCAAGCTGATTCTTGTTCTTTCATATAGCCTCTTTCTTTCTTTCTTTCTGTGGGCTTTTAGAATTTCTCTGTTTTTTTCATGCTCTTACATTTCAGTTTAGTACGTGTAGGTGAGGTTTTCCTTATTCTCTTTTGTGGTGCTCTACGAGTCCTTTAAATCTGAGGTCAGTCTTTTCATTCTGGGAAACTGATCTGAACTACTTCTTCAAATATTTTCCCCTCTTCACTTTTTCACTCTTGTCTGAGCTGCCTATTACTTATCTGAATGTTTACGTTTCTTTTTTATTCTCATATTGCCTTAAAATTTCACCCCTACTTAATCTGTCCTGTCCTTTCTCCCTTTAAGTCTGTTCCAGTCTTTGTGATCCAAATCTTATATTTCTTCCAATGAAGAGAGGAGAGAAAGAGAAGAACTTAAGTGTTTTCTTGCATCTTCAACCTCTCCCTGCCCTTTGTATTATTTATATGGTGCCTCATTGAGTTGCAGGCACAGGGGATGTCCCTGTATCTCTGACAAACACTGATAGAGAGCTGAGGATGCAGGACCTCAGATCCCATCCCACCTCTGCCATTCTAGGACTAACAGACCCCTTGCTACTTTTCTGGGTCTCATTGGAAGAAGGGACTCATTTACCCTTTGTCTTCCCCACTCGCCTGGGTGCACTCAAAAGACCTGAAGCTCTTTCTGAGGCAGTGGCTCAGTGGTTGGGGGAGCTGAAAAGGGTTGGGCATCTTGCAGCCAAGTTGGCGGGTGGACTTCCCATGTACCACAGTAGCCCCAGTGCTGGGGGTTCGGGGGCACTGGCCTAGCATACACCACACTTCTTTTCCCAGGCACATCACTCTTAGCCCTCAGAGAGCTTCTTTTATCCCCTTCAGACCCTGGCTGTGGGAGAGGTTGTCCTTGCAGAGGTTGTCCTGGCAACCTTTGCCCCCATGGAGTGTGTCATGCCTTTGCTGGCATCACCTCCCCTGTAAAGTCATAGCTGCACTGCTTCTTGGAGCGCTTGGCCACATGAACCTCACTGTGCCTCTGCAGGGGTGTGGAGGAAACTAGAAAGAGGCCTTGGGCTACCCATATTCCAGGCTGGAAAACACGAGGGCATCCTGGCAGCCACACTGCCGACCTGGGATCCTGAGGCCTGTGTCTCTACCTACCCATTGTTCCTCGGGCATTGGGAACACCCATATTCTGGAACACTTTCCTAATCCACTTCCTTTTCTACTGCAGAAGCCCTGATTCCTCCCACATCCACTCCCTCTGCTCTCTTTTCTTCCTAGGGCCACTGCAACCTGGCTCCATTTCTTAATCCCCCAAGTCTTAATCCTCTCAAGCTCTGCCATCCCAGTGGTCCCCCGAATGGGAGCAGCCAGGACATTGGAAGTATTTGAGCTAAAACTGAATATTTTATCAGAAGTTTGAACTCTGGGTGGGGAGGCAAGAATGATTGACCTGGGTGAAATGTTCGGTCCCTCCCAATCTTCAGATGCTTGGAGGATCTGCAGGTCATCCTGTGGGAATTGCCTTTTCTCCCTCCACCCTGCACCACCCTCCACCCCCGACCCCCTGCCCAGCCAACTATGGCCCCTATGTCTGCCCCTAAGAATGGGGGGCCCTGGCCCACTATGGCCCCTATGTCTGCCCACTGACTGGCTGCCCTGCAGGCCAGTGGGGTTCAGTTATTGCCTGACTGCTTCCTTTTCTTGCTCCCTCTAAAGGGTGTGGGTGGAGCTGCAGAGAGAAGGTGCCTTTCTTGTGGGGAGGCCACAGACCCTCCTCCCAACTCGACACAGTGTCCACCCAATGGGACCAGCTCCTCCCATCTCCACACCCTCCCTCAGGCCAGTAGTCAGTTTAGGAGAAAGTCTAAATGGCCTGGCAAAAAAATGGAGGAGGCCTAGGTTAATTATCCAGGGCCCTGTGGGCTATGTCTTATTGGAAAAAATGGCTAAGAAAAACGGATAATCTACAGCATTTTTTTATCATTTATTTCAAATATACAGCACCTCAATTATGCTATGGATAATAGTTATATAATGGTCAGGCCAGGAAGCCAGTACCCGCTGAGACAGTGTTTCTGTAGAATCCCAAATGCTTGGTTCATTGACTTATATAACACCCTGTAATTTGGGGGCTGTTGGTGTTTTGTAACTGTTGAGATGCAGAAATGAGTGATTTCTTTTGAATTCTTTTACTTCTAGGCAGCAGTCTGTCAACAACTATGGCATCCAGCTGGTCAGAAAGACTAGAGGATTTGACATTTTGCGGCTGTTCTCTAGAACCAAAGAAATGAGAACCTCTTGGTAAAATCCGCTGGTCCAGGAGTTATTATCTCCTGGATTATCTGCCAAAGAAATTATCTGCCAAAATTACAATGTAAAACTGAAGAAGACAACCGATAACTCAGTTAAAATTTTGGAAAAATACAAAGAAACTGTGACTGGGGAGAAATGGTGAGGGAAATTTTCTCGTTGAATTAGAGGATCAGGAGGGCTAAAGGGAGCCCTCATGCTATCAACCAAAATCTCTGTTAAATTCCAAACATAAAATATCTTTTCTCACTGTTAAAATGTCTAAGCAGTCTCCACTAGCAGCCCCCGTCCTGGACACAGGAGCACTGCCCTGCCTGGCCGTCAGGTGCTCCCATAAGCATCATTCAGACAGCGAGGGGGGCAGTGGAGGATTCGGGGGCAGGAGATGGGGTGGTGGAGAGAAGGATGTAACCATCAAAAGTCCATTTTCCCTGCTGAAGCTACCCATGGAACTTTTAAATTGGGTGCAGATTTAAAAATTAATACAAAATATTTGAATAATCGGGGATGTATCAAATGTTCATAAATTACAGCTCCAACTAGGAATGCCTAAGGAACTGTTCCTTCCGTTTAATTGTCCTCTTTGTCTATCAAAAAGACAGCCACTCGCGTGCCTCTTCTAAACAGTCAAATACCATCCTAAGCTCTCATGGAAAATCTCAAGAGGCTTATTGGTTGACTAATTCTAAACCTCTGTTTGCTCAAAGGACAGTGTCAGCTACAATTTTTCATTTGCTTTTGTATTCCATTTATTTTTCTTTACAGCTTTGGGAGATGTGTATTATACTTCTTTTCTTTTAATGATTATCTTGGAAATTGTTTATATATACTTAACAGTCTACAGTGAAGGACTATTTACCATCCTTCTGAATAACACAAAGATTTTAGGACAGTGGTCCCCAGCCTTTTTGGCGCCAGGGACCAGTTTTTCCATGGACCAGGGTGCAGGGGGATGGTTTCAGGATGATTCCAGCACATTACATTTATTGGGCACTTCATTTCTATTATTATTACATTGTAATATATAATGAAATAATTATACAACTCACCATCATATAGAATCAGTGGGTGTCCTGAGCTTGTTTTCCTGCAACTGGATGGTCCTATCTGGGGGTGATGGGAGACAGTGACAGATCAGCAGGCATTAGATTCTCATAAGGAGCATGCAACCTAGATCCCTTGCATGCACAGTTCACAATAGGGTTCACACTCCTATGAGAATCTAATGCCACCGCTGATCTGATGGGAGGTGGAGCTCAGGTGGTAATGTGAGCAGTGGGGAGTAGCTGTAAATACAGATGAAGTTTCGCTCATTTGCCTGCCCACGGCTCCTAACTCTTGCTGTGCAGCCCAGTTCCTAACATATCCGTTGGTGGCCCAGGGGTTGGAGACCTTGTCTTAGAATGGTTTTCCTCCGTTGATCACTGCTTCTAGCTTGTGTGCTACTGGGATACAATATTTTGAATCAATCTCTGTTTTTAACCTCACAGATTGTGTAATTATCAGTATCTGCTTAATATGTATTTAGATTAGTCATATGTTTACCATTTTGTTTAGCTGCCAAACGTCATTGCATTTCAGACTTTCTTTCTGGGAGCGTCTCATTCTTCCTGAAGTACATCATTTAAATGTGCCTTTAAGTTTGGTGGCAAACAGTCTCAATTTCTGTTTATCTCAAAGTGCCTTTATTCTACCTCATTTTTGGTAGTTTCACTGGATTTGTGATTTTTAAATCTATAATTATTTTCTAGCACATTGAAGGTATTTCACTTTCTTCCATGTTCCATTGTTATTAAAAAGACTCCTGTCAGTCTTATTGACATTCTTTTGTAGATAATCTGTTTTTTCACTATTTTATCTATGTATGAATTTAATCTATTTATGAATTTCATCTATGTATTTCATCATGTATGAATTTAATTTATTTCTCTTGCTTGATATATTATATTGCTTCCTGAACTCTGAAAAATTCTTGGCCATTATTTCTTAGTCTATTAAATATTCTTTAAATACTGCTGTCTTGCTGTTACTCTACTATTTAATTCTGAAACTTAAAATGAATATATGTTGGACTTTATTTTTCATTTTCTTAACTTCTCTTGCGTATTTTTAATTTGTCTTTCTGTTACGCATCCTGAGCAATGTCTTTGGATATAATTTCCAGTTTACAAATTCTCTTTTGAGCTGTGTCTAATGTGTTATTTTTTAAAATTTTTTTCAGAGACAGGGTCTTGCTCTGTTGCCAAGGCTGTAGCACAGTGGTGCCATCATAGCACACTGCAGCCTCTAATTAGCAGATTATGTTTTCATAAAATGTTTTTTATCTTTGACCATTTAAAAATTTGGGAGTTTATCTCTCCTCTCCTTTCCTTTCCTTCCTTCTCTCTCTTCTTTCTTTCTTTTTCTTTCTTTCTCTTTCTTTTTTTCTTTCTTTCTCTCTCTCTTTCCCTCCCTCCCTCCCTCCCTCCCTTCCTCCCTCCCTTCCTCCCTTCTTCCTTCTTTCCATGAGATCTTCCTATGTTGCCTAGGCGTACCACCTATTTACTTACTACCATTGCATAAGTCACTTATCTCTCTCTCCATTTTGATTGTCTGAAGCTTGATGTCGACTAGATTTCTCAGGAAAGACTCAGCAATAATAGTCCCTGAGTTCTGGCATGTTGATAAAAGTTTGTCTTTTATTAATTAGATATAAAATTCTTGTTTCATATATTCTTTCCTTGAGTATGTTAATTATTATATGTTATTTTAATATTGTATATTGTAATAGCATATAATAACATATGATATTTGTATTATTTATTTGTATATATTTGCATTACTGTATATTTGTATTCTGTATGATTTATCTTGTATATAAATATTGTATGTTAAATAAATAATATGCTATTTCATTTTCTCATAGCATAAAGCATTGCTGTCGACAAGCGTGATGATAATTAATTTTTTTTCCTTATACCTTACACACTTGTTTGGGATATCTGTTGTAGACTGAATTGCATCCTACCCAAATTTATAAGTTGAAGCTCTAATCCCTAGTGTGACTGTATGTGGAGACAGAGCTTTTAAGGAGGTAATTAAGGCCATAAGAGGGGCTGGTAATATAATATGATTGGTGTCCTTAAAAGAAAAGGAAGAGACACCAGGAATGCAGGTGCACAGGAAAGGCCATATGAGGACAGGATGAGATGGCCCTTTGCAGCCAAGGAGAGAGGCCATAGAAGAAATCATCCCTGCGAACACGTTGATCTTGGACTTCCAGCCTTCAGAACTGTGAGCAAACAAATTTATCTTGTTTAAGCCACCCAGGCTGTGTATTTTGTTATGCCAGCCCTAGGTAACTAATAAAATGTTCAAAGGATTTTTTTTCTTTTTTTTTTTTAAGTTTGGTAATTTTACCATTTGGGGTCAATATTTTCGAGTGTGTGGTATAATTTTTCAATATGTAGCTTCAAATCCTTTTTTAAATTCAGTGTTAAAAATGTGGTATAGTTCTTGTCGTTTTTAGTATTCAGTCTTCTTCTTTGCATTGGTATCTTCCTCGAGACCTCCTATGTTCTATCTCCTTTGCCTGTCTTCAATATGTTCCACTTTTTCTGACATATTTTTTTTTCACTTCTTTTTTACTTTTAAAACTTTCCTCATTATCAGCTGCATACAGTGGCTCACGCCTATAATCCCAGCACTTTGGGACACCGAGGTGGGCAGAGCACTTGAGATCATGAATTCAAGACCAGCCTGGCCAACATGGTGAAATCCCATATCAACTAAAAATAGAAAAAAAAATTAGCCAGGCGTGGTGGTGCATGCCTGTAATCCCAGCTACTCGGGAGGCTGAAGCAGGAGAATTGGTTGAGCCCAGGAGGTGGAGGTTGCAGAGAGTTGAGGTTGTGCCTCTGCACTCCAGCCTGGGCAACAGAGTGGACTCTGTCTCCAAAACAGACAAACAAACACACAAGAAAACTTTCCTCATTTTCACCCTCTGTTTTTCTTAGGGCATTACATGTTGTGTTTATTTGTTGTTTAGTCTTTGCTCCTAAAATGCATTTTTAAATTTTTTAATTCTTTTCTGATTGCTGTAACAATTCACATACTTTCATGTCTTACATAATTTTCTTAGAGTCTGTTAGCTTGTTCTGAAATAGGTTTTGATCTGTTTTGTGGCTGCAGAGGCAGAAAGGGGGTAATCACTTTCTTCTCCATCATAAAGGTCATACCAGTGCCCCTATAACAAAAGACAGATTAACATGAGAAAAGTATAACACATTTATTTCATCATAGTTTGATGTGATGTGGGAACCTTCAGAATGAAGACCCAAAGATACAGGGTGAACTGTGCATTTCTATACTTAGATTTGATGAAGCACAGCCAGCCATGTCGAAATGTAAGACTGGACAGAAAGGTCCTGATCGAATGTAATAGATGGTGTGGGGAAACTCAGCAAGGCCTCTGCGTTCAGATCTTTCTCAGCCTCTCTGTGCCACATTCCCTCCTCCTGGGCATAGGGTAGGGTCCCTCTACAATGAGGGTCTTAATTTCTTTATTGCCAGCTGTTACACAGAAAAGCAGGGGGAGGCTAGAGTCATATTTTTAGGCTTTATGGCTGGCCTTGAGGCAAAGGGGTTCTGGTTTTTATGACTCACCTCGGGAGAGGAAGAATTCTAGTTTCTATAGCTTCCCTCAGGGGAGCATGAGGGGTGAGAGACAGGAGGGCAAGGGAAGGTCAGGGGGAAACTTGGCTTCTGAGGCTGCACTTTGGGCCTTCTGAGCCCCATGACGGCCACATCTTTGTGTCTGCTCTTATTGTCTGTTGGGCTGTTATTCTGCTTCTTAGGACCTTTTTCTTATAATAGTTTTGTATGGGATTTGACTTGGATATTTTCTGTTGCTTATTTTTATGGGAAATTCATTTGCCTGAGCCTTTAGGATGTGGCTGGGTGTAGGAGTGCTCTTTTACCTTTGCGGGGCTCCCTCTTCTGCTGTTTTTGGTAATGTCCAAAAGCAGCATGGCATCCTGTCTTGAGTTTTCCTGCATCTTTTTCTCAAAGCCTCTTTCATCAACACCAGGAGACAGAAATCAAACTCTGGCCCACCACCAGTTTTGTATAGCCTGTGCATTAAAAATGCTTTTTACATTTTTAAATGGTTGAAACAAACAAACAAAGAATACTATTTTGTCACACGTGAAAATTGTGTACAATGCAAACTTCAGTGTTCATAAATAAAGTTTTTTTGGCACACAGCCATGCCCATTCATTTACATGTCATGTGTGGCTGCTTTTACCTTATAACCGCAGGGCCGAGTAGTAGCAGCAAGACCGTCTGGACTTCAAAGCCTACGATGTTTACTATCTGGTTCATAACAGAGGGATTTGTTGGCCTGGTGTGGACCTTCTTTTTCTCTTGTCTCTGTCATGCCTGTCTTGATTGATTTTGATTCTACTCCCAGGAATTTCTCCTCGGGGTAGGGCCCTGGCCCAGACAGGCACTCAGATGGGTCAGTTTTGAGAGTTCATGGGAGATAGAGAGCTCCAGACTCTTGGGCCCTTCCAGCTGTGGGTCCCTTGCTCTCGATTATATGCAGTTGCATTGGGCAAAACCCAAGCGCTTTCGTCCAGTTGGCCCTGCTGGGCTTCCTGGTAATACAGAGCAAAAGATGGAGAATAACCTTGAGCTGTGTGGTATTCTGCTGTTCCCAGAGCTGTCTGCTGCTGCCTGGAGTTTCCTTCTTCCACCCATGCAGAACCTGGAACCTCATGGGGCTCGTGGCTGGCAGTAATTTGCCCCTTGTAAGGAGCTCATAAGGTGCCCTTGGCTTAGGTTTGCTACCCAGGCCATCTATTTTTATGTGGGGACCTAAAACGTTTTAAACAATATTAAATTCTAAGTTTAAAAAATTTTTTCTGTAAGTTCTATCTGCCTCCTTTTCAATTCCATCTTATCATTCTTGTTCCGTTCTCATGGTTTTCCGTCCTTTTATTTCTTTTAACATGTATCATCCGTATCTGATGACGCCAACACCTGAAGTCTTGGTCTATCTGGTCCTGTTATTTTTCCTAATGATTGTCTTGATGATTTATTTGGAATTGTGTGTGTGCACGCATTCTAATTGATGGTCATATTGGTGGGAATCATCAGAAGCCCAGGTTCAGGGACATTATTCCTGGAAGTTGTGTGTCTGCTTCTTCCAGGTGCCTAAGGATGTTGCTGACAAAGGATGTTGCTTTGTGTTTGCCTTTGTGCAGATGTTATCCTTCTCCCTTCTTAACTTTCTTCCTGGGAGTCTAACCCTTCCAGAGTGTCAGCTTTATCAGGTTGGTCTCCATTCCAACTCCCCTGTCCCGGCCCACCTCCCATACACACACACATGAATGCACATATACACACATGCACACACACGCAGATGCACACACGCCCTGTGTATACACAATGCTCGGTCAACATGATGTTCCCCAGCTTGGATGTCAACCTGCTTCTCCACCTTGTCTCCAGTGGTAGAGCGTTTCTCTACCTTTCTTGCAAATTCCCTACCATTCACTCTGCATTTTCAGGGGTCCATTATAATGTTCATTATATTGCTGCAAACATAAGTCACTGATTTACTTTCTTGGATAACACAAATGGCTCAGTTTAGAAGTCTGATGATTACATTCTAGAATGTTTAATATGCCTAAAATGTGGTTATAAAGTGGTGGGCTTTGCCTTTAATTGGCCCTCCAACATTTCTCTGTTGAACACCTTTAGCAACAAGAACTTGGCTTCTTTGTGTCCATGGAGGGCACGCTCTGGGCCGGCTGAAGCACCAAGCACCTTTTCCCTTTAGCTGAAGGAGCTGGTTCCCGTGAGGATGTGGATCCTCCCAAGACTGCTGACACTTTATGCCTGAGTCCAAGACTCATCCAGATTGACTCTGTCCCCCTGCTCCTCCTGCGTAGCCACTCAGGCAGCAAATAATTTCATTTCCAAAATTTCATTTCTAATCCACCTCCTCCTTTCCCTCTCTGTGAGCACTGTGTTCTGCGCCTTAACATTTCTTGTCTGGAAAATTTCAATAGCCTTTCTTAACTACCCAACGCTTATATCTCACTTGCGTCCCCTCAACGTGCCCTTCCACTGGAAGTTCCAGCAATCCTGAGGCCCTCAGACCTCCCCTCACCTTCGGGACTGGCACGGGCCTCTCCCTTGGTCTCTTTTCCACTCGGAACTCCTATGCTTCCTTTGAAACCTATGTTAGAGAGTCAGGCATGGTGGCATGCACCTGTAGTTGCAGCCACTCAGGAGGCTGAGGGAGGAGGATCGCTTGAGTGCAGGAATTCAGGGCTGCAGTGAGCTATGACCATGCCTCTGAATAGCCACTGCACTGCAGCCTGTGCAACGCAGTGAGACCCCACCTAAAAAAAAAGAAAACTCACCTAAGTTAGATGTCAGTTTCTTCTGGAAGTATTTCCCAAGCTCTTTTCCTTTCCGTTTAAAAGCAATCACCCTTTCTCAAAGTTGTCGCTCTCCCTGGTCTGCAGTGAACTTATCACACTGTGTTGTCATTTGTTTTCCAGCCTCATCCCCCTTCAAGGCTGTCAGCTCGCTGAGATAGGTGCTGTATCTTCATTATTTCTGGCCCTTGGAGCCTGTACAGTCATTGATACAGAAGAGCTGCCCAATAGAGTTCTTACAAATTTTGGCTATTTCTGTTTGGTGTGAATCAAACTCCAGCACTTGTTGGAAGGTGAGTGGAGGCAGGGAGAGGGCACCACAAGCCCTGTGAATCCAGGGTAGGAAAAGCAGGTGGAGATGAGGCCTTCAATAGATGAAGCTGCAAAGTTACTGCTTTGAACAGAAATGTGGAAAAGATCCTCATATCTTAAAAATAGTATCCCTTTGCTTCTGGTGACAGGCTAACTTCGGTGGGTCCATCAGCATTAGGGACCATGGGGGTCATTTCACCAAATCTCTTTGCTCCTTTGTTGAAGAAGTTAAACTCCTCAAGCTCAGATATGTTATGTGCTTAAAGTCTAATTTGGGCTCCAAGGATATTATAAAGTAGCCCCTGAATCTAATAAATCTTTAAAAAGGGGTGGTGTGGGAATTGCTCAAGAAAAGCAAAGTGCCGAAGAGTTAAAAATATCAGAATTCCTCCGTAAGTCTCTAACCGCTGCTCCACAATCTCTTCTGGGCTCTGAAGCCACAAGATGAGGTGACAGTCTTTTCCTCACCCCTAAAAAGGAGGTCAGTTTTGAGCCCGTTACCTCCTACTGTGCCATCAGCCCTTTCCCCACACAGCATCCCCAGTTGTTTTTGGAAGGAACCTTGTGGCATCGTGTGAGTCACAGCCCTGCGGCTCCTACCATCACAGCCTCACACACTCAGGACAAAGAGTCCTTCTCTTTTCTGTGACCAGTTCCCAATAAGTTCATGGTCGGGTTTCTCGCCATTGGTTGAGTACATTATCTGGCTGATAACTGGCTCTTGGTGCCAAGCTCTGAGGTCTGGCAGTGTCTCCCTTCCCGCCCTCCCAGGGCCCCTGGGGCGGCCGTGGGCCGACGGAGCTGCTGCTGTTGCCCGTTGTTCTCATCTCGCTGTTGACAGACAACAGCCCTAGAGAGCCCAGGATGGCGTTCCTCCCCTCGAGTGCTCCCTCCTCAGCGTTGGCTGAGGTTTCATTGGCTGGCTCACGGGAGACAATACTGAATTAGCTTTTTCAGTAAATCGTCTATCTGGAATATTAAAGATGGAACAACTATGAGTTCCCATAGATAAGCTGTAATCCAAATATTAAAAAAATTGAAACCAGATTAATGAAATTGACAGCTGCCGCCAGTATCTTAGAGTTCTAGGTGGAGTTTGGTCCCTGCAAGGTCCTGAGGCTTTGGGAAAATATTAACGCTTAGACTGGGAACTCATACCAAACAAAATAATAGTTTAGCCTGAAGAATGTTTGTATGATCTTGTGTAGTTTCAGGTCAATAATTCTAATTACTGTCTCCATTAAGGGGTTAAATATTAGAGGGATAAAAGTAGATATTGTCTTCCTGACACAAAAATTTATAGTTTTAAATAAAGTAGTAGAATTAGAATTGAGAACACTGAACAAAACAGTTTAATTACAACCACAGGTAACTTTAAAATAGGCAAATTCCAGCCTTACATTATGGTCAATTAAGTATTTGTCAAACAGACACAATAATGATAAGTTCTCTATTCTTTCCTTGTTGTTTGAATTGTTTGGAGTCAGGCCTGTTGGCTATGCACTTCTTAATCTGTGCTGGGGGTTCCTACCAGTCAGTGTCTGATTCGTGTCTTTGAGTCAGCATAACTCACTGAATACTGCAAACCGAGATGCCTTTGCTTCTTCCCCCTTTCAGAAGGGCGTCGACTCCCTGGCCATCATCCTGTGCTCTCAGGCACCAGACAGGGATTATTGTGAAAATTGCCAGTTGAAGAAACCCTGGCTCTGAGAAGACAAATGCCTTATCTGAGGTTTCAGGCTGGGTGCCAGTGAGAACCCATGGTCAGTGCATCCGTCCTGGATTTAGTGTGAGGCAATCAGGGGCCAGTGTTGGCAGCAGAGTAAGGTCTCCTCAAAGATGTTCTAATCTGAAAATCTGTCAATATGTTTCCTTCCATGGCCGGGGGGATTCAGGTGGTAGGTGGAAAAGGTACTAATCAGCTGACTTTAAAACAAGTCCACCTGGGTTATTTTGGGGAGCCCAAGGTAATCAATGTAATCACAAGGGTTCCTAATTGGGGAAGAGAGGGCAGAAGAGTGAGTGTCAGAGTGAAGTAAGATGAGAACGACTCCCCTGCCGTTGCTGGCTTTGAAGATGGAGGAAGGGGCCATGAGCCAAGGAAGGCGGTACCTTTAGATCCCAGAAGAGACAAGAGACGCATTCCCACCCAGCGCCTCCAGAAAGTAAGGAATCTCTGCTGACACCTTGATTTTAATGAAATCATTTGGGCCTCCAGAAAGGAAGGGAACATAGGAGGTGGAAGAGAAGGAAAAAGAATTGAGTTGAATATAGAAAAATAAATTTAAAGAACAAAGAGAAGCAAAGAAGGGGAGGAACAATCACATTGGAGGGAAGGGAGCAGAGATGAGAGATGTTTGGGATCTTGATTTTTGGTTGACAAAGAGCTTTACTTCTCAGCAATGTGATCCCCTAAAGAGGTTCTACTCAGATCTATTGTTCTCAGCTAGCTTTCAACAGTTAACTAACCAGTGACTTCTTGAAATATGTTTTCTTCTTAGATTTTGTGACTTTGAACTCTCTATCTTGGGTAGTGTTAAAGCAAACTAAATATGGCCAGAGAAGGACTCCAGTACTTTTATATTCGAGTCCTTGTGGACGAACTGCAATCTAACTTAATAGGTAGACAAGATTGAGAACCTAACTTAGGAGTATGCACCTGTAACAATAGCTGAGTCTCGGCTAATCCCAGCAGCCATACTTCAACCATTTATACACTGCTGAGTGTTCAAACTGTGTTTAAATAAGGCAAATGCTGAGCTGTAACCAACCCAGTTGTTTCTGTACATTACCCCTGATTTCTGTACATTACCTCCCTTTGTTTGGTCTATAAATCTTCTTCGGCTGTGCTGGGGTCTCTCTAAATTCGCTGTGATTCTGGGGGCTGCCTGATTTGCCGTTCATTACCCAATGAAGGTCCTTTAAATTTAACTCAGCTGAAGTATTTCTTTTGCCAGACACAGCTTCTCTACATTTACCAGATCTAATGTTTGGAGTTCCCTATGGCTAAAGCTTGGGGCTCTGTTGCTTTCTCCTTCCAGGTGAGCTTATCAATTCCTGAGACGTAAAAGACACACACACCTACTGATTTGTCCTCATGCAGTGTCCGGACTACACACACACACACACACACACACACCACTCTACTTCACATCTTAATTCGGATGTCACTCAGACCTCTCAAACATAACATGTTCAACATAGGATTTTTTTTTTTTTGGAGGCAAACTCTGCCTCCCAGGTTCAAGTCATTCTACTGCCTCAGCCTCCCAAGTAGCTGGGACTACAGGTGCACGCCACCACACCCAGCACATTTTTTGTATTTTTAGTAGAGACGGGGTTTCACTATGTTGCCCAGGCTGGTCTTGAACTCCTGAGCTCAGGCAACCTGCCCACCACCAGCCTCCCAAAGTGCTAGGATTATAGGTGTGAGCCACTGCACCCGGCCTCAACATGGGATTTTAAGTTTTTTCTCGTCATGCCATGTATTATTATTTCCAATTATTTTTCCTCTTCCATGAAAGAGGATTAAACATCCCACCCAGTTCCTAGTTGCTTACATACCTTCTTGGGGAAGGCTCTCCTTACCAGGCTTGCCATGTGTGGTGTAACAAAAATGGACATCTGTTAAATGAGGCTAATAGATACATGTTCTTGGTCCCTAGTTCCTGGCACAGAGCTTCAGAAACCCTTGTAATTTCCTGAGCACTAGGAGTGTCTTTGTGATGCTAATGAGGTGACCCCCGGTGGCCCCTAGGTGGCTTCAGGATGGGGGCTGGTCACCAGAAGGACCAAGCACTTGGTTAGAAAGTTGGGACTTCGGTTGATCATGACCATGGGGATGGAGGAGAGGACCAGAGATTGAGGTCAATCAACCAACTTAATAAATTTAATCAATCTCATGCCCACATAATGACACATCAATAAAAAACTCTGCAGCACAGCCTTGGTGGAAGTTCTTTAGAGGAGTTCATGAACGCACTGATTGATGTCCTGGCCCTGGGAGGGTGATGTGTTCAGATTCCACGGGGAGAGGGCATCAAAATTTTGCATTCCCTCCCAGACTTCACGCTATTTCATTGCAATTTTTGATTTAAGTCTGTTTTTGCTGAATTATATCTAATTATTTCTAATATAACCTCTAATGTAACATCCTTTTAGATTTTCTTTTACTTTCCATTGTTTATTATTGTCATATGCTTTCAAAATTCTTCAAGATTTGAAAACTTAAAGGCGTATGTAAGTGTAGTGAGTAGTTACGTTTCCCTTTCATGCCTAACATTGTTTTGTTCCTTCTTTTCTTCCAACCCTTGGTCAAACTTTCGGAAATTTGTCTATTTTATTAGTCTTCTCAAAGAATCATCTTCGGATTAATTGATTCTTTTTTCTTTATATTGATTTTGTTACTTTCTGCTATTATTTTCTTCCTATCACTTTCTTTGATTTACTATGTAGCTATTTCCCCAATTTCTTTATTTCTTTTTTTTGAGACAGTGCTTGCTCTGTTGCCCAGGCTGGAGTGCAGTGGTGAGATCTCGGCTCACTGCAACCTCTGCCTCCCAGGTTCAAGCGATTCTCCTGCCTCAGCCTCCCAAGTAGCTGGGACCACAGGCGTGTGCCACCACGCCTGGCTAATTTTTTGTATTTTTAGTAGAGACGGAGTTTCACTGTGTTAGCCAGGATAGTCTCGATCTCACCTCGTGGTCCGCCCACCTCGGCCTCCCAAAGTGCTGGGATTACAGGCATGAGCCACCGCGCCTGGCCCTCCCCAGTTTATTTCATTCAATATTTAGCTAACAAAGTTTTAGGTTTCTTCCCCCTTTACTACTAATATAAGCAATTAAGGCTGCATAGTCCCCTCTAACTATTGCATTAGGTATGTCCCAGAAGGTTTTATTTCAGTTCTAAATATTTTTTCATTTCCATTATGATTTCTTTTGATGTATCAATTATTTATGTTTTCAACCTACAAATACAGTTTTTGGACTTCTTTGAGACAGAGTCTCACTCTGTCACCCAGGCTGGAGTGCAATGGTACGATCTGGGCTCACTGCAACCTCCGCCTCCTGGTTCAAGCTGATTCTCGTGTCTCAGCCTCCTAAGTGGCCGGATTACAGGTGTGCGCCACCATGCCTGCTATTTTTTTTTGTATTTTTAGTAGAGATGGGCTTTTACCATGGAGGCCAGGCTGGTCTCGAACTCTTGGCTTCAAGTGATCTGCCCACCTTGGCCTCCCAAAGTGCTTGGATTACAGACGTGAGCCACTGTGCCCAGCCTAGTGTTTGGATTTCTTCATACAATTAATTTCCTACATTATGCTTAGTTCAGAAAACATGGCCTGTATGACCGTATATGAACTTAAACCTGTTGAGTCTCTTTTTTGCTCTCCCTGATTGGAGCTCTGGGCCGGTCTGGCTTCTTTGGCCTCTTGTGCAGTTTTTCCTAGTCCTCTTCCTCTCAGCGTGTCCTTCCAGGAGTTTGCTTTTCTTTAGGGGATCTCAGCTGCAATGCCAGCGACTTTTCACAGGTCCACTTCCTCATCTGCTGATCCTGTTCGACATGAAAACCCAAGCCTCTGCTCCCCAAGAGCCTGCTCTGCCCTACCTGGCAGCGGCCGGACCCCAGGACCTGGACTCGGCATCCCGGCTGCCTCTCTTGACTCCCCACCGCCTGAGGATTTCCATTCTTTATTAGGAGTTCTGCAGTGCTTTTGGAAGGAAGCTTGTGACATTTCCATCACTATCTGTAGGTCTGTTGTGCAAAAGGGTGTTTAGGTTTAGGTGATTATATCCACTGCATGCTTTTTCGAACATTGAGACCATTGTGTTTATTTTTCTTTTCTCTTTCCATTCTCTCCAAACAGAAACTGTACTTCTCGATATGATTCCCTGTAAGCAGAGAAAGGTTCACATAAGGAAGCAATGACAAGAAAAGCGCAAACATGAATGTTCCCTTTATCTGCAATTAAGTCACTACTTGTCATGTGAAATAAAGTAACAGGTTATTAATGGCAGAGTTATGGAAGTGGAAGGCAGATGAGTGGTTGCCAGGAGTTAAGGAAGGGACAGAAGCTGGTGGGTTCCGTGGTTATAAAAGGGCCCCAGGACAGAACCTTCTGGTCACGGAGCTGCTCTGTGTCTTCACCACAGTGGTGGTTACACGAGTTTACACACTAAACAGACAAACGCTCGCACAGACCTCAAATACACGGACGCCCGGACAAGTTATATCAGGCTCCCAGTTGACATAGATGTACTTTTATTTTTATTTTTATTTTTTGAGATGGCGTCTCCTTCTGTCACCCTGGGTGGAGTGCAGTGGCGCCATCTCGGCTCACTGCAACCTCTGCTTCCCGGGTTCAAGCGATTCTCCTGCGTCAGCCTCCTTAGATGTACTTTTAAACTCAGTTATCTAAAAAAGGGTCTTGTCGGCTGGGCACGGTGGCTCACGCCTGTAATCCCAGCACTTTGAGAGGCCAAGGCAGGCGGATCACGAAGGTCAGGAGATTGAGACCATCCTGGCTAACGCGGTGAAACCCCGTCTCTACTAAAAAAAAATACAAAAAATTAGCCGGGCGTGGTGGCGGGCGCCTGTAGTCCCAGCTACTCGGGAGGCTGAGGCAGGAGAATGGCGTGAACCCAGGAGGCGGAGCTTGCAGTGAGCCGAGATCGCGCCACTGCTCTCCAGCCTGGGCGACAGAGCAAGACTCTGTCTCAAAAAAAAAAAAGAGTCTTGTCCCAGAAGGATGCCAAGAGCGAGTTCTTGGATCTCACATGGGAAAGAATTCAGGGCAAGTTGCAGAGTATAGTAAAGTTAAAACTGCTTATTAGAAACTATTACCGAGTAGGGTGTCCTCGAAAAGCAAGGAGGAGCACCTTAAACGTAATGCTTGCCTATATAGCATATTAAGGCAAAGAAGAATGTAATTTATTTTTTTTAATTATACTTTAAGTTTTAGAGTACATGTGCACAACGTGCAGGTTTGTTACATATGTATACATGTGCCATGTTGGTGTGCTGCACCCATTAACTCGTCATTTAGCATTAGGTATATCTCCTAATGCTATCTGTGCCCCCTCCCCCAACCGCACAACAGGCCCCGGTGTGTGATGTTCCCCTTCCTGTGTCCATGTGTTCTCATTGTTCAATTCCCACCTATGAGTGAGAACATGTGGTGTTTGGTTTTTTGTCCTTGTGATAGTTTGCTGAGAATGATGGTTTCCAGCTTCATCCATGTCCCTACAAAGGACATGAACTCATCATTTTTTATGGCTGCATAGTATTCCATGGTGTATATGTGCCACATTTTCTTAATCCAGTCTATCATTGTTGGACATTTGGGTTGGTTCTAAGTCTTTGCTATTGTGAATAGTGCCACAATAAACATACGTGTGCATGTGTCTTTATAGCAGCATGATTTATAGTCCTTTGGGTATATACCCAGTAATGGGATGGCTGGGTCAAGTGGTATTTCTAGTTCTAGATCCCTGAGGAATCGCCACACTGACTTCCACAATGGTTGAACTAGTTTACAGTCCCACCAACAGTGTAAAAGTGTTCCCATTTCTCCATATCCTCTCCAGCACCTGTTGTTTCCTGACTTTTTAGTGATTGCCATTCTAACTGGTGTGAGATGGTATCTCATTGTGGTTTTGATTTGCATTTCTCTGATGGCCAGTGATGATGAGCATTTTTTCACGTGTCTTTTGGCTGCATAAATGTCTTCTTTTGAGAAGTGTCTGTTCATATCCTTTGCCCACTTTTTGATGGGGTTGTTTGTTTTTTTCTTGTAAATTTGTTTGAGTTCATTTTAGATTGTGGATATTAGCCTTTTGTCAGATGAGTAGATTGCAAAAATTTTCTCCCATTCTGTAGGTTGCCTGTTCACTCTGATGGTAGTTTCTTTTGCTGTGCAGAAGCTCTTTAGATTAATTAGATCCCATTTGTCAATTTTGGCTTCTGTTGCCCTTGCTTTTGGTGTTTTAGACATGAAGTCCTTGCCCGTGCCTATGTCCTGAATGGTATTGCCTAGGTTTTCTTCTAGGGTTTTTATGGTTTTAGGTCTAACATGTAAGTCTTTAATCCATCTTGAATTAATTTTTGTATAAGGTGTAAGGAAGGGATCCAGTTTCAGCTTTCTACATATGGCTAGCCAGTTTTCCCAGCACCGTTTATTAAATAGGGAATCGTTTCCCCATTTCTTGTTTTTGTCAGGTTTGTCAAAGATCAGATAGTTGTAGATATGTGGCATTATTTCTAAGGGCTCTGTTCTGTTCCATTGGTCTATATCTCTGTTTTGGTACCAGTACCATGCTGTTTTGTTTACTGTAGCCTTGTAGTATAGTTTGAAGTCAGGTAGCTTGATGCCTCCAGCTTTGTTCTTTTGGCTTAGGATTGATTTGGCAATGCGGGCTCTTTTTTGGTTCCATATGAACTTTAAAGTAGTTTTTTCCAATTCTGTGAAGAAAGTCATTGGTAGCTTGATGGGGATGGCATTGAATCTATAAATTACCTTGGGCAGTATGGCCATTTTCACGCTATTGATTCTTCCTACCTATGAGCATGGAATGTTCTTCCATTTGTTTATATCCTCTTTTATTTCATTGAGCAGTGGTTTGTAGTTCTCCTTGAAGAGGTCCTTCACATCCCTTGTAAGTTGGATTCCTCAGTATTTTATTCTCTTTGAAGCAATTGTGAATGGGAGTTCACTCATGATTTGGCTGTTTGTCTCTTATTGGTGTATAGGAATGCTTGTGACTTTTGCACATTGATTTTGTATCCTGAGACTTTGCTGAAGTTGCCTATCAGCTTAAGGAGACTTTGGGCTGAGACGATGGGGTTTTCTAGATATACAATCATGTCATCTGCAAACAGGGACAATTTGACTTTCTCTTTTCCTAATTGAATAACCCTTTATTTCCATCTCCTAAGTGATTGCCCTGGCCAGAACTTCCAACACTATGTTGAATAGGAGTGGTGAGAGAGGGCATCCCTGTCTTGTGCCAGTTTTCAAAGGGAATGCTTCCAGTTTTTGCCATTCAGTATGTTATTGGCTGTGGGTTTGTCATAGATAGCTCTTATTATTTTGAGATATGTCCCATCAATACCTAATTTATTGAGAGTTTTTAGCATGAAGGGTTGTTGAATTTTGTCAAAGGCCTTTTCTGCATCTATTGAGATAATCATGTGGTTTTTGTCTTTGGTTCTGTTTATATGCTGGATTACGTTTATTGATACGTGTATATTGAACCAGCCTTGCATCCCAGGGATGAAGCCCACTTGATCGTGGTGGATAAGCTTTTTGATATGCTGCTGGATTCAGTTTGCCAGTATTTTATTGAGGATTTTTGCATCTATGTTCCTCAGGGATATTGGTCTAAAATGCTCTTTTTTTGTTGTGTCTCTGCCTGGCTTTGGTATCAGGATGATGCCTCATAAAATGAGTTAGGGAGGATTCCCTCTTTTTCTATTGATTGGAATAGTTTCAGAAGGAATGGTACCAGCTCCTCCTTGTACCTCTGGTAGAATTCTGCTGTGAATCCATCTGGTCCTGGACTTTTTTTGGTTGGTAAGCTACTAATTATTGCCTCAATTTCAGAGCCTGTTATTGATCTATTCAGAGATTCAACTTCTTCCTGGTTTAGTCTTGGGAGGGTGTATGTGCGAGGAATTTATCCATTTCTTCTAGATTTTCTAGTTTATTTGCATAGAAGTGTTTGCGGTATTCTCTGATGGTAGTTTGTATTTCTGTGGGATCGGTGGTGATATCCCCTTTATCATTTTTTATTGCGTCTATTTGATTCTTCTCTCTTTTCTTCTTTATTAGTTTTGCTAGCGGTCTATCACTTTTGTTGATCGTTTCAAAAAACCAGCTCCTGGATTCATTGATTTTTTGAAGGGTGTTTTGTGTCTCTATTTCCTTCAGTTCTGCTCTGATCTTAGTTATTTCTTGCCTTCTGCTAGCTTTTGAATGTGTTTGCTCTTGCTTCTCTAGTTCTTTTAATTGTGATGTTAGGATGTCAATTTTAGATCTTTCCTGCTTTCTCTTGTGGGCATTTACTGCTACAAATTTCCCTCTACACACTGCTTTGAATGTGTCCCAGAGATTCTGGTATGTTGTGTGTTTGTTCTCGTTGGTTTGAAAGAACATCTTTAATTCTGCCTTCATTTCGTTATGTACCCAGTAGTCATTCAGGAGCAGGTTGTTCAGTTTCCATGTAGTTGAGTGGTTTTGAGTGAGTTTCTTAATCCTGAGTTCTAGTTTGATTGCACTGTGGTCTGAGAGACAGTTTGTTATAATTTGTGTTCTTTTACATTTGCTGAGGAGTGCTTTACTTCCAACTATGTGGTCAGTTTTGGAATAGGTGTAGTGTGGTGCTGAAAAGAATGTATATTCTCTTGATTTGGGGTGGAGAGTTCTGTAGATGTCTATTAGGTCCGCTTGGTGCAGAGCTGAGTTCAATTCCTGGATATCCTTGTAAACTTTCTGTCTTGTTGATCTGTCTAATGTTGACAGTGGGGTGTTAAAGTCTTCCATTATTTTTGTTTGGGAGTCTAAGTCTCTTTGTAGGTCTCTAAGGACCTGCTTTATGAATCTGGGTGCCCTTGTATTGGGTGCATATATATTTAGGATAGTTAGCTCTTCTTGTTGAATTGATCCCTTTACCATTATGTAATGCCCTTCTTTGTCTGTTTTGATCTTTGTTGGCTTAGAAGAGTGTAATATATTACAAAGATTTGTGATCAGCTTACGACAGGCTATTAATACTGTTATTTTCTTGTGCAACTATTGATTTCAGCAAGAATTTATGAATGTGCTGTTATCTCTAAAACGAACCCTGTTCTTAAACTAACAATGCTGTTTGTTCTTCAAATACTGGGACATTTCTGTAAGTTCTGGTTCTTTAGGTAGGTAGTCAGCATCATTAACTCGTTCCCTCAACTATAAACATCCTGTGACTGAGAGTGATCATCCCTCAGGGAATGTCCCCCATCAGGTTTGGCTCTATCCAGGCTTTATTCAGGATGGAGTCACCCTAGTTAGGACGCCTCTGACAATTCTGATGTTCTCATAATCAGTGCCCTAGTTATTCTCCAATACCTTGATAAGAATCTCACAAGGTATTTGCAACACTGTAAGAAATAGCAATTTGGTCTCAATCTCCTGACCTCATGAGGCAAGAGAATGGCGTGAACCCGGGAGGCGGAGGTTGCAGTGAGCCGATATTGGGCCACTGCACTCCATCTTGGGTGACAGAGTGAGACTCTGTCTCAAAAAAAAAAAAATAGCAGTTTGGTTTAACAAGACATTACATCTTGTGCAGAAGTAAATGAAATGTACATTTATAATATCCCATTGCGTATTCTAACTCCCTGCTTCTGAAACTGCATCCACATCACCGGATAGCTTGTTAGAATCCAGCCTTTGCAGTGAGCCATGAGTGTGCCACTGTACTCCAGCCGGGTGACAGAGGGAGACCCATCTTGAAAGAAAGAAGAGAGAGAGAAGACAGAGAAGAGACAGAAGGAAGGAGGAGAGAGAGAAGGAAGGAGGAGAGGAGAGGAGAGGGGAGAGGAGGGGAGGGGAGGGGAGGGGAGAGAAACGCAGCCTTTCTGGCCCCAGATGTGCTGAAGTAGAATCTGCCAGTTAACAATATCCCCAGGTGATTTGAATTTGTATTAAAGTTTGAGATGCAGTTGTCCAAATCCTTTATTAAATAGGTATGCTTAGATTTTTCTCATATAATCTCAAATGAAATTATAAGGGGCATGGTTATAAACAATTATCTAGAAATGATCTCTCAAGTCCTTGAATGGCATTTCCAAAAACATGAGATGATAACATTTACTGTAACTCAAGGTGAAAAATGTTTCATCAAAGACTGTCAATGTCTGCCCAAAATAATGGGAGCAGCTACATGGAACACAAAGACGCTCTCAGGGACCATCAAGGGAAGTCTCATTTGTGACATCTCTGCAATGTGCCATGTTTCATTTTCAAAGACGTTTTCTGAGTGTGATCAAAGTTCTCTGTCGTGCATAGACCATTTCAGTTTGGGACATCTTGGATGCACAGAGAAAGCCTTGTGGGTCAGGAGTTCTGGTATTTAGATTCTTTGCACTGAGTTACTGCTCATGGGTGGCGTGTCTTTCGAGATCTCAGCTTCTTTGTCAGTGATAGGAGGGACTGGGCCAGACCGGCAGTTTTCAAGCAATCTCGGAAGTATCTACAAAGGCGCTGTGCAGCCTACCCTTGTGCAGAGAAAGATGAGATCCTTGGGTGAGGATCTGAAACCCTCGTGTGACCACCCCCTACCCAGCTTAATGAGAGCGGTCCTGATAACATGTTTTTACGTATTGTATTTCTTTATGCATCCTCATGTGAACAAAGGATGTTGCTATTGAAAGAAGGCTGAGAACAAACGTCTATTAAGGAAGGTCTCATGGAAATACTTTAGATTGTAAGTTTAAGGACCATGTAGTTACCCTGAAGTCTATGGGACACAGAACACGTATAGCACTGAGGATAGTGACCTCAGTAAACATTGCAAGATTGATTATTAATTGTCATCTGTAGGAAACAATAAATTCCTCTTCGAAGTTTAGCCTGTTAATGTCTTTTAAAATTCAAGAGGGAGAAAATTGTTAAGTACGCTGAGTTCTGAGTTCCTCTCCAAAGAACCAATGTGTCAGTATATTCAGCTTCCCTGTTCTTTGTTCTCCATTTTAAAGTTTAACTTTCTCATTCTTTACATCTCTTTACCCCTAGTTTCAGTAAACAGCCCGCTCCTAGCCTCTATCACCTGCTCTGTCCTTAGTCACCTGTTCTGTCCTTAGTCACCTGTTCTGTCCTAAGTCATACGTAGTCACCTGTTCTGTCCTTAGTCATCCATAGTCACTGTTCTGTCCTTAGTCACCTGCTCTGTCCTTAGTCATCCATAGTCTCCTGTTCTGTCCTTAGTCATCCGTAGTCACCTGTCCTTAGTCACCTGCTCTGTCCTTAGTCACCCTTAGTCACCTGTTCTGTCCTTATTCATCCTCAGTCACCTGTTCTGTACTTAGTCACCTGTTCTGTACTTAGTCATCTGCTCTGTCCTTAGTCATCCTTAGTCACCTGCTCTGTACTTAGTCACCCACTCTGTACTTAGTCACCCTTAGTCACCTGTTCTGTACTTAGTCACCTGCTCTGTCCTTAGTCATTCTTAGTCACCTGGTCTGTACTTAGTCACCCGCTCTGTACTTAGTCACCCTTAGTCACCTGTTCTATCCTTAGTCACCCTTAGTCACCTGTTCTATCCTTAGTCATCCTTAGTCACCTGTTCTGTCCTTACTCACCTGTTCTGTCCTTAGTCATCCTTAGTCACCTGTTCTGTCCTTAGTCACCTGCTCTGTCCTTAGTCAACCTTAGTCACTTGCTCTGTCCTTAATCACCTGTTCTGTCCTTCGTCATCCTTAGTCACCTGTTCTGTCCTTAGTCATCCTTAGTCACCTGTTCTGTAACTGTCCTGCCAGTGTGGCTTGTACCTCTGCTGTCTTTAAAATAGCCAATTGGAATTAGCTTAGACTGTGCGGTCCAACCCTAGTCAGTGGGGGAAAGATATAGCAGTAGGGCTAGCTGCATTAGAAATAAGGCCCCCTTCCCCTCCCTTGTCCAGTGTGCTCTCGCCATTGTTCCATCCGCGAGATGCACCCTTCTATAAAAGTAAATTGCCTTGGTGAGAAGACTTCTGCCTGAGTGCTATTTTCACTTGGCAGCACTGAGCATTTACTTCCAACATCATCCCATCCAACAGCCTCACAGTTGCCCTGTTATGGCTGAACGAGCTTGTAGTATAGGCCTGGGTAGCATGAACACAGATTCCAGAGTGAGACTGCCAGTGCTGAAATGAGACAGTTAGTTTTTATTTATTCCACTTTTGTTCTAGGTTTCACTGAAGAAATGTTGGTTTCACAGTGCTGCCCAGATTCCCCTGGGCTGTTATCTGCATATTACTTTCTGTCTGATGGGTCCTCTGGGTAGCTGATACAGACATGGAGTTCAAAGAGCAAGAGATGACTAAGCGTGACTCCTGGGAAAAATAAAAGTGGGTAGAAGCAGGCTCAGGTATGGAAAACCTTCTGGCCACTGTGGAGGTCTGACAGCTTAGACCACATTGCAGGTCACAGGCAGTATCGGCCAACTCCACAGGGAGTTCTAGGGTGTGGAGCCTCATGTTGGGCTGAATCAGCCATGCCCTGTGCCTTTCTGTGCCCACGTATTGGCTGGGGACTGCAGAGAAAGACCATGGCCTTAACTTGAAAGCCAAGGCCGACCTTAAATGAACTACCAGATGCAGGTTGGTCAGTGTTAGCTACCTGCACTCATTGCTGTGGAAGAGAAAGTTCTTTCTCTAAGGGAGATCTGAGAGCTATTGCCCTGGGGCTGCCATGTAGCTCTCGTTCTCTCTCTCTCTTTTTTTTAAAAAAAATAGCTTTATTGGTGTATAATTCACATGCCTTAAGGCTTACCCATTAAAAGTGTTCTGTTCATTGATTTTAGTAAATGTATACAGTTGTGTAACCAAAATCACAATCCAGTTTTAGAATGTTTCCATCATCCCAAAATGTTTGCTCTCTGTTCCCACTCCCATCCCCAGCTGCAGCAGACCATGAATCTGTTTCGTGCCTCTACAGTTTTGCGGTTTGTAGAAATGGTATCTAAATGGAATCTTACAATTTGTAGTCTTTTGTGTCTGACCTCTTTCACTTATGTTTCTGAGGCTCATTCATGTTGTTGCACGTGTTTAGTAGTTTGTTGCTTTTTAGAAGTTTGCTGAGTAGCGTTCCATGGTGTGGATATACATTTTGTTTATCTACTTTTCAGTTGATGGGCTAATTTTTGGTTATTATGAATAATGTTGCTATGAACATTTGTATACAAGACCTTGTGCAGATCCATGTTTTCATGTATTTTGGTTATATACCTGAGAGTGAAATTGCTGGGTCATATGGTAGTTGAATGTTCAATTTTTTAAGCAACTGCCAAATGGTGTTTCAAAGTGGCTGTATCATTTTGCACTCATGCCAGCAATGTAGGAGAGTTCTAGTTTCTCCATATCTTGGTCAGATGTTGGAATTATCAGTCTTGTTGTTTACAGTCATTCTAATGGGTGTGTAATAGGTATTTCATTGGGCCTTTAATTTGTATTTCCCTAGTGACTAATAATATTGAGCATTTTAATGTGCTTAATATTTGTATATCTTCTTGCATGAATTGTCTTCAGCTTTTTCTTTATCCTTTTATTAATGAGTTATGAGTTCTTTACATGGTCTGGGTACAAGTCCTTTATCAGATATATGATTTGCAAGTATTTTTTCATAGTCTGTGGCTTGTCTTTTCATTTTTTTTTAATGGTTTCTTCAGAAGAGCAAAACTTAAAATTTTGACAAAGCCCAACTTATTTTTTTAATGAATTATGCCTTTAGTGTCATATCTAAGAAAGCTTTGCCTAACCTGAGGTCAGAATGATTTCCTGCTATGCTTTCTTCTGTACATTTTATTTTTTACATTAGGTCAATGGTTCTCAACTGGAAACAGTTTTGCTCTCCAGGGCACATTTGGGAATATCTGGAGACAGAGATTGTCAAAACTAGGTGTGTGTCAGGGGAGGGATGCCACTGGCATCTAATAGGCAGAGGCCAGGATGCAGCTAAACATTCTACAGTGCACAGGACAGCTCTCCACAGGAAAGAATTATCCACCCCAGCAAACGCCAACACTGCTGATGTTGAGAAACCCTGATATAGTCCACGTTGAGCTAATTTTTGTGCATGGTGTGAGGTAAGGATCCAAGTACTTTTTTTTTCTTCTGCCAGCACCATTTGTTGAAAAGAATATGCTGCTATACTGACTTGCCTCGTCACCTTTGTTCAAAGTCAATCAGCCATAAATATGAAGATTTATACCTGAATTCTCTATTTTGTTATTTGATTTACATGTCTATTCTTATGCCAATGTGATACTTTTGTTCTTGTTGTTGTTTTTGAGCTGGACTCTCTTGGGTTCAAGCTATTCTGCTTCAGCCTCCTGAGTAACTGAGATTACAGGTGTGTGCCATCATGCCTGGCTAATTTTTTGTATTTCTAGTAGAGACAAGGTTTCACCAAGTTGGCCAGGCTGGTCTTAAACTCCCGACTTCAAGTGATCCACCCGCCTCAGCCTCCCAGAGAGCTGGTATTACAGATGTGAGCCACGGCACCTGGCTGATACTTTGTAATTATTGTAGTTTTACTGACAGTTTTGGAATCAGGTTCTATAAATCCTCCAACTTTGCTCTTAAAAAAATTGTTTTGTCTACTAGAGGTTCTTTGCATTTTCATAAAAGATTTAGCATCAGCTTTTCAAATTCTATAAAAAGCCATCTGAGATTTTAATGGATTGCATTGAATCTATACGTCAATTTGAGGACTATCATCTTAACAATATTGCATCTTCTAATCTATGAACTTTGTATATGTCTCTATTTAAAGAAGTCTTTAACTTCTTTCAGCAATGTTTTACAGGTTTCAGTATACAGATGTTACAACTGTTGCCAAGTCTATTCCTATTTTGTTTATTTTTAGATGCAATTTTAAATGGAATCGTGGTCTTAATTTCATTTTGAATTGCTTATTGACAGTATATATAAATACAATTCTGTTAGGTTTGTATATAATCTTTAGGAAGATTGCAAGATTGTATATTGCAATCTTGCTAAACTTGTTATAAGTTCTTGTAGGGCTTTTTTTTTTTTTTTTTTTTGCATTCCTTACAATTTCTATACATAGTGTCTTGTATTCTTGAGAATAAAGACTTTTATTTCTTCACTTCCAATCTGTATAGCTTTAATTTCCTTTTATTGCCTTCTCTGGGTAGAAACTTTAATGCAACGTTGAATAACAGTGGTGAGAGCCATAAGCCTTTACAAATTTTTTTTAAAATTCAGAATCCTGAGAACCTCTAGCCCTATATGTTTTGAGTAAGGCTTTGCAGACCCACAGTAAGCTACTAATAGGATTGTTGAAAGGGTAAAATGAAGTACAACATATAATGTGCTTAGTGTAATGTCTAGCAACAGTCAGTCCTCATAAAATACTAGCTTTCAGAAAGAGAATCTTGACTGGCCACTGGCAGGCCAGCATCAGGGATCAGAACTTAACACTGGGGACTGAGGCCTGGGTGGGCAGAGGCTGGGCTGGCTCCGTGGCTGATGTGGTGGGGGATGGAAGTTCTCTGTGGCTTGTCTCCAGCATGAGTCAGCACAATGTTTGTCAGCCTCCTCAGGGATTTTTGGTGCTGTGGGAGCACTACCAAGCCAGGATGCTTGTGGTTATAGAGAAACATATGTAATGTGAAGCGAGTGAACTCAGGAATGACTCATTGTATTGAAGTTCAATTGCTGTTAGAGGATGAGTATCATAAGGGGATGATTTAGGTGTATACATTATTTTAAAACCAAGAGACAACCCTTCATTATTTCCAGTTTCTGTGGTTTTCTATAGAATGCCAATTCCTATACAATGCACTGCTACCTCCCTTCTCAAAGGTTCATTCTAGAAGTGGTTCTGTTATATTTGTTGAGGGACTTGAAATTTGAGGTAGGAACAACAGCTGAGATGAGCAACAGATAAATAACCCAGAGCGGGAACGGCACCACGATGAGGGCTCAGTGGCACCTCCGACCTCGCTGGGACTCAGCATCTCGTTTATGGTTCTCCTTGTAGAGATCCTTTGCCTCCTTGGTTATACGTGTTCCTAGGTATTTCATTCCGTGGCTATTGGAAATGGGATTGCGTTCTTGATTTGGTGCTCAGCTTGAATGTTACTGTGTTTGGAAATGCTGATTTTTGTACATGGATTTACTATCCTGAAACTTTACTTAAGTCATTTATCGGTTCCAGGAGCCTTTTGGCAGAGTCTTTAGGGTTTTCTAGGTATAGAATCATATCGGCAGTGAAGAGAGACAGTTTGACTTCTTTTCCTATTTGGATGCCTTTTATGGCTTATTCTTGCCTGATCACTCTGGCTAGGACTTCCTAGCATTTCATTTCTTTAGAAGGTGACAGACACATCAGTGTTTCTTATTTATTTATTTATTTATTTGAGAAGGAGAGTTACTCTGTTGCCCAGGCTGGAGTGCAGTGGAGCAATCTTGATTCACTGCAACCTTGGCTCACTGCAACCTCTGCCTCTTGGGTTCAAGCGATTCTTCTGCCTCAGACTCCTGAGGAGCTGGGACCACAGGTGTGTGCCACCACACCCAGCTGATTTTTGTATTTTTAGTAGAGATGGGTTTTGCTGCGTTGGTCAGGCTGGTCTCGAACTCCTGACCTCAAGTGATCTGTCCACCTCAGCCTCCCAAAGGGCTGGGATGACAGGTGTGAGCCACCGTGCTCAGCCACAAATCGGTGTTTCTGTGAATCAGCCCCAACTGCCAATTTCATCTCGAGGACGGCAGGCAAAAAGCGGCCAGTGGACATTGTGATCACTTGCTGGTGATGCTTTGCTCACCATAAAGCAGGCTTGCAGAAGTAAGACACTCAGATGTCACCAATTATCCTGTATAACACCCCCCATACCTATCTCCTTTCATTACTTTAAGAGAGGAATCTCCGCTAGATAAAAGTCACCTTAATAGCTGACAAATGTCTTTCCTACCTAATAGATAATGTATTAATAAAGATCGAGTCTAAGCCAAGAAACTTGCAGAGTTCTCTAGTTGTTCTCAGTAATAAAACAATGTCATTGAATTTCCATTCTTTATTTGGCAGTACTGTGCTCTAATGACAAAGGTTCTGTGACCTTTCAATTATGATCATGACTAAGACACAAAGACTGGAATTCTATAGAAGAGGCCTGACAGATCACCTGAGCTCAGGCGTTTGAGACCAGCCTGGCCAACATGGCGAAACCCTGTCTCTACTAAAACTACAAAAATTAGCCAGGCATGGTGGCACACATCTGTAATCCCAGCTACTCAGGAGGCTGAGGCAGCAGAATCGCTTGAACCTGGGAGGTGGAGGTTGCAGTGAGCCGAGATTGTGCCATTGCACTCCAGCCTGGGAAACAGGGCAGGACTCCGTCTCAAAAAATAAAAAATAAAATAAAAATAAAAAGGCCCGAAGCGTCTCTGAAACAGACATTCAGTCATCAGAAAGTCACCTATGAGTTCTTAAGAACCACAACACATGGCAAACATGATATCAGAAGTCATCTTGTATACGCCAGTTCCTTCTCTTCACAGTTTTGTTTCTCATTTGAACATCCAAAGACAGTTTTGCGAGCTGTGTGCAGTCACCACAGGCCAGTGAGGTCACTGTCATTGTGACAATAGGTAGTTTTCAGGGGCACAGACCTTGTGCTGGGTGATGGAATCTAGAGAGAGAGCGAAAAGCAGTTTAGCATTCATAATAGCCAGCCACATAGGAAAGTGATAACCTGTTTGTATATACATGAAACTATATTTAAAAACAAATAGCCAAGAGCTGTGTTGTCCATAGGCCCCCCCACGTCCATAGAGCACACATACCTTTTTAAATTAACGTGAAACGAAATTCAATACAATGAAACATTCAGTTCTCAGTCACACTGGCCAGTTCAAGTGCTTGGTAGCCACATGTCCCATTAGATGCAGGGCACGTTCCCGTTGTGTCAGGACACTCAGTGGGCAGGGTGGGAAGCTTGCCAGTCTGTGACATAGGAGCCAAGAATTTCTAATCTTAGCTCACCACTTCCAGTACTCTTGGCATAAGGCAGAGTATAAGTAAATACATATATGAGTTTTAATTATGACACCAGTGGTGAGAGGTAGGCCGTGCTATCCTATCTACCCAGCATAGGTATTTTTTATGGAATTCCAAGTGAATAAGCATACTTTCTAAAACTCTGTTCTTCATAGCTCAAATTAAAGAAGCTCTAAAGTCCCATCCGTTTGAAACTCGACTATTTTATGAAAATCACAAGTTGCGCCTGGCCCAGGATAGCGCTGCAGGTGCTGCTGAAGGGTCAGCACAGGTGATCCTGGCAGCTGGCGGAAACAACCCCTCCCTCTTTCCTCAGTCCTGGCAAGCGCACTGCATTCTATTCCTACTGTTAGAAAAAAAAAGGAATGAAATCCACTGTCAGCACCGATTGGATGATAAGGTAGATTAAATCAATTGCAATTAAAGAATCACAATGATTGTGTGAATATATAATTATAATTACAGAGTTACATTTGAAGGAACTTAAGAAGTCACACAGATGAGTGATGGAAGGTGGAAAGCTATCCTGGTGGTATGGTACAAAAAAGAAAAAAATGGGTTTAATCTACAAATATTTTTAGAAATGGAAGAAAAAAATGACTTATCTTAGTTATAGCTCAAGATAGTGTCCCAGAATTTAACTGTTGTCTTCTCAATACAAATGTGCTTCTACCCAGGAGGCCTGGGTCAGTGAGGGACCCTCAGATGAATTTCAGAAGGGAGGAACACTAACATTTGTGATAGCTTATATATATAAGAAATGATATAGTTAAAAACATTGTATATAATTATAACAATATTATTAGTACTAGGCATACTACTTAATTCTCTCCACAACAGTGAAGCAGGTATTATTATGATTTACATATTTTTTCTTTTTTTGAGATAGGGTCTTGCTCAGTCACGCAGGTTAGACTGCATTGGTGCAAACATGACTCACTGCAGCCTCAGTCTCCTGGACTCAGGTGATCCTCCAGACTCAGCTTCCCAGGTAGCCGGGACTACAGGTATGCACCACCACACCCAGTTAATGTTTTGATTTTTTGTAGAGCCAATGTCTCACTTTGTTGCCCAGGCTGATCTCGAACTCCTGGGCTCAAGCAATCTTCCTGTGCCTCAGTCTTCCAAAATGCTGGGATTATAGACATAACCCACCACACCTGGCTTGACTTTTCTTATGCAAACTTTTGCCATGTATAAGTTTCAATTTCTTATGTATTCAAATTATATCAACACTTTGTCTTATTGCATCTGGCTTTTGAGTCATAGGTAGGTGGAAGCCTTTTCCGATACTCAGGGTTTAAAGTCATTCAGCCACATTTGTATTTTCTTCCAGGTTGTAAAAACTCTATGGATTCAATTTTTACACTTAGTTTTCTGACTAGGTGTCAGTTTTGAAAAATCATAAAAAAATGCAGAAAAAATGATGCTCTTTCCAAATTCATCTAGAAATTCAATGTAATCCAAAAATTTCAAACTTTTCAAAAAGAAAACGACATGTTTATTCTAAAGTTTATAGGAAAGAAAAAAATGCATAGGAAGATGATTTTTAAAAAGAGAAATGATGAGAAAAAATTTGACATACCAGATATCAAAACAGTCTGTACAATTATAGCAGTAAAATAGAGGTCAGCACAGAATAGACAAACAGATCAATGGACGAGAATAACCAGAAACACACCCATACCATGTGGGAATGTAAGAGATGACTCACAGGGGGCAATATAGGTCAGTGTCAATAAATTAGTTATTAAAAACAACATGGTCCCCTCACATTATACAGTAAGTGAAATGCACATGCATTAAAGGTCTAAATATTTTTTAAAACTATAAATAGGAGAATATGAGATTATTTTTAAAGCTCAGAGGGTGAGGAAGGCCTTTCTAAGCAAAACCACAAGGGTAGGTGCCATGGAGGAAAAGAGGTGTTTAATTTTGTAAAAAATAATAGTTAAAAATTAAAAACTTGGTAATACTTAAGACACCATAAGCACAGCTAAAGAGACAGAGTTTTATAACACAACAAAAGTTTAATGTCCATATTATGTAAACATTGCTGTAAAACCATGTGAAAAATATAAATAACCCAATTTCAAAACAGTTAAGGGATCAGGACAGGTAATTCACGAATGATAAATCTCCTATCTAAGATATTCAGACTCATTCATAATTTAGTAATCAGGCAATTAGAAATTAATGAGATCTATTTTTTTAACTAATCGGATCACCCAATATTGAAAATATGGGTTATGTCCAGTACTGGACATGGGAATTTATAGGACATAGGAAATAGGACTTTATGTACCGTTAGTAATAGTGTAAATTGCTGCAGCCTTGTGTATCAGAATTTAAGTACACATATCCTAGGGCACAGTAATTTCACTGCTTGGAATGTATTTTACAGAAATCTTCATGAGCCTGGGCTCGGACTAGAATAATTCCAGCTCAAGAAAATCTCTTAAAATTGAATTCAGATTGTTCAGTTAGAAAACACACACACACACGCACACACACACACACGCGCGCGCACACACACACACACACACACACACACACACACACACACGAGTTTAAAATAGCAGAAGCCAGCCGTATTGCAGGGTTCATGCCTGTAGTCCCGCCTACTTGGGAGGCTAAGGTGGGAGGACTGCTTGAGCCCAAGAGTTTGAGGCCAGCCTGGGCAACATAGTGACATCTTGTTTCTAAAATAAATAAGTAAATACAATAGCAAAACAATGAAAATAACAGAAAGCACATAAATTAATTACAGTACCTCCCAATGGTTAAAAAGAATGAAGTAGCTGTATATGTGTTAAGCTGGAAGGATCTTCTAGGCATAGGGTTAAATAAAAGCTCCTGAAAAAGCATGTCATTCTCCAATATATATAAAAACAAATCCCTAAACAATATCTGTGTTTATATACATTTATTTCTATGTAAATATGTTTTTTTTTTTTTTTAAAGAGACAGGATCTTGATCCATTGCCCAGACTGGAGTGCAGTGGTATGATCATGGCTTACTGCAGCCTGGAATTCCTGTCCTCGAGTGATCCTCCCACCTTGACGTCCTGAGTAGCTAGGACTACAGGCATGTGCCATGACACCAGGCTACTTTTAAAATTTTTTTTGTAGGGACACGGTCTTTCTATGTTGCCAAGGCTGGTCTCAAACTCCCGGCATCAAGCAGTCCACTCACCTTGGCTTCCCAAAGTGTTAGATTATACATGTGAGTCACTGGACCTGACCATAATATGTTTACATTCATAAATATGTTTTTAAAAGAAATCTAGAAGATACACTTCTATCTTTATTGTAGTTAAGGAAGGGTTGTAAGACTGGAGGACCCTGTGTACTTGTCTACTGTTTGAGTTCTTTGACTATGAAATCAAATATCACTCCATCCACCCATCTACCCATCTACCCATGCACCCGTCTACCCATCCATCCAACCATCCACCCATCCACCCTTCCACGCATGTATCCTTCCATCCACGTATTTATCGTGGTGGGGATAAAGGCTGCCAGAAGTATCGATCTTTAAACAGAGACAAGATGGAACAGAAGCCTACATGTAACCTCACAACAAAGTCTGTACCTTACACCTCTCATGGCCTGCTCTAGGACATGCTGCCTGAGGAATTACACTGGACTTCTGAGCAGTGGCGTTGAGGTGCGCATGGGGCTGTGACTGAGTGTGCGGGCAGCACTCTGGGAGGTCTGAAGCGCATCTGACCACTGAACAAGGGCCGACAGCTCCAGGGTCATGTCCAGGGAGCCCCTCACAGCCCCACGTTCCTAACTGTAAACACACACAGGAAAAATGATTTCTATCCAAGTTTATTTGGCATCTGAACATAGCCACATCCCCAAATTCCAATGTCACTTCATAGGAATAATCCTCAAACATCCCATAAAATGTGGCCGTAGGACAGATGTTAGAGTAATGCCAGTCCTGGCCGGTGGAGACAGAGATGAATAGGAAGCTGAACTGCCCTTGAGCAGCTCCGTGAAATTTAAATTAAAAAAAAAATTTTTTTTTTTTTTTTTAAATGTAAGCAACAGTATTTAGCAGGTCTTGGCAGGCATTTACGCACAAGCTAAAGTTTACTAGCCATGGCTCTGTGTGGTCTTATGGTTAGGATACAGAATCAACATGCTACCAAAATTAATTTTTTATAGTATGGTGGGCAAGTCACTTTATTTAACTAAAACTGCGATTGCCAGCATCCAAGTGTGGTTAATGGTACAATGTACAGAAGTTCAAGAGCACACGGGACCCATGTGAGCTTCATCTTTGCTTATCAAAATAAGTAAGCATGTTAGGGCTAGGAGATCTAGCCACATCTCCACTCTGGTAAGGAATTGCCCAGCTCCCTCACTGTGGGACGGTGGTCACCCAGCCTCTGCGGCTTCATGGCTTAAGGCAGCCCTTAGCAGTAGAGCCCAGCAGGTTACAAATATTCCTAGAGTCGTTTCTCATAATGAGCCCAGAGCTGCCTGCTGTGTGATTTTCATCTGCTCATATCACATGTGTCCTCTTTCACACAGCAGTCCTGTAGGCACTGCTTCTGCAGACTGAATAAACCACTGCTCCTTCCGTGCTTCTCCCGGGTCCTGGCTTCTAGATGCCTCATTCTGGAAGCTCAGAACACAAGACTAGGTGCCACCTTCGAGTCTTCTTTCTCTAATATGCCACATCCAATGTATCAGCGAGTGCACCTGGCTCTGAAATGTATATTTAAAATATGACAACTTCACAACACCTCCATCGATACGTCCCTGGTCCTAACCCCCATCACTAATCACCTGAACCACTGCAAAGGTCCGAGACTGCTTTCTCTGCTTCCATTAAAAAAACATGTGTCAGCACTTTGAGAGGCCGAGTTAGGAGGATCCGTTGAGCCCAGGAGTTCAAAACCAGCCTGGGCAACATTGGGAGACTCTGTATCCATTAAAACAAAAATAAACACAAACAGAGTAAACAAACATATACCGCAGCCTAATCCTCCCACTTAAAATCGTTCTGTGACTTCCATTTATCCTTAGAACAGAACCCAAACTTCTTGCTGTTGTCTGTTAAGGTGTCAGTGGTCTGGAATGGTCCTGTCTGAAGCTGCCTGCTTCTCCAGCTTCATTTCCTATTGCTTTGTCTTCTCTCCCTTCATTTCAGCCACGCTAAACTTACCGCTTCTCCTGACCTCTCAGCCCTTACCATTCCTGGAAGGGCCAGTCCAATAGACCTACAAGAGTCCATCCTTCTCTTCATCATCTGGGCCTCAGCTCAAATGCCACTCACCTGCAAGGGGCCTACCTCACTCCTCCTCTCTATACTCACCCTGTTTTCTTCATTGCATTTACCACCAGAAGGATTTTTAAAGAAATTGTTTGCTGCCTGTCTTCTCTCTTAAATGTTAAGTCCCACAAGGGCAAAGGCTGTATATTCCTGTCAGTTGCTGTACCTGCAGTGCCTAGGATATGCTCGGCATATGACGAGTGTGTAGGAAATATCTACTGGGTAAATGAATGAATGACCTGATACCATGTGTTGTTTGAAGAAAGTAGCCCAGTCTAATAATACAGCAGTTCTCAACATATTCTTTCTGCTCTGATATTTGACTGGAGACATTCACATCGCTGATACTTCTCTAGGACATCCTAAGAATGTGTCACAGACAAGAAAGTCTGCCGTTTATGTGTGACTCCTACCACACCAACTTCTGTTTCCCATCCAGGAAATGTGTAAAAGGATATTACAGGTGGTGTTTCCCTTATCCAAAATGCTGGAGACCAGAAATGTTTTGAATTCCAGATTTTTTTTGGGGGGTGGTGGGTGGCATTTTTGGAATGGACAATGAGAGATCTTGAAGATAGGACCAGAGTCTAAAACCAAAATTCATTTATGTTTCATCTGCATCTTATACACATAGCCTAGAGGTAATTTTATACAGTATTTTAAATAGTTCTGTGCATAGACTGGTGTGATTGCCAGGTGCGACAGCATGACTGTAGTCCCAGCTACAACGGAGGCTGAGGTGGGAAGATCGCTTGAGGCCAGGAGTTAGAGGCTGCAATGAGCTATGATCGCAGCACTGTACACCAGCCTGGGCAACAGAGCCAAACTCTGTTTCAAAAAATAAACAAACAAATTTTGTGCATGAAACAAAGTCTGTGTACATGGAACCATCAGAAAGCAGAGGTATCACTATCTCAGCCCTCACCCCCATGTGGACAATCAGTGGTTGTGTGGCATCACCCTCATTCCTGACTGTGACTTTTTTTTTTTTTTTTTTGAGACAGTCTCTCTGTCACACAGGCTGGAGTGCAGTGGTGAAATCTTGGCTCACTGCAATCTCTACCTCCCAGGCTCAAGCGATTCCCCTGCCTCAGCCTCCCAAGTAGCTGGGACTACATGCATGTGCCATCACGCCCGGCTAATTTTTGTAATTTTTAGTAGAGATGGGGTTTTGCCATGTTGGCCAGGCTGGTGTTGAACTCCTGGCCTCAAGTGATCTGCCCGCCTTGGCCTCCCAAAGTGCTGGGATTACAGGCGTGAGCCACCGTGCCTGCCCGTGACTCTGAATTTATATGCTACTACCAAGCAGTCATTTCCTTACACTTATTCACACATAAGTACTTCACAGTAAAAAATAAGACATGCCATTAACACAGTGAAGACTTACGTGCTCAGGGGAGCTAAGCAGCCAGTGGCATCAGCAGAGACCGCAATCAGCTGCTGAACAACAGCAGCAACAACAAACAACAGCAGGCCTCTGCTCTCCCAACCATGCTGTGCTTTGATTCAAAGCTTACGGGACACGGCATTTTACATTTTAGGTGAGAAGGAACATAAGAAGCAGTTACAGGCCCAGGAAGTGGGTCCTCTGGGGACGAGGAGGCATTCTGCTGGGGGGCTTTTTAATGGTATCTGCACCACTAACAATGGTCTTAGAACCGACAGCTCCTTTCTGTTGGTTCAGTGTACACAAAGTTTGTTTCATGTACAAAATATTTACTTAGTTTTTTGGGTTTTTTTGAGACAGGGCCTCGCTGTTTCCCAGGCTGGTGTGCAGTGGCATGATCACGGCTCACTGCAGCCTCTAACTCCTGGGCTCAGGCAAGACTCTTACCTCAGCCTCCCACACAGCTGGGACTATAGTCACGTGTCACCATGCCCGGCTAATTTTTTTTCTTTCTTTTTTGTCTTAGGATTCTTTCTTTGATTTTATAAGCTGACATGATTGCTTGTTCTGTTGTGAATGCACGCTGCTCTGGGCCTCAGTTAACCCATCACACCTGAGCTCCACGCTGTCCACGGGTGCTTTTTCTGCAGTGTTAACGTCATCTTCATGGTCGGTATCATCACGATCACCTTGATTCAGAACCATTCTGGCTATTTCCCCAACAGTCAATGAAATGAACAACCGGAGCCTCATTATCAATGTTAAAAATGACATTAATGTGTACTTCTTCCCGCTGACTGATGAACTCTGAAGGTATATTTTTTGGAGGTCAGACATCCTTTTCTTCTCACTTGACAAGCTGAATTCTTCTAAACCACCACCTGGTTCATCATCATCACTGAACACAGTCGTAGGCCAGAGGTCACGCCAGGCACGCACATCTGTGTCTTTAGTCACTGTGTTGCAAGCGTTGGCAACAGCATGTATGGCATCCTTCATGCTCAGCTCCTGAAAATCTTCTACACCTACACCTCCGTTCACTGCTGCGAGCGTGCAATTCAAGACAGTGTTTTTATATTTACTTTTCATTGATCTAAAGATACCCTGGTTACAGGCTCAACTAATGAAGTCACGTTTGGGGGAAAGTACACAGCATCAATATTATCTTTGATGAGAATTTCAGCTGGAGGATGAGCAGAACAGTAGTCAAGGCATAAGAAAATCTTGCTGTCATCATCCGGTCCAACTTTTCTGCAGCGAGCACAAGAGGCCTGTACGAAGTGTTTGTAAAACCGATCAGAAAAGATGTCCCTGGTGATCTATGCCTTTTTGTTAGCATAATAATGGACTGGTAAGAAATTTACTCTTTGAAAACAGCACGGACAAAAGCTTTTGCCCATGAGAGCAGGTTTACACTTATGCGTGCCTGCTGCATTTGCACAGCACTGCACAGTCATTCTGTCCTTGGCATCCTTAATTCCTGTAGGGGCTGTCCCGTCAGCTGTAGTCAGCATCTTTCTGGGGCAGTAGCACCCAAATGGTCATGTCTCATCAGCAATACAGACTTGTTCTGGCATCAGATTTTCATTAGCGATAATCTTGGCAAACTCGTCAATGAGTTTCGACGCTGCCTTGTGATCTGCAGATGCTTTAAAACTTGAATTCCATGTCATTTCTTAAATTTCTGCAACCAGCCTGTTGAATATTCACAGTTCCCTTCAATTTTCAGTTCATCAGGATAGATCTTCGCTTGTTTCATGATCAGCCTACCACTGAGTGGCACGGGTTCAGTGTGATGCCTTCAGATCTAGTTTTTCAATACACTATTCACATCTTCATTTTTAGCTTTACGTAGAGTTTTTCTATTTTTCATTAACTTCTGCTCATCACATTCAGCATAGAACTTCAAAAGCGTATCCTTCTGTTTCTTCAGGTCATGTATGGTGGTCATCCCAACACCATACTCTTCTGTAAGACGCTTCACACTTATACTGCTGTTCAGTTCCTCCAACAAGTTGACTGTTTGTGCTATTGATAAACATAAATTATTCCTCTTTTTCTGATCACTGTTACACATAGGGGGATCTGCAGGCCTTTTCGACATTTTCAGTAATATTTTTACATGACACTGCAGAGAATAAGCAAAAAACCACAGTGAGTAATGCATGGAGTTCTCGGCCCCACGTGAGGTATCGTGGGGAATCTGCGTTGGGTGCGTCCAGCCTGCACACGTGCCATTTTATTACACATTGTGGGCGTGCTTGTGTGGGGGAATTTGGGTGTGCATGGAAAAGTTATACTATAGTTGAAGGGGGCTGGGTGGGTCTTTTTTTTCCCTTGGGGACGCTAAATCAACTGTGTCGTGCACCTGTGCTTTGACTATGCCCTGTCACATGAGGTCAGGTGTGGAATTTTCCACTTGTGTTGACAGATTGGCACTCAAAAAGTTTAAGATATCGGAGCATTTCAGATTAAAATTAGGAATGTTCAACCTGTATTACATGGCTAGCCTTGAATCCACTATTATTTACTATGTTTTCTGTTACATTTTATAATTGTTTATCATTGGGTATACAAATGCTAAAGATTTCAGTGAGTGGATCTTACAAAGAGGAATTTTGCTGAATGAGTTGTAACAGTTTATTGACTCTCTTTGATGTTTCTATGTAGACAACTGTATGACATGCAAACAAAATGTGTCCCTTCCTGTATAATTCTTGTAATTTTTTTTTATTTTATTCCCTTGACTAGGAATCATAGAACACTGTTGAAGAGTAATAGCATTCATGTGTGTCTTGTACATGATTTAAGCCTTAAACTAAGGTTTTCACCATTCAATATTTGTTGTACGTTTTTTATAGATAACCTCCATAGTTAAGAAAGTTATCTATTCCTGGTTTCTGAAGAGTTTTTTTTTTTTTTAAATCATTACTCGGCATTGAATCTTCCCTACTGCTTTTTAACACTACTAAGAAAATTAATGGATTAGAAAAAAGAAGACTTAATGCTATTCATTTATCCTTTCATTCTTAGGTTAAACCACACTTGGTTATGTGTGTGTGTGTTTTAAAAACACACTACCAAATTTGACTTGATGAAATATCTTATTTCTGAGTTTTTTTTTCTTTTCTTCTTCTTAGACAGAGTCTCACTCTGTTGCCTAGGCTGGAGTGCAATGGCGCACTCTTGGCTCACTGCAACCTCTTTCTCCCAGGTTTAAGTGATTCTCCTGCCTCAGCCTCCCGAGTAGCTGGGACTACAGGCACGTGCCACCACGGCCGGCTAATTTTTTGTATTTTTAGTAGAGATGGGGTTTCACTGTGTTAGCCAGGATGGTCTCGATCTCCTGACCTTGTGATCCGCCCCCCTCGGCCTTCCAAAGTGTTGGGATTACAGGCATGAGTCACTGCGCTCAGCCTCAGATTTTTATGTACTTGTTTACAAATGAGTTTTTTAAACCAGTATTAGGTCAAGATCAATGTAGCCTTGTAAAATGAGGTGAATAGATTTCTTTTTTTTTCCTGTAAAACTTTATAATGTTTGGTAAAACTTACTACTAAAACTATCTGTGGAGGGTGCCTTTAAAAGTTTGATAGACATAACATAAAATTTACCATATTAGCTATTTTTAAGTGTCCACTTCAGTGGCATGAAGTACATTCGCAATGCTGTGCAGCCATCACTACTATTAATTTCTAGAATGTTCTCATTATCCAAAACTGAGTCTCTGTAGCCATTAAACAATAATTCTCCACTCCCTTCCTGCCTACTCCACCCTTGGTAATTCAACTATAGTTTGTCTCTGTGACTTTGTCTATTCTAAGTTCCTCTTATAAGTGTAGTCGTATGATATTTGTCCTTTGGTTTCTGGCTTATTTCACTTAACATGATGTTTTCAAAGTTCATCCACAGTGTTACATGTATCAGAATCTCCTTCCTTTTTAAGGGTGAATAATATTCCACTGTATGGATAGACCACATTTTGTTTCTTATGCATCCACTGATGAACACTTGGGCTTCTGCCTTTTGGCTATTGTGAACAATGCTGCTATAAATGTGGATGTACAATTATTCTTTTGAGATCCTGCTTTCAATTTTTTTGGCATATACCCAGAAGAGGAATTGTTGGATCATACAGTAATTCTACTTTTCATTTTTTGATGAACTGCCACACTGTTTTCTATCGTGGCTACAATATCTTACATTCCCAACATTACATGAGGCAGACACAAGGTTCCAATTTTCCACATCCTTACTAACACTTGTTATTTTCTGGGTTTTTTTTTTTTTTATAGTAGCAATCATAATGGGTGTGAGGTGCTGAGGTGCTATCTCATTGTGGTTTTGATTTGCATCTTCCTAATGATTAGTAATGTTAAGCATCTTTTCATTTGCCTATTGGACATTTATATCATCTTTTTTGAAGAAATGTTTATTCAAGTTCTTTGCTCAGTTTGAAACTGGGGTTTTTTTTTTGTTGTTGAGTTGCAGGAGTTCTTTATATATTGTGAAGATTAACCCGTTATTTGCAAATATTTTCTCCTACTCCATAGATTGCTTTTCACTCTGTTGACTGTATCCTTTGATGCACTGAAGTCTTTAATTTGTATATAGTGCAATTTATCTATTTTTACCTTAATTGCCTCTCTGTGGCTTTCATGAGCTGTGCCCACCTCTTTCTCTTGCCCACCTTGCATGTTATGTGAGATGGAGATGAGGATCAATCCTTCAGGTATGAATCAGCTAGACTAGAACAGATCATGTCTGGTCTGCTCCCTGCAGCTTGAGGAAGGGAACTGGGAACTGGGAACTGGGTTGCCACCATGTGCCACAAAACTTTCCTGCGGGCTTGAAGATGGCTTTCCTCTATCAGGCATTTGCCTGGTTGCCGTATGCATTTGGTGGTTGTTTAGAGCACCTTTTAGAGCACCTGCAACATCTCTGCAGACAGCTTCTGCCTGATTTTAGCGGTTTCTGTGTTGGATGAGAGGTTAGAGTTTCCTCTTCTGTCATTTTGCTACCATTCCCATGTACAGGTGCCTTTTTAGTGGCTGGTGAAAGGAATACTTTTGATTGCCTATTTGACTTTTTCAAATTGTTACTTTTTAAAATTTTCTTTTTTTTGTTGATATATAATTGTTTTTTTTTTTTGTTTTTTTTTTTTAGGACAGAGTTTTGCTCTAGTTGCCCAGGCTGGAGTGCAATGGCACAGTCTCGGCTCACTGCAACCTCCACCTCCCAGGTTCAAGCGATTCTCCTGCCTCAGCCTCCCAAGTAGCTGGGATCACAGGCATGCCCCATCATGCCTGGCTCATTTTGTATTTTTAGTAAAGACAGGGTTTCACCGTGTTGGTCAGGCTGGTCTCTAGTTCCTGACCTCAAGTGATCTGTCCACTTCAGCCTCCCAAAGTGTTGGGATTACAGGCGTGAGCCACTGTGCCCAGTTGATGTACATATTTTACCTATTTAATTTTTTTAACGCTTGAGCTTGTTTAGATTTTCTATTTCTTGAATCAATTTTGGTAACATTTTTCTAAAAATCATCCATCTTACCTGTTTTCAAATTTATTGGTATTAAATTGTTCATCATGCTCTCTTATGATTTTAAAATATCCTTACGATAACTGCAGTGACAGCTCCAATTTCATTCTTAGTATTTCTCCTGGAACCCTATCTCTGCCTTTCTTTTTCAACATTGTCAGGATTTTTAATATTTATAAGTTTTTCCCAGCCAAAGAAGTCAGTTTTTTGCTATTGCTGAGCCTCTTATTTGCCTTGCTGCCATTTTGCTAACATTTGGTATTGCCTCTTTTATTTCTTTCCTCCTGTGTTCTTCAGGATTACTTTACTGCCATCCATTTGTTTTCAAGCACCAACATTTAAGAAAAATTGACTAAAAAATAAAATGAGATCATTTCATCCAACTACTTTTTTCTCTTGCTCCAAACTGGGGAAGTTTGTGGAACACCAGGTTCTGTGGTACAGTCTGAGACCACAACAGTCAGTGGCTGTGTAAACAAAAAAGAGTTTTCCACTTGCTGGGCCCAGCCTAAGATCCTGCTTCTTACCAAGGAAGATTCTAAACTGAAAATCAGGGGCCAGGACTGGGGTTCTGGGTCTTTCAGTAATTCACTGCATGACTCTGGCCTAGAAACTCAGAGGCCCTCAGTTTCCTGCTGTCTAAAAGCAGATTTCTGCAGGTGATATCAGAATTCATTTTGGGCTGAACTAGTTTGCTCAGGCTACCATAACAAAATGCCACAGGGTGGGTGGCTTAAACAGCAGACATGTATTTTTTCACAGTTCTGGAGGGCAGGAAGTCCAAGACCAAGGTGTCACAGGGGTTAGTTTCTCCTGAGGCTTCCTGGGAGACTGCTCGGGTTGCAGATGGCCACCTTCTCCCTGAGTCCTCACTTGGACTCTTCTCTGTGCAAAAATATCTTTGGTGTTTCTTTGTCTTCCTTTATTTTATTTTTATTTTTTTGAGATGGGGTTTTGCTCTGTTGCACAGGTTGGAGTGCAGTGGTGGGATCACGACTAACTGCAGCCTCCGCCTCTTGTGTTCAAGGGATTCTCCTGCCTCAGCCTCCCAAGTAGCTGGGATTGCAGGTGCCCACAACCATGCCCAGCTAATTTTGCATTTTTAGTAGAGACGGGGTTTCACCATGTTGGACACACTGGTCCCAAACTCCTGACCTCAAGTGATCTGCCGGCCCTGGCCTCCCAAAGTGCTGGGATTATAGGCGTAAGCCACCACGCCTGGCCTCTTCCTCTTCGTATAAGGACACCAGTCATATTGGATTAGGGCCTTGCCCTTATGACCTCATGTTACCTTATTTATGTCTTTAAAGGCCCTAGCTCCAGATACAATCATGTTCTAAGGACTGGGAAGGCTTCAACCTATGAATTCTGGGGAGACAAAATTCAGCCCATAACATGAGCTCTGTCACTTTAGGTCACTTTAGTTTCAACACTGACTGTCTAATATGCAACAACAAAAAGAAACACAAGTTCAGCATACTCCAAAGACACAGGAAAATCTCTCCTACAGTCATAACCCAAAGCATGAATTAAGTCGGTCAGTAAGCAAAGACAGCCTAAAACCAAGGGCAGCTTCCCATTAGGAGGTTGAGCTTTGAAGTTTCTTTTATGTCCATTAACCTTTCTGATCCTCAGAGCTGCAAGGCAGCTGTGACACACTTGGGCATTCACCCCAAGCACGGGAGTGTTTGCAGGGGGCTTTGTGAATTTGTACAGCAAAATAGTCTTCAAAGTTTCCTGCCACAACCAAAATGCTTGGAGCAGCATATACATGGCTGGTTTCACTTCTCAAACCAACCACCACATTTCTAATACACATAAAATGTTGCCTTGTCTACAATATTTCTTATTCTGAATTGAATAGACAGCTGACTCCTGTATTCTAGGATTTTTTTGGTCTGCTTTTAATGTTTTTTTTTTTTTTTTTTTTTTTTTGAGACAGAGTCTTACTCTGTTGCCCAGGCTGGAGTGCAGTGGCGTGATCTCGGCTCACTGCAAGCTCTGCCTCCCGGGTTCATGCATTCTCCTGCCTCAGCCTCCTGAGTAGCTGGGACTACAGGCACCTGCCACCACGACCGGCTAATTTTTCTGTATTTTTAATAGAGACGGGGTTTCACTGTGTTAGCCAGGATGGTCTCGATCTCCTGACCTCATGATCCGCCCGCTTCGGCCTCCCAAAGTGCTGGGATGACGGGAGTGAGCCACTGCGCCCAGCCTTAATACGCTTTTAAATGTTTACATCTCTGATGCAATTCACATCCAGTGAGTTTAGTTCTGTTGGCATAAGTTTAACGACGGGGACCCAACAGGTTAGGAAGTTTCAAAGATAACCATCCAGGACCATTAGTTTGACCAATAAATGCAATGAAGGGAGTGCTTAGAAATTCATTTTCTGAGCAAACCTTTCCAAAGCTAATGGCAAAATACTGTTTTAGGAGCTAGCAGTTAGTTAATTTTTTTTAAAACCCACTAATGTTTATATAAATATATATATATAAACACATATATATTTTTAGACAGGTTCTCACTCTGTCGCACAGGCTGGAGTGCAATGGCATGATCACAGCTCACTGCAGCACTGACCTCCCTGAGCTCAGGTGATCCTCCCACCTTAGCCTCTCATGTAGCTGGAACTATAGGCTTGCACCACCATGCCCGCTAATTATTGTACTTTTTTGTACAGACGAGATTCTACCATGTTGCCCAGGCTGGACTCGAGCTGCTGGGCTCAAACGACCCACCCGCCTCGGCCTCCTAAAGTGCTGGGATTATAGGCATGGGCCACCGCACCTGGCTGAGATATATATTTAAAAGCCTAAACATCTCAGATGTCGACATTACCAAATCCCACCAGTTTTAGTTCTCATTCATTTATATGCTGGTAGATTTCGTCTGTTTTAAGAACAACTCAAAGGAAAAATAATTCTTCATATTGTCTGAATTGTGTCTTTGAATTCCACAAACATTTTCTGAGCGGTTGCTGAGCTCCTGGGTGTGGAAACCTGGGTGGGGATAAAATGAGGCCGTCCTTGGAGGAGAGGGGCTGGAAGGGGGCAGTCCCCGTCCTCACTCTCCTCTCTGCCACTCTCCACAGCTTCTGCAGATGGCCTCCCCTCTCTGCGACTGGTTCCTTATCGAGGCAATGGAGATGTGGACTGCGGTGACTGATCAAGCCTCACATATCTACTGAATCAGGAAGCCCGAAGGCCTGAGGCCTCCCGAGTGGCCCCATGGGAGCGTCGTGCATTTTTCTGGTCAGTCAGTCATTAGGGGAAACGATGAATGAGCCAGGCCAGCATGAGAAGGCCTGCATGCTATCGGATCTTTTTCCTGAAAACATCGACATGGGACATGTTCAAACCAAATTTTCTTTATAAGTTATAAGAAAATCAGGCGGAGGCTAAACTTTTTTTTTTTTTTGGCAATGCTGTTGAGAATATTACATTATGTTCCCACAATAGCATAAATGTATGTCTTATCACTTGAATGGAGCCCAGACAATAAAAGGGCGCCTGAGAGTGGAAATACGCCTATGAGAAAGGCCAAGCCAGCCTTTCGTGATAACAGCAGCAGGGAGGGAAGAGTGCACAGAGCTGACCACAGCACAAATGTCGCAGACCCTTGAGGACCGCGCCAGGGCTCAGAGCTCCACCCAAGGGCTTGTGATCCTCACCCCAGCCAAGTTCCTTCAGACCCCAGGGTCTTCGTTTCGTGACTTATAAAATGGGAATTATATGTCATGGGAGTGTTGGGGGGAAAATGCAACCATTAGCAAATGCTTTCAAATATAATATGTATTATCAATATCAGGTAAAGGTAACATTTTATTTCCTAGGGCCGGGAATTTGATTTTTGTTTTCCCGTTTATTTTTATCCATGTTCAACCACCCACAAGTGTGCTCTCTCAAAACGCAAAAAAAAAAAAAAAAACAAAACAAAAAAACCAAACAACAACCCCATTTCTCCTTCTGGTTGAATGATTCATCAAGAATCTTGGCCCAAGTACAATACAGTTTCAGGGAAAAAAGACTCCAGGGAATGAAGAGGGAACGTAATCATGCCCTTTCCGATAACCCCGTTATTAGGCAACGCGGCGCAGATGAAATTCTCCAGGGAGCAAGTGAGTGAGGCGTGGCTTACATTTTGTATACTGAGCCCTGTTGAGTGACTTCACACCTCCACTCCCTGTTCTATGCCAGCAAGGTGGGGCAGCTGGGGTGGCGGGCGAGCTGAGGGTCACCTCAGAGCTGAGGTCGAAAGAAATTCTTACAAGTAAAATAATCACTAACAATTTTTATCGTCATAGATATGGAGTTGTTGGTCTTGAGAGGCAGACTGTGCAGGAACAAAGGCTGGCGGGTGGACTGTGGTGCTCGGATGCTGCAGTCCCAGGGGAAGAGCTGTCGTTTCAGTACCCACCTTCCTTTCCCTCCTCTGGCCACAGAATACTAATAATAATAAAGAAAGGAAAAGAAAAGAAACTTCTCAGAGAGGTTCCTAGTGGCTAAAAAACTCCTGGTTCTCCACCCCCTGTGAGTTTACGACATCTGCAAAACAAGACTGTTAAGATACAGAAACAATATAAAGGCACTGAAAAATGATTCTTTTTTTTTTCTTTTTAGAGATGGGGTCTTGCTCTGTTGCCTAGGCTGGAGTACAGTGGTGGGATCGTTGCTCACCGCAGCCTTGAACTTATGGGCTCAAGCCAAGCTCCCACGTAGCTAAGACAACAGGCATGGGCCACCACGCCCGGCTCAAATTACTCTAAGACGCTCAGGGACCCTACCTTACAAAGCAGTTGATATTCCAGTTTGAATAAATTTAATTGATTTTTTTTTGAGTATTGTCTTTTCATAATTTAATTTATTTAAACAAAATAACTTCTTTTTCGATTTGGTGCTTTAAAATGGTTTGATATATTCCTAGTTTTTCAATATTGCGATATTTTGAGAATGAAACATTGTCCAGAGAAGCATTTGTTATAATGGAAATGAACGGGAGGAAAAAAAGTCTCCAAAAGACACAATGTGCTTTGTCGAAGGGGCAGGGATGATGAGGACACATCCATGGATACCGTCAATCTGCCACACTTAAGAAGCCTACGCCTGCCACAGGGCATTTGCGCTCTCTGTGTTTCCTCCTTTAACCAGCATGTGGGGTAAGCAAGGTGGAGGCTATGACTCTGTTTTATACATGAAGTAAATGCATTCCACAGAAAATAGGTGATTTCGGCCAGGCACGGTGGCTCACGCCTGTAATCCCAGCACTTTGGGAGGCCGAGGCAGGAGGATCACTTGAGGTTGGGGGTTTGAGACCAGCCTGGCCAACATGGTGAAACCTCATCTCTACTAAAAATACAAAAATTACCTGGGCATGGTGGCGGGGCCTGTAATTCCAGCTACTGGGAAGGCTGAGGCAGAAGAATCACTTGAACCCAGGAGGTGAAGGTTGCAGTGAGCTGAGATCTCATCACTGCACACTCCAGCCTGGTGACACAGCGAGACTCCATCTCAGAAAAAAAAAAAAAAAAGTATATGATTTGTTTCTGGTTAGAGAATAAGCAAATAGCCTGGACCTGGATGAGGCAGGAAACGCAATGCCCTGGACTGTGTGTTCTGTAGGTTTACGTGTGTATGTATGGACAGAAAAATAAACCTTCCTTTATTTGTACATAGCGGCAGCTACCAGATTGGAATTCAATTCACAAAGAGAAAAATACAAAAAAATCTACTTGTCTATTAAAGGATAATGTTTAGCAGAGGGTGAGAAAAGCCAGAAGTATGTACGGACAGAAAAATAAACCCTTCTTTATTCGTACATAGCTGCAGCTACTAGATTGGAATTCACTTCACAAAGAGAAAAATACAAGCCAATAAATACTTGAGAACTACGTGATCTTACATCTCAGAGAGTGTGGGCTGGAGAGGCCTGGTACACTGGAGAGGTCTACTACACTGGAGATGCCCACTACACTGGAGACGCCCACTACGCTGGAGACGCCCACTACACTGGGGTCTGGTGGCCGGCGAGTGAGGGGACCTGTCTCACATGGGTGAGGTCTGCAGCACACACAATACCCAGATGTTACCAAGGGCACAGGCAGATGGCATAATTGGTGAGAAATCAGAAACAGGACACAAGTTACAGGAGGAAAGAAAAAGAGGCTGGGGCCTGTGGCCCAGGCCTGGAAGTCAGAGAACTCTGAAGGGCTTTGCGGGATCGAAGCCTCAGGATTAAGCAGGTAGACATTCGCCTCCTGAAAACCCACGGGCGGGAGAGCCGAGCGGCAAAACAACCGGAGGAAGTGAGCAGCTGCCGAGCAAGCGTGACTCCACACAAGGACGCAGGACCCACAGGAAGGGGCTGTCAGAGCCACCCAACCTGGAAACACGAGTGCAGAGGCAGGCTCGGGCACTGCACGGCACACGCTTTGCAAACTCCAAAAAGACTGCCTGTTGATATGCACTGTGGATATCAATCGTGTGCACAGTTCCGTCAGCTGGCCCAGACATGCTTTCAGGCCCAGTTCTGTTCTGCAGTCCGTGGCATTTTGATAATACACTTCTCCAGAAAAACAAAACAACAACCTCTGTTTCAGAACATAGGATGTTTTGAAGGTTATATTCTTGGCATTTAGAAAAGAGTAAACAGCCTCTTAGCTTTTGGACTGTGACTAAAATCAATAGTTTTTTTTTTTTTTTTTTTTTTTTTTTTTTGGAAGTTGGTTTCCAGGCAAAAGATGAATTACTCTGCACCAGAGTAAAAAATTACTTTTGATTGCCACACTTCTAAAATATATGAAAGGATGACCATCAGTCATGTAAAAGATACTTGTAAAATGTCCGTAGTTAGATACGAATGTAACTTGAACAAACACAGTATCTACTTGTCTATTAAGGGATAATGTTGAGCAGATGATGAGAAAAGCCAGAAGTTTAGGATTTAGAGACATGCAAAAGTACTAAGAAAGGAGACTGAATAGGAAACATGGAAGGAGATGGAAGCAAAGAGAGAGAAAAAGAATGAGAGAACAGGAGAGAGAGAGAGAGATTGAGAGAGAGAGAGGGGATGTACCTCTAAAGTCGGGTAAGGATCTTGGCCCCAGGGGCTGAAACTAGAGTGATTCATTGTTATGGGCTGAATTGTGTCTGCCCAAAATTCGTATGTCGATGTCTTAACCCTCAGTAACTCAGGATGAGACTGTATTTGGAGATGGGGCCTTGAAAAAGACAAGTTAAAATGATGCCACTGGGGCTGGGTGCAGTGGCTCACACCTGTAATCCCAGCACTTTGGGAAGCCAAAGCAGGAGGATCGCTTGAGCCCCGGAGTTTGAGACTATCCTGGGCAACATAGGGAGACCCCATCTCTACAAAAAAAAAAAAAAAAAAAAGAAAGTAAAGCTGGGCATCGTGGTGTGCACCTGTAGTTCCAGCTACTTGGGAGGCTGAGGCAGGAGAATCACTTCAGCCAGAGAGGCTGAGGCTGCAGTAAGCTGTGATCATGCTACTGCACTCCATCCTGGGTGACAGAGCGAGACACTGTTTCAAAAAAATAAATAAAAGCAAATAAAAGTATGCCATTGGGTGAGCCCTAATCCAATCTGACTGGTATCCTTAGAGAAGAGAACATTTGGACACACACAGAGATACCAGGGATGTGTGTGCATGGAGGAAAGGCCACGTGAGGTCACAGGAAGAAGGCAGCTGTCTGCAAGCCCAGGAGAGAGGCCTCAGGGGAAACCAACGCTGCCGATACCCCATCTTAGACTTCCAGCCTCCAGAACTGAGAGACAATGCGTGTTGTTTGAAGCCACCCAGCCTGTAGTATTTTGCGATGGCAGCCCAAGCAAACTAACATGTTTATCACAACCCCATGGAGGAGGGTGTGGGATTTCCCCACAGTGGAGCCCTAGGCTTGTCCCGCCACATATGACTCCACCACAGGGCAGGTAATTTCTAGCACAGACGCTGCCCCTGCTTCCTCCGCATTCCCCAGGCCGTCCTTGCTTCACACTCTTCCTTAACCCTCTTCTCCGGGGATCACCTGCAAGTCTCCTGGAGCCCGTGTGTTAGCACGGCGTGGGGTTCCAGCCTCCTCCGATCTCAGCTCAGCTCCTACCACCTCTTCCTCCCCAGAATCGCACACGGCGCCTGGCGCAGCTCCATGAACGCCAGAGTGGGACATTACGGTCACACTGTGCTCACTTTGTCAAATAAAAGATGGAGTCGTTTGACGTCTTTTAACACCCTTTGAGCACATGAGCAGACGGAGTGATCATGAGATGTACCTGGGAGAGGAGATGACAGGGACGGGGGCTTGGGCCCCAGTGCCGGGCGCTGCCAGGGACTCCTGAAGCAGGACAAGGAGGCACTGGGGAGGGAGGGTCTAAGAGGGGTGCCCGGAGAGTCTGTGCCCACAGGGGTGGCCCGGGGTGGCTTTGGGTAGCCTGGATTTTTCACACGAGCCAGGGAAGTCAAGTGGGGAAGTCCAGTTAGAGTTCCCATTTCCTCGTGAACTGTACGTCTGCTAACAGCAAGGAGCGGGAATGCCGAGGGTGACCACACGACGCTGCCAGGGCAGATGCTGGAGGCTGAGACATCAACCCAGGTGCCCCAGCTGCGTGGAAGGGGGTGTGAGCCTGACGCCGCCCTCCCTGGAAACCTGTCCACAGATCTGGACCACACCACAGCGTCTGTGTGCCTGGATTCTTACCTAAGACCCATTTCTCAGACAGATACTTGACTGTGGCTTTCTTCTTTCCGCTGTAGGGCCCGATGACGATGCTGGCCTGGCGGGGGACTTGGCTGACCCGGCCTCCGCACAGGTGGACTAGTTCACAGAGCTTGGCCACTGGGGGGCTGCTGGCAGGCGAGACAAACATCGCTGGCTGGTCGGCAAAGAGGGTTCCGCGGTACGGCCCTGCAGACAAGTGGCACTCGCTTCGGCACAGCTGTGGGGCAGACAGAGATAGAATTACAGAGGTGGGACCACTCCAGTCTCCATAGCGTAGGCGAACTGTTGCAGTTTACTTCCTTTTTTATGAAAAGAATAGACTGAATGTAAGGCTGCCATGCTCCTGTGAATTTTGAATTCTGAGAATCCAGAGAAGATGATGACATTAATGACATAAAACTGACGTTTTCTGAAGTAGCCATGCGTAAAACTCCAAGGAAACAAATTAGAAAAAAAAAAGTGTAGGCCTTTGAATTATTCCAAAGCCTCAAACAAAATATTGAAAAGCAACTGTTAGCACAGCAGAGCCATAGCTAGGCTGAACTCTCACTAAAGTAACTTGGTGACGTGTGCAAGTGACGGCAAGATTCTAATGCACTGCAAATGCCGGCTGTGCTGGGAGAGCGTCATTCAATCCAGCGCGCTCCAGGCTGTTGGCAGAAAAGGACTTTTATAGGATGTAAGAAATGCTGTAAATCCAATACCATGGTCTGGACGGGGAAAGGGAGAGTGAGGCAATGCAAAAGTAGAATTCCTAGAGCCATTCCCGAAACACGCTGGGTTTGGGGGAGAGAGGTGTCTCGAGATTGTTTCAATGAGCTGTTGGGAAACATTTCAGAAGCAGGGATGTGAAGCTGCTCTGCTTCTCATTCTGGCAATGTGTGGTCATCTGTTTGACTCAGAGGACCGCGGGAAGGCCCAGTTATTCTGAACACGCATTTTCCTAACTACGGGTTGGTAAAGACTTCTTCAGTGTACACACCCTGCGAGATGCTATGGGTTATGTGCCATCCACGTTTTGTTTTGCGTATTTTCCCTGCTTATTTTTCCTACAATATCTGAAATTAATGGTTCACACAAATTAGAGATTTGAGGGGATGTATTTCGGGGAAGGGATGAAGGGACCTTCTCAGAGGAGTATAACCTGGGGTGGGGTGACGTCGGGGTCCTCTCAGTCAGGGGCAGCAGGCAAGGCTGACCTCGGAGGCAGGGGTAGGGTGCAGGTTGGGGGAAGAGCAGCAAAGAGTAAATTCCACAGCCCACATCACTCACAAAATCAGAGAAACAGTGAACTATTCTTCTGCTAGGTTTTCCTACTACTGTAATATTTAACAAAAGAGGATCCTACTGTGAAAATATAGCTCCAGCATCAATGGAGTAGATCCGATACACTTATATATGCTCATGGAATTTGCTTGTTCTCTCCCCTTGTGTTGAATTTTATAGCATAATAAATACCGAGCCTCAGCAGCTTTCATGTGCCTTGCAGGAGACAGTGGCAGCAGGGGCAAATGATTCTTCCTGGATGGTGACTTTGTGAGTATTTTTGGCACTATATCCTGCGAGATAGGCAGTGGAAAGGGCTACTGATTTAATTTGCAGACAAAGAGACTGAGCTGATGCAAGGCAAGAGATTTGCTTTGGCAAATGGTGAGTCACACTGCAAGAAAAAGCCATGGTCCCTAGCATCACGGGGCCAAGCTGCATGGAAATGGAATCAAGAAAGAGTATCTTTCATTTTAAAGTAGGACACACATACATTCAAAAAGTTAATTATGAAAGTATCTGGCCGGGCACGGTGGCTCACACCTGTAATCCCAGCACTTTGCGAGGCTGAGGCGGGCAGGTCACAAGGTCAGGAGATCAAGATCATCCTGGCTAACATGGTGAAACCCTGTCTCTACTAAAAATACAAAAGATTAGCCAGGCGTGGTGGTGGGCACCTGTAGTCCCAGCTACTCGGGAGGCTGAGGCAGGAGAATGGTGTGAACCCGGGAGGTGGAGCTTGCAGTGAGCTGAGATTGTGCCACTGCACTCCAGCCTGGGCAATAAGAGCAACACTCTATCTAAAGAAAAAAAAGGCTGGGCGCAGTGGCTCACGCCTGTAATCCCAGCACTTGGGGAGGCTGAGGTGAGTGGATCACTTGAGGTCAGGAGTTCGAGACCGGTCTGACCAACATGGAGAAACCCCATCTCTACTAAAAATACAAAAACTAGCCGAGCATTTTGGTAGGCGCCTGTAATCCCAGCTACTCGGGAGGCTGAGGCAGGAGAATCGCTTGAATCTGGGAGGTGGAGGTGGCAGTGAGCAGAGATGGCGCCACTGCGCTCCAGCCTGGGCGACACAGCAGGACTCTGTCTCAAACAATAAAATAAAGTATTTGATTGTTGAAGCAATACGGAAGGGTATAAAGTAAAAAGGGGCTTTTCCTGTTAGACACTGTTGTCTGTGTCTTCTTTATTGGCAGAACAAAGACTTCTTCTGGGGGGCACCGATCTCCACCTGGCCATGTCTTCAAGCCCAAGGAGAAGTCCCAGGATGGGTCTGAGCTAATCACGGTGATCGCAATACAAATGACTGCGCTAAGCATGGCACAGCTGGCCTCAATCCTGGCCAATGCAACGTGAGAATCAATTGCTGGTGGGATTCTGGGGGAGTTTTTCTCACTGTTATAAACAGATGCAAAGCAGAAATACTTCTCTTTGCTGGACACTGTCATGTCTAATGTGACGCCTGGATCACTGAAGCCCCCAGAGGCCACGGGACACGCTGAAAATGGCCCAGTGGGAAGGCGGAAAGCCTTGGGTCCTGAAAAACACTTCTAAGTCACTGACGGACCAAACTGAAATCATCCTTTATTTTGTTCTTTTCATGTCAGAAAAAAAGACCCCTAAATTCTTTAAGTGACTTTTTTGTTAAGTTTTTGTTTCTAGAAGCCCAAAATATCCTAATAATAATAATTTTAAATAATCCACCTATTTTTGGAAATAGCTTGTTCATCATTGAGATTATGAATAATAGATCAGTTCTCACCCCTGCCTTCCCCACCATTTACCAGAGTTAACAACTGTGAAAAATTCTCTGTGTATTTTTAAAAATCCTGTAAAATGCACACACAACACACACACACATTTATGATAATGCTTGTTCTTAACCAAAAACTGAGATCTAATCTCTATCTCACTATATGGATAAGCAGTAAATAAACCTTTTTGTAATGCAGTAGAAAAGGAAATCAACCTCTCGAATGTTTAGGATGTGACTTCAGTAGCTAGTTTCTTTGTGCTGTGACACTGCCTTCAGAATTCTGATCTTGGCCAATTTTCCTATCCAGCAAATAAAGCACCATTTCCCCCACACTGGTACATTTTAAAAAGTTAGCTGTGAATTCTAAGCTGCAAATATTAGATGCAGCAGGCGGTGTTCTCATTGTATCACCACTGGCTCTCGCCAAGGAGCCTGTGTGTTACCTGGAGATCAAGGCGAAAAGCCTCAAACGCACAAATTCTGAAGTCAACTTGCTGTTTATTATTTTCATGGATTTTTCAATACCCTTGGTAATCGCAATTTACAGCAATGTGCTCTAAACTCTAACTTCAGCTGGGCAAAGTGGCTAACACCTGTAATCCCAGCACTTTGGGAGGCTGAGGTAGTTGGATTGCTTAAGCCCAGGAGTTTGAGACCAGCCTGGGCAACATAGGCAGACCCCATCTAGATAGATAGAAAGATAGATAGATAGATAGATAGATAGATAGATAGATAGATAGATTAGATAGATAGATAGATAGATGGATGATAGACAGACAGACAGACAGACATAGATAAGCAAGCCCGGCATGGTGTCACATGCCTATAGTTTCCGCTACTTGGGAGGCTGAGGTGGGAGGATCACTTGAGCCCAGGAAGTTGAGGCTGCAGTGAACTGTGATTGTGACCCTTCACTCCAGCGTGGGTGACAGAGCGAGACCCTGTCTCAAAACAATACAACTCCCCACCCCCAACAAAAACCAATGATTCTAATTTCATTGCAAACCTTTACACACACACACACATGCACACACCCCAGAAACAGGAGTGCGTGCAGGACATGTGGAGGGGACAGACGTAAGTTGGGGAACGATGGCTCGGTGGCATCGTGTTGTTTTATTTTTGTTGTTACCTCAGTGAAAACCTCAGATATAACCAGGCTCATCTATTTATATATTGACCCAGAAGTTTCTAGCTAAAAAATGTTAAAAGATAATTTTTTAAAAATCATAACTTTTGGGAAGCTGAGGCAGAAGAATGGTGTGAACCTGGGAGGAGGAGCTTGCAGTGAGCCGAGATTGCGCCACTGTACTCCAGCCTGGGCGACAGAACGAGATTCCACCTCAAAAAAAACAAAAAAAAAAACAAAAAAAACACCCCCCCCCCACCAAAAAACCCATAACTTTCATACAGGTATAAAATAAACAACAGTGTATTCATTTTACTTAACTCAAATGCTATAACTGGTTCAAAGGACAATCCGAAGAACACATTTAATGATTAGGAATACTGATATAAACTTGCTAATGGACAAAAAATATTGGCTTTCCTACAAGGTAGGAAGCATTCCCTCTACCAGACAGAATTCATTTCCTGCCCACAGACAAGCGCGTTTGCATTGCCAGCAGCTATTTACAACTTATGAAGCTGTAAAACAGCTCCCAAGCAATGAAGGCTGCAAGCAGATAAGGTGGCAGGCCGTGAGCAGGCCTCAAATGGAGTTTTACAGTGAAGCACAAATGTTCCCCTACAGAACCCAAGATGTCTCTTTAAAAGAAATCATGAAAGAAGAGGGGATTAAGTGGAGCTTATGGACTGCTCCAGGGTTAAGTGGCCTCCAAAATAAACAACAGGACTGCTCAGTAGTCAGAGTGAATTTTGGGTGGGGTTTGAAAGAGTTCCAGCTTTCCTCTGCTAATGGTGACATAAAATGTTCATTTCATACCCATGCATATACACTGATGTATACATGTAGTTGAGGAGGCAGTGGCAGAAGCCAGAAGGCTTTCTCTGCCATGAGCTCCTCCTAGGAGCCCTGGGTTGCAGAGGGTGAGGACTGCTAGGAAAGTCCGTCAGTTAAGGCCGAAGGGACATTAGCTTTGCCTTAAACCACATTGGCTGTGCTTGCCTTTGTGTCTTCACCTGATTTAATGGGTTTTAGCTCACACTCTCCGAATCTATTTACCTCCAAGTCAGTTAAGGCAGACTGTACTGTTGACAAAGCTAAGCAGAACAGAATTTCCCCATGGCTTCTAGCTTCAAGGAATCCCAGCTATTTATCCATCACCAAGAAATGAAGCCCCATGGGTGGCTGACGGTTCATTTACTCCAGCCCAGGGTGTTGGATTTCAATTAGTGCATTCGCTTTTCCCTCTAGGCAGAGCTCACCCTTTAAAGTCGCTCCTTGGCCTGCTAACTGTCTTAAGATGCACTTTCCCATCTCAACAATGATACAGGACGTGTCTTACAGGGCTGTAGTTCTCATTCACAGCATTCTTCCTCTGAGTGGTCCAGGAAATACTCGCAGGCCTTACAGTCAAGTCACCTTAGATTTAAAGTACGGAATACGCGAAACCTTCCTAACTGGTAAAGCGCTCAGTAATGCAAGCTCTGGGTGCAACTCAGTGGTTCTTAGTATAGTCAGAGTTATGCGATCATCAGCACAATCTACTCACACCCTCCTCGAGGTATTAAATAAATATTTCAGAATCCACAATGCAGCCAATCTCATCAATAACTTTACTGAATCCTGTAGCCCAGCACTCAGGGGTTCTCTAAAACCCTGCCCCGCCTTCCCCTCCAATTGCGGTGCCCACTGTCTCTTTTAAATAGACTCTGTCCTCATCAAGCCTGTTCTCTGTCCCCCAAATATGCCGTATCATTCCTTAATGCATGCATTTTTTCCCCAGTTCCCTACAATCTTATAATTAGTGGTTACGCTAATCTATATGTGTGTTTAAACTCATAGAATTGTATACAAAAAAGTCAACTGTACTGTGTACACACATTTAAAAGATAAAATGTGTTCTTTTAACGCTTACATTGGTCTACTTTCCATTTTTTCTTGGATCCTGGCAAGGCCTTCCTGTGCTTCCTAAGACATAAAATCCTCCTCCCAGCACCTGCCTCCTGCCCCCAACTCAGGGCTGAGCCACAGAATCAATGCACGCATCCCCACATCACCCCCTGCAGAAGTACCTGCACATTCGTTCGTTGTGTCGTTAAGTGAACTCATTTCATTGTGAGTATCAGGCTAAGTTCTGAGGATGCAAAAATGCAGGGACATGGTCTTTGCTTCTCAGGACACCCTAGAAGTTACACACATTTCATGGGCAGGAAAGTGGGAGCCTGAGTAGGCTTGGGGCATTGAGGGAGGACTTCCTGATGGTGGCATGTGACATGGAGTCGTGAGCAGAAAGACAGTTCCTCACGGAAAGCACACAGGAGCCCCTCAGGTCCTGAGACCTGGGTGTCTGAAGACTCACGGCATGTGTGAATGCAGCCCAGGGGATCGGCAGGCAATAATTGCAAGAGCTAACTTGCTAAAACATTCACATGCACGCCAAGTGATGAGGTGTGGACCAGACCGTTCGTGCTTACGCAGTGTGAGCGTGGTTACTGGGGACCTTAGAAACCTGAGCAGACAAGGCCATGGGGGGATCCGTGTGTTAGGAGGCTCACTATGCAGACAACGTGGAGGACAGATGGAGGGGTTGAGATCAGGAAGACCCAAGAAAAAGGGATGGAGTAGGGTGGGGTATGGGGTTGGGGAAGGGAGGGAGATTCAAGACAGAATGAAAAGTCAAACTCACCAGGAATCCAGTAATGTGACTGGCTTCCTGTGTGCAAATGGGGAGGTGAACACTAAGATACCACGGGGGCCACACAGGCATGTGTAAGAAAGCTCAGCTGTCGAGGTTTTGAGGTTTCCAATGAATAATCCATCTTTTTTGCCCCCAGCTTCAATAACAACTGAGAGGCAGATATAGGCATTGAACTACAGAGACAAGTCACGTTGATTATTCATAAGGCTGGCTGCAGATTGGGCGTTAGGCCAACGGACGTGTGTGTTTGCTAATGTCCTCTGATAACTTAGAAAGACCACCCACCAAGCCACATGGGCACTGGACAAAGGGCCTGCCTCCACGCAGGGAGGGACAAGAGGGGGCGAGAAATCAGGCTTTTTCCAGGAGGCAGTACGTAGTTGTGGTAAGATTTGATTAAGTTGGTCTTCCTCTGGAGGAGATGGGGGTGAGGGGAGGAGGCGCCAGCCTGGCAGCGGAAAGCTATAAAGGAGGCAGGCCCCTCACCACGCATGGGAGGAGGCAGGCATCTGAAACCTGGGGCACCTGACCGTCTTCCATCGTGAGTCCTGTCCGAGCGGCCAAGCTTTGGTGAAAGCCCTGGCTCTGCACAACCGTCTCCAAAACCATATCCTAGTGCTGATCATTGCAAAAGAGGTGAAGTCAGACCCAGAGGCCACCATTTGGAAAAACAAAACATTTTTAGGAGTCTAACCTTCTAAAATAATTCTCAGTGTAGAGTTACACGTGACAATGTGGCCTGCACTGAGCCCATCAAAGTCGGCATTAACTGGTCTTTGGCACCAGGGAGAAGTACAAACGATGTCTGCAGCCTGTGGACCTTAGAAAAACCAGAGAAATAGGAACGGAGCACACCATTAACTATTCTGGTGATCACTTCAATCCCATTAAAGTAAAAAAGGTCTTCAGATGGGGAAGTCATGGAGGCTCCTGAAACTCTGCATCAAGTCTTCTCCCTTGGCGATCAAAAGCATCCCTGCCCCTGGCTGCCACCTCAAAGCGTCCTGTTCCCTGGCCGTCCACAAGCCAGCTCCACACCCCGTGCTGCTAGACGGGGGTGCCCACTTCAACCTCGCTGTTACTGTCATTCCTCTCGGCCCTGATGACTCTGTCTCTATCTCCATCACTGATCCTGTCCCACTTCCTGGAAGTCTCAGGACATCCACAGGTGCCCCTTCCAACCCCCTCACCCCCCGGTCCCTTGGGCTCCTGTCTCCCCGGGGAACTGCAGAATCCCTTGCAGCTTCCTCCGTAGCTGCCACCTCCCACCTTGTCTGCAGCCCCAGGCCCCTGCCCAGCGGATGCGACTGACTCCCGCCTTCACCCCTCCATGTCCCAGCCCCTAAACCAGCACACAGCCCACCACCCCCCCGTGACTCCCTGGCCCTTCTCTCCACGTCAGACTGAGTCAAACCACAACCCGGGTTAAATTCAGATGCCGAGCTTCTCTGCACCGGCATCGCCGCGGGTGAATCTGGCTGGTGTGCCAGTCCCCTGACCGTTGGCCGTGTGGCCCTCCGTGTTTCTATCCACTGTTTCTACCCGGCTCGTCCTCCCCTCCTCTGCCTGGCCATTCCCGTCTGCCTGGCCTTCAGCCTATAAGCCCTTTCTCACGCTCAGCCGTGGCTCCCCACTGAGGACAGTGGAGTAACAGAGATGTCTCCTGCTTCCCGGCACCCGGCACCTGCTGCAGGCCTGCCTTCCTCAGAACCCCAGGCTGCTGGAGAGGAACCCCCATATGGAAGGCCGATCCCCCAGCAGGCCAACCCCATGCCTCTCGCCTTCTCAAGGACACGCTCCATCAGGTCTTCCTTCTGTCCCGTTTGTCATGTTTTGGCTCAAAACCGTCACAACAACAAAGAACACAAATGCTGTTATTTCTCCCAACCTGCAAACCCCTTCCCTCTTCACTTCCTTTGCATCTTTTTGTAACAAAACTTCTTGAAAGAGTGGCGCACGCCCACTAAACTCACACGCTCTGCCTTTGCTTCCACCACACCCACGAAATTGCGGGGTTCACAGGCGGTTCTCAGTCCTCTTCTCAGAGGCACCACCAGCTGGGAGAAGGAGCAGGACATGGAAAGTGCAGATAGCAAAAGCAGGTGAAGCGGCGATGTGAGCGGAGGAGGCGCCCAGAACACCAGGCCAGGCAGGGGAGGTCGGAACAGAGGCAGGCCAGCCAGCTGGGCAGAGAGAGCCGGAGCAGGCCCGCAACCAGCGGTGCCGGACGCAGTGGGGGTCAGGAAGCCCAGGGTGGAGGCTGCAGGGATGAGGACATGCACTGAGCGGGGCAGGCACCGGTGCTGAAGAGCACGGGTCGGGGAGGATGTGGACTAGCCAGGTCGCAGAGGTAATGGAGAAAGGGGTAGCCCTCAAAAGACAGGCAGCAGCACTGCCAGGCGGCACGTGGAGAAGGATGAAAGCCTCAGAACAACTCTCCAGCTGGGGCAGAAGAGTTATCACGCCCGGGAAGTGGGCTGGCTGTGGAGGAGAGGAGGTTGGCCTTGGGGAAGGGGGGCTTGGCTTAAATAGGCAGAATGTGATGGGGCAGCTAGTCACCAAATTAGGCAGAGTGAGGGGGTGACACTGTGCTATAACGAGAAATATGTATTTGGTTTCTGCCCCGGGTTCCTGGCAGTGAGCCCCTAAACCCTTGGAATTCCCCGAGCGATGCAGAAGAACGTCCTTCATCATTTATCACAAGCCCTTTCCAACCCTACCTGCGTGTATGCTAATGAGGTGGCTCCTGGAGGCTGGGGGCCGAGTGCCAGAGGAACGTGCCCAATCTTTGGAGGGTTGAAACTTTCAGCCCCACCCCCGCAAGGTCTGGGGTTCACTCAATGGCCAATGATTTCATCAGTCCTGCCTATGTAATGAAGCTCCTTAAAAATCCCGACGTCAGGCCGGGCGCGGTGGCTCACGCCTGTAATCCCAGCACTTTGGGAGGCCGAGGTGGGTGGATCACGAGGTCAGGAGACCGAGACCATCCTGGCTAACACGGTGAAACCCCGTCTCCGCTAAAAATACAAAAAATTAGCCGGGCGTGGTGGCGGACGCCTGTAGTCCCAGCTACTGGGGAGGCTGAGGCAGGAGAATGGCGAGAACCCGGGAGGCGGAGCTTGCAGGGAGCTGAGATGGCGCCACTGCACTCCAGCCTGGGAGACAGAGTGAGACTATGTCTTTAAAAAAAAATAAAAAAAAATCCTGACGTTAAAGGGTTCAGGAGCTTTGGGGTTGAACACACCCTGGTGCAGGAGGTGATGCCCCCTGAGAGGGCATGGCAGCTCCGTATGCCCTGCTCCCCGGCCCCGGGCCCTGTGCATCTCTTCTCTGGCTGTTCATTCACATCCTTTCAAAATAACGTTTGTGATGAATTGGTCAATGTTAAGTGTTTCTCTGAGTTTTGTGAGCTGCTGCAGCAAGTTACAAATCCCAGGAGGGGGTTGTGGCAACCCCTGATTTACCGCTGGTCAGTTAGAACGGGGATTTGGGACAAGCAATTGGCATGGGTAGGGGGGCAGGCTTGCGGGGCTGAGTCCTTCACCTGCTAACTCCAGGCAGGCGGTGCCACAATTGGATTGTAGGACACTCAGCTGGTGTCTGCAGTGAACTGCAGAATTGTTTGGCATGAAAAAAACCCATACATTTGGTGTCAGAAGTGTTTTCTGAGTGTGTGTGTGTGTGTGTGAGTGTGTGTGTGAGAGAGTGTGTGTGTATGTGTGTGTGTAGCAACAGTAGAAGCAGTAGCAGTAGTAGGAAAAACAGGAGTTTGTTTTCTTTTAGAGGAACAGTTCTGCCTGCAGCTTGCAGCTGGAGAGGGGTCTGGGAGACATCTGAGTAGAGGTGACAAGCAAAGCCACAAGCGCATGGATTCATTTTCTGCTAAATTTGCAGTTCAAAAGTCCCAAGTTTCAATTTTGTAATATGAAACACTGTCCGTGAAACAGTTCTTGAAAGAACAAGAAAGGTTTTTTTTTTTCTGGAAGAAAAATCAGCGTCTTATGTTCTTAGTTTTAAGGAAATGGGCATGAAGTTGTCTCGAGTGTATGAAGACAGTTCTGTCAACTTCTGGCCTGGGAGACCCCCAGGCTCTGGGAAAGTAAAGATAACAGACTTGAAAATGCATCCTTCTTTTGGAAGTGGGCTTAGGGGTCTGTACTTTCTAAGCAGAATGATTATAGTTTTTCATCATGGGGGAAAAGAAAGCCTTAAACCAGGGAGCTAAAAAGAAAGAAGATAGATGCTGTTCTTTTTCCTTTCCCTGGGCAATTTTGTCACTGCAGAAAGGAAACAGACTGGAGGAAGATTATGGCTTTTGCTAAGAGTCGAACTAGAAAGGCTGAAAAGAGCAGCATGCAATGACAGTTGACGCCAGACTTTGGGATGGTTGGAACAAGTAGTGAGATTTAAGGTAAGTTATAAAAGGATATTCTAATCAGTAGCCAACAACATGGCTTGATTAGGTTAAGTAAAAGTTAAATGTCATAAATGAAGACACCTGATTGTAACTTAGAGTTTGTCTAAAATCAAGGTGGCTCGTGTTTTCCAAACCGCCTTCTGTCTGCATCCCAGCTCTTGCAAAAGAGAAGAGGGCTCAGTGGCAACCCAGCCCCACACATCTGCATCTATTTAAGAGAACCAGAAGCATGAGCATTTAACAGTCTGACAATGGAGACAAGAGGATGTCAAAGCAAGGAGACTCTCAAGGCCAGTAAAAATAGCGAACATGACTTAGAGGGTCCTTACGGCTCTTGGCAGTAAAGGCCTCAGGCAAAACCATGTGTTGTCAGGCCTGGGAGTATCGTTTATATAATCGGCCTTGCTTTTAATACTGAGATGTTTCAGGATGTTTCAGAAATAAAAGTTGAGAGAACTGCCAAAGAACTTATCCAGACAAAAAAGGAGGTGATGGCAGAGGAGGGTGTGTAATAAGGCAACCATGACCTGCACCCCCCTCACCCTCTGTGGTTTACCTGGCAGTCTGTGTGTGGGGGGGGGGCGGGGGGCATTGCTTTGATAATGAGATTCCCGGCAAAAATAAAATCTATGATGTTGTCAAAGAGCATGGCAGGCGAGGCCTGGGAAATGAGAAGTGGCTCACTCTCCCGGGACATCCTCCTCAAATTCTTATTTTATGCAAAAAGTAAAAGCGCATCAGGATAATCGCTCCCGGCTTAGCTTTTCCAAAAGCCACATGCAAATGGGACTTTCTGTTCTCCATGACGAACTAGCAGTTAAAGGAAGGCGGAATGTATTTTTTCCCCCTGACTTTCGCTGAAGGCGATTCAGACAACTGACACTGGAACTCAATGAGCGCCAAACTTGGATTTTTTTAAAGCATCATTTGAGGTTTTTTTCTTTTAAGGCTACATAAGTGATGGGAACATAATCGTCTTGGGAATCCACAAATAACTTTTTAAAAAGTCATAAATCTGGATTTCATGCCTCATAGTTTTCAACAACTGCGAGAAATATGTCAAAACTCGAACGCGGTAGGTTTCTGTCCCCGATAGTGGGCACACGCTCATGCTCTGGGTCCCGTCCATGCGCTTTGGTGGTAACTGCGTGAACTAGTCAGCAGCATGCTGCCGAGATGCCTTGGTTGCTTTTCACTGTCGTTTTTCAATATTACGATAAAATGCACAGGGAAAGAACTACACAACTTATAGAAACTTTGATTTCATCCTTAAAAAATGGTCTGATAGGTGGCATAGAAATTTGTAAACCTTATAATAACACGAAAGCAGGTCCACAATGTCATTGAAAGTTGGGGTTTTAGGCGAGAATTTGGGCAGGGCCACCCCCAGCAACTCTGCAGTATTCTGTGGGTCTTCATGCTTCAGAGGAGAAGCTCATCCTAGCTGTGCATTCTCATCGCCTGGGAAGCTGTTAGAATGTTGTTTTAGGGGCCCCACCCCACGCTAATTAAGTCAGAACACGGGATGGAGGGTGGTGAGGCCTAGGCATTAGTGATTGTTAAAGCTCCCTAGGTGAAGCTAATGGGCTGCTCAGGCTGAGAAAAGATTTTACCATGCCCGTGGTTCTCAAACTTGACTGCTAGGGCAGTCACCCGGGGAGTTTGAAACAATTCCAGTTGCTGCAGCCCCAACTCCGAGCATTCTGATTGAAGTATACGAGGTTTGGCCAGAGTAGCAGGAGTGACAAAATTCTCCCCAGACGATTCTAATGACAGCAAAGGACCGAATGAGAATCACGGAGGCTCAGAAGAGCAAGCGGGTCCATATCTCTAACAATAATCTTACATCTGTCAGTGAGCACTTAGCAAGTGAGTCCTGCTGCCCTGCACTGAGCACAGGAGAAGAAAACAGAGTCCCTGAGTCCCTGTTCTAACAAGCTTGAAGGTTAGGACAAGAAATCAGGGCAGCAAATGCAGTGTCAAGTCTAACAATTAGAAAGACACCCAGTGAAAGATGAGCTTCCTTTTTGATGGATACAGTGCTACAATTCTCAACGCATTTCTCCTTGCGATTGCCTTTAGGCCGACGTCTGCCTTTCCTCTCCTACTCACCTGTGAACACCTCAACACCTGCTCAGCCCCCCTGCCACCAGCCGGTAAGCACGGGCAGGTGAGGCCTGGCATTGTTTTCACTGTGCTCAGCTCATCAGGGTCCGGGCAGGCCGTGCGACCTCTCCCACCCTCGCACGTGAGTCAGCTCTGTCTGCCTTTCCTGGTTTGCTCTCCAGTTCCTCTGCTGAGGCTGGAGTCCTGCTGTGGGCTCCAGCTCACCTTGCTGGAGGTGAGCACTCCCCTCAGCCCCTGCCAATCCTCACCTCCTGGGGGTGGATCAAAAAACACTATTCCAAATGGTTGGTCTGGCCTTTCCCAGCTCCACCCACTTCTTGGGCGTGAATGGATCACTTTATTGCCAAACAAATCCGGGCCTGGTAGGTGTATTAGTCCGTTTTCATGCTGCTGATATAGACATACCCAAGACTGGATACTTTATAAAGAGAAAGAAGTTTAATGGTCTCACAGTTCCACCTGCCTGGGGAGGCCTCACAATCACGGCAGAAGGTGGACAGCATGTCTTACATGGCAGCAGACAAGAGAGAAAAATGGGAAGCAAGTGAAAGGCATTTCCCCTTATTCACCATCAGATCTCATGAGACTTATTCACTACCATGAGAACTGTATGGGGGGAAACTGCCCCCATGATTCGATTATCTCCCACTGGTTCCCTCCCATAACACATGGGAATTGAGGGAGCTACAATTCAAGATGAGATTTGAGTAGGGACACAGCCAAACCATATCAGTAGGGAAGGAAAGATTTCTTTCCTCACCCATTGCTAGGTTCATGGCTGGGGCCCTTCCCTGTAACTAAAGAGTAACAAGAGGAAAACAGGCACACATATTTAGTATGTGTTTCATGTGACTCAGGAGTTATCACAAGGAAAGGAAGACCCACAGAAACAGGCAAACTTGGGTATTTTGTACTTAGGTTTGATGAAGAGTGGATAGTGGTGGAGGAGGTGATTAGACAAACTGGGAGTGAGCTAATGGTGATAAACTGGGGTCACTGAGAAAGGCCTGTTTGTTCTGATTCTTCTCTGTGCTCTGTGTCTTCAGAGACAAGGATGTTCCTTTCCTCCAAGTATTGGGAAAGACTCTCCCAAATGAGGATCTTATAACCTGCCCCAGGGGAGAAGGGCAAGGAGGGGAAAGTGAGAGGGGCCTTCCTGCTTTTGCGATTTTCTGAAATGCCAAGGTGCTATAAATGGGGACAGTGTGTCCTGAACACCATCAGCCTCTTGGTTTCCAAATGCATTAGTCTGTTTTCATACTGCTGATAAAGACATACCCAAGACTGGGCAATTTACAAAAGAAAGAGGTTTAATGGACTTACAGTTCCATGTGGCTGGGGAGGCCTCACACTCATAGTGGAAGGTGAAAGGCACATCTCACATGGTGGCAAACAAGAGAAGAGAGCTTGTGCAGGGAAACTCCCCCTTATGAAACCATCAGCTCTTATGACACTTATTCACTATCACGAGAACAGCATGAGAAAGACCTGTCCCTGTGATTCAATTACCTCCCACAACATGTGGGAACTCAAGATGAGATTTGGGTGGGGACATAGCCAAACCGCATCACCTAAGGTTGCTGATGCTTTATTAGTTTTGTTGTGGATGCCACACCTTCTCACATACACCTTCTCACATACACTCTCCTCCTTACTAGAATATCTCCATTCAGCACAGCCTTGCTCCCTGTGTGGGAGGGGGCAGGAAGCAGCACATCCTCCTGACACTCCCTGGTCGACAGGCACTGGTTTATGCTGCCGGACCTAGGGAAGTTCCCTCCAACTAGGACAGGGACCTTGCTTTAATAGAACATGAACACCCACCATATATAGGTTAGGTTTTTAAATGAAGCCTTTACTCAAAGCCATGGTTTGGTTCAAGATGTATAAAATGCAACACGGACTGTTGGGAATTTTCAAGTTGAATTGGAATGAATTGTATTTGATTTCTCAAAAGCTTTTTACTCTCTTCTTTTGAGAGTTGCTAGATGTTTTAGATATATTATTTTATGTGCGAGTAAATGGAAACAACCTCATCATTTCAAGGCTTCAGTAATTTGTGTTGCCTTATAATCAGGCATATTCTTCAAAGTATGAACAAAGTACTCTCCAGAATCTTGCAACACTTTGGGACTTAGCAATTTATTGTCTGCCTACAGGAGCCACTGAACTTATCAAAAGCTTTACAACTTACTCACAATTTTTTTATTAAAACAAAACTTACCAGTGTGGATTCAGTTTTTTAAACAAGCAAATTGGCTTTAAAAATTTTTTACAAAGCCAGGCATGGTGGCTCATGCCTGTAATCCCAGCATTCTGGGGGGCCAAGGGGGGTAGATCACTTGAGGTCAGGCATTCGAGACCAGCCTGGCCAACATGGAGAAACCCATCTTTACTAAAAATACAAAAATTAGTTGGGCATGGTGGCAAACACCTGTAATCCCAGCTACTTGGGAGTCTGAGGCACGAGAATTGCTTGAACCTGGGAGGTGGAGGTTGCAGTGAGCTGAGATCGTGCCACTGCACTCCAGCCTGGGTGACAGAGTGAGACTCTGTGTCATAAAAAAAAAGATTACAAAAATAATGTCTGTGATTCACAGAACTTAAAAACAAAACTTGATCTCTTGGCATCCTTCTGGGGAAGGCCCAGATCAGCAGCCACTGACTTCATCCCTGCTTAGAGTCTAGAGTCCAGCTACTATGTGGTCTGGCTACTCAAAGCACAGTATTGTTATTTCATAAGACAGTAGAGGTTTACAGTTACATCTTGGTTTAAGGACATATTGTTCGTTTCCATGATTTATTTGCTGCGGAGTCTTTGGTCCAAAATGCAAACTCCCATCGCATAACACTTTTCTGCTTTTGGGGAATGCATTGGAATGAAAGGCAAGGACTCCCTGCTCTAGTTACAAAACTCACCCCTGGGTGAAACAAGCTTTTTTGCAAGGAGTGTGAGTCCCAAGCGAACAGGAGTACAGGCAGGGAGGAGAGAAAGGGCAGTGACAAGCTCTCAGGAAGGACAGATTCTAGCTGGATATCAACTTTTGGAAAAAAGAATATAAAATTCCCCCAACATGAGTAACCATTCCAGATTCAGGGACCCAACAAGAGCGGGGCTGGGTGTCAGGAGACCTGGCCTCTTTCTGGGTCCCCAAGCACCTGCTGTGGGACCAGGACCACTGAGACTCACAGGGAGAGGTCAGGCGACAAGGAGGGACATAGGGTCCTGTCGGGGTGACCTGACTTCTCTAGTCCTTAGTTCTTCCCCTCTGAAATGAAGGGATGGCACCGAACAATTTCCTAATTTTCTTTCCTTTTGAAAGTGTTTGATTCTGTGGTTCCTTCTGATCTTCTTGCTCTTACTCCTCCTTACTTAGAGACTCAATTTCCCCCCAGCTAATTTCAAAAGCTTCTATTGTACTTAAGTTGGTAATTCTAAGAAGTTTTGTTCATAGTATAAAAGTAGGCTGGGCTGGATGTGGTGTCTCACACCTGTAATCCCAGCACTTTGGGAGGCCGAGGCAGGCAGATCCCCTGAGGTCAG